>NC_000016.10:26971334-27274364 GCF_000001405.40 Homo sapiens | reverse complement strand
TTGGAATTCATTTAAGCTTCCTTTGTGGCCCAGTACATAGTCAATTTCTGTAAAGAATAGATATACCAAAGTTTTTTTTTCTAAAATACAAGCCTGATCTCATCACTTACTTTTCATAAGCTTCTGTGGTCTTCGGGTGAAAGACCAACACCCTCAGCATATTATTTCCCGAAGCTTCCTCTCTAGCCAAGGCCTTGGCCCTCGCCTTGTGGTCAACAAATTTATGTACTCATAGCTCTCATGCATTTTAGGGTCAGCTTTGAGAAGTCTGAACCATCAGAGCTGTCCAGGAATAGAGAGTCCAAAGTCTGGCACTTCAAAGGCCCAATAAATACTCACAGAGCCCACTAGGGAATGAGCCGTCCTCTGAGTCATACTGAGGCAGGACTGTCACCCCATGGGGGACCACTCTGCATGATGAACTTCGATCCTTACTCACTACTTGTTCCTGCTGAACGAGATTCACCTCATAGAGGCCTCTGATTGCTGTACTGCTTCCATTTTAATTTGTCAGCACTTTCCCTTCTTTTTATTTTTGCCAGATCCATAGTGGATCACTTGACAGTAGCATTCTCCCGTCACTTGGCCTTCTATGAATCAGTTGCTTAACCCCAGCTAAGGCCCACTTCAGTATGAATCCAGGCTGAGCTTCTGCTCTGAAGCCCCCAGGATGGGGATGGGGGTGTTGAGGGAGGGATCAGATAACCAACTGTCATCTCTACACATTTCTGGTTTCAACCTCAGCTAGGAACTCATCTCTGCATTGTCGTCAGCGTCTCTTCCAAACCTTTTGATCCATTCCCCTTAAATCCCTTAGCATCTCCTCAGCACCTCCCAACCTTTTTTTGGGATAGGCTGGTGTGCAGTGGCACCATCCCTCAACCTTAACCTCAACTGTAGCCTCAACCTCCTGGGCTCTACCTCCCAGGCTCAAGCCATCCTCCCACCTCAACCTCTCAAGTAGCTGGGACTACAGACACATGCCACCACACTCGGCTAATTTTTAATTTTTTTTTTGTAGAGACGAGGTCTTGCTGTGTTGCCCAGGCTGGTCTCGAACTCCTGATCTCAAGCAATCCTCCCACCTCAGCCTCCCAAAGTGCTGGGATTACAAGTGTGAGCCACCACGCCAGGCCCTCTTCAGCCAAAGATTGATACTGTTTGCTACCTTACGGAGAAAACGGAAAACATCAGGAGTGAGCTTTTTTTAGCCACTTTCACCTCTTTTCCTGCTGTTTCAGAAGTGTCTCTTCTCTTCTCTAGGTTAACAGTAATCCTGTCGCTATACACCTTTGACCCCATCCCTTTTTGTCTGTTTTTTTTTTGGTGTTTTTTTTTTTTTTTTTAAGACAGAGTCTTGCTCTGTTGCCCAGGCTGGGGTGCACTGGCACAGTCTCGGCTCACTGCAACCTCCACCTCCTGGGTTCAAGACATTCTCCTGCCTCAGCGTCCAGAGTAGCTGGGACTACAGGTGTGCGCCACTACGCCCGGCTAATTTTTTGTATTTTTAGTAGAGATGGGGTCTCACTATGTTGGCCAGGCTAGTCTCAAATTCTTTTTTTTTTTTTTTTTGAGATGGAATCTCACTCTGTCACCCAGGCTGGAGTACAGTGGCTCGATCTCAGCTCACAGCAACCTCTGCCTCCTGGGTTTAAGTGATTCTTCTGCCTCAGCCTCCCAAGTAGCTGGGCCTACAGGCACGCACCACCATGCCCAGCTAATTTTTGTATTTTTAGTAGAGACAGGGTGTTACCATATTGGCCAGGCTGGTCTCGAACTCCTGACCTCATGATCCACCCGCCTCGGCCTGCCAAAGTGCTGGGATTACAGACGTGAGCCACCGCACCCGGCTGCCTGTTTTTATTTTATGGATTATTATCTCTGCTCCTATGTCTTCAAGTCTTCCCTTCTGAAGCCATACTTCCCAAAAGAGCAGTCAGCATTCCCTCTCCACTTCCTCAACTTCCACTCTTCACTCTTGGAGTTCGATCTGGCTTCCTCCCCTCTCTATTAAGATGGCCTTTGTTGGCCATCAAATTCTAAATCAGTGGCGCATCTTACTCGACCTCTCCAGAGCATTGACGATTCTGACCACACCCTCCTTCTCAAAAGTCTGTATTCCTATGTGCCTCTGATGCCACTTTCACAGCATGTGGTTCATGAATGTCACCTATAGATTCTTGAGAATTTCTTGAAGCTTCCTTTGTGGCCCAGTAATCAATTTCTGTAAATGTTCCAAGCATGTTTGAAAAGAATAGATATACCCAAGTTCTTTTTCTAAAATACAAACCTTCTCTCATTTCTTCCTGGTCTTCCATCACTTCTATGGTCTTCAAGTGAAAGACCAACCCCCTCAGTCTTGAATCTTTCTTTTCTTTCTACCTTTTTTTCTTGACGCTTTGATCTTGAAATGCTGGTGTTCCCAGCGTTTTCTATTCTTTTATCTCTCCACACACCAGGGAAGCACATGCTTCACAAAAGGGGACGGTCTCTCCCAAGTTCTGAACAAGTGCTGCCATGGGGGAAGGCTGGCCCACTGTCGTCAGACTTCCCCACTTTTCCAGAGCAGTCAGCTACAGTAGGGTTTTATGTGAAATGTCCCAAGTTTATTTATTTATTTTTGAGACAGAGTCTGGCTCTGTCACACAGGCTGGAGTGCAGTGATGCAATCTCAGCTCACTGCAACCTCTTCCTCCTTGGCTCAAGCTGTCCTCCCACCTCAGCCTCTTGAGTAGCTGGGACCACAGGTGTTCACCACCATGCCTGGCTAATTTTTGCGTGTGTGTGTGTGTGTGTGTGTGTGTGCGCGCGCGCGTATATATTTTTTTTGTAGAGATGGGGGCCTCACCATGTTGGCCATGGCTGATCTCAAACTTCTGAGCTCAAGCCATCCTCCCAGCTGGGCCTCCCAAAGTGTTGGAATTACAGGAATGAGCCATCATGCCCAGTCAAAGATTGAAAACCCCAACTTTAAATATTGATAATGAATAGAAAATTTCACAAAACCATGTAGGGCAAACAAAACACAAATATTACTCCTTAGGGCTTTATTTCCCCTCTTATTTGACTACCTATTAGGCAGTTTATAAAGAACTTATTAGTGGTGTTAGTTCACACTTATTGAGGGCTTACAATGTGCCAGAGACACTCTTCTAAGTAGTTTACGTTTACTCTTCCTTTAATCTTCAGAATAACATTATCAACAAAGTGTTATTATTAAACCTGCTTTATAGATGAGCAAACTGAAGCTGAAAACTTGAGCTCAGTCATCCCTTAGTATCTGTGAGGGATTGGTACCTTAGTCCCCATGGATACCAAAATTCTCGATGCTCAAGTCCCTTATGTAAAATCAAAACCACCTTTGTAAAAAGCATAACTGAGAAAATTATGATAGTGAAAGAGATCTGGCCTGACTCCATCTTGCTTCTAACTTCCAAGCTGTCCTTGATCATTCCTGGACATAGGTGGAATTAATGTTGGAAAGAACTTAGTTTATAGTTTAACTTTGAAACAAAGGCAATAATAGCCCTTTCCCAAAACAAATCCCCTCCTTGCCTAGGAACGGGTCTGCCTTTGTAGACTAACAAATTAGCTAAAAGATTAGAAATTATGGTTTAGGAGGTCACGCAAGCTGGAGGCTACAAGATTCTGACCCTCCCCAGATTGCTTCCGGGAGTAACATCACTGTTCTAAAACCTAAAATCAGTGCTTGAGATATTTTGCAGAACCCGTGTTCTAATGCACCAGCTGACGCCACCCAGCCCTGTAATCTGGCTAATCTGGTCCTATGGTCCTAACCCAGGATCTGACTCAGTGCAAGAGGACAGCTTTGACTCCTTTCCTCTCTGATCCAACCTATCAACACTCTCTAATCCCCAGCACCTCCAGCCACCAAATTATCCTTGAAAACCCTGAATTTCCAGGGAGACTGATTTGAGTAATAATAAAACTGTGGTCTCCTGTTCAGCCAGCTCTGTGTGAATTAAACTTTCTCTATTGCAATTCCCCTGTCTTGATAAATTGGTTCTGTCTAGGAAGCAGGCAAGGAGAACCATTGGGTGCTTACAAAATGCGAGAATACTTGCATTTAACCTACACAAATCCTCCAGTATATTGAAAATCATCTTTAAATTACTTACAATACTTAATACAATGTAAATGCTATATAAGTAATTGCTATGCTGTATTGCTTTCGGAATCTGTATTATTTTTATTGTTGAACTGTTATTTTTTACTGTTTTCCCCCACAAATATTAACCACCCACAGTTGCTTCAATCCGTAGATGGGGAACCTGTAAACATGGACAGCTGACTGTACTTTGTCCTATGTCTCAGAGACACTGAGTTTAAGGCCCAGGATTCCATGTTGACCATCCAGCTCCAAAGCTGAAGCTTTTAATCACCACACACCACTGCTTTCCCACTTAGCAGATGAAACTGAAGCCCAGAGAGGTTAAGAGGTTGTCCAAGATCACAGGGGTGGTGAGTGACCAAGCCTGGATTTGATCTATCCTCACAGAGACAGATATTTGCAGGTACTGCTGTTCTATATTAGTTACCTGTTTCCCTTGCTAGGCTGCATCCCTAGCTCTCAGACCAGGGATAGAATTCAAACGTTTGGAAAATTAACGCCTTGAAGACTCAAAGCAGTCCATTCACTTCCACGAGTAATTTCACTTGCTTTCTCACAATCCCTAGGTAAGATAACAGTTAACATATAATCAGCACTCCCATGTGACACTTTTCAATGGCCATGCTAAGCACCTGATATAGGTGTTATTATCTCTTGTAAATCTCACCAACACTATTTTGCAAGAACTAATATCCTCATTTAATGGAAGAGGAAACTGAGGCTCAGTGACTTGCCCAAGCGCCTGCCAACTAGTAAGTGGCAGAGCCAGGATTCTAGATCAGGCTCTATGACCACAGAGTCCACATTTTTCTTTTCTTTTTTTTTGAGCTCTGTCACCCAGGCTCGAGTGCTGTGGTACGATCTGGCTCACTGCAACCTCTGCCTCTCGGGTTCAAGTGATTCTCCTGCCTCAGCCTCCCGGGTAGCTGGGATTACAGGCACACACCACCACGCCCGGCTACTTTTTGTATTTTTAGTAGGGACGGGGGTTTCACCATGTTGGCCAAGCTGGTCTCGAACTCCTGACCTCAAGTGATCGGCCCGCCTTGGTCTCCCAAAGTGCTGGGATTACTTACAGGCGTGAGCCACCGCGACCGGACCAGAGTCCACATTTTTGACGTCGAGGCCACACTCAGTTCCACAGATGGGGAAACTGAGGCCCGGGGCAGGGCACTACATTGTGCCAGCGGAATGGTGGCCATTGAGGGAAGCCCAGGCTGCACGCCAATTCTTCCTCCTTGGTCAGGGAAGTCACTGAGGTGCAGGAGGCGGAGGGCGACAAGTGGAAGCCCCTTCCCATTATTAAGGATCGAGAGCGGGCGTAATTTGGGATCTAACCCACGAGGCGGAACCACCAGGGCAATGGCGCAAACGGAGAACCGGAAGTGCGTCACTCAACGGACGGGCGAATAAGCCGCAGGCCACCAATGGGAACGCCGCGTTCGCGTTCGCCCCGCCTCAAAGGAAGAAGAGTCCACCTTGCGACCGTATCCGCTAGCGCGGCCTGGGATGCGCTTGGGCTCCCTGGTGGGTAACGTGGGGAGCTAGGGGTTGGAGGGGAAAGAAGAGGGACTTCAAGGAAGGCGAGGGGAGGACGGAAGGTGGGGTGGGCGAGACAGGCAGTGGGGTCCGGCCCCGGGGTCGGTCCCCGTGGGCTGTGGAACTCGGGGACTGGGGTCTTGGGGTTTCCCCCTTCTTGATGGGGAAACTGAGGCCCAGACAGGGGCCGCAGAAAACAGCGGACTGGGATGTCCTCCCGCAACACACACGCAGACATCTAAAAATCTTACTATTTAGTGAAAAATATTTTTAATCGTAATTACGATTTAACAGGTAAAGATACTTTTCATTGTAACAGGTGAAAAAGCAAAATATAAAATTCGATTCAAACTGTGATTACATCTATGGAAAATACAGCCTTTGCCGACCACCCTCTTTGTCCCGCCGCCCTCCGTGCTCCCCTCTGTTTTGTGTACGGAGTTTCTTACTTTGTACAAGTCCGCAGCCGCTTATGTTACAGCCCCGAGGCCAGATGCGTTTAAAATCGAGGAGTTCTCGGAGTTTGGAAAGGTAAAGTCCCTATGTTCTATGTTAGGTTTCACCCTCAGAGGGGGCTGGAGCAGCGGCTTGTAATCAAATACACGACCCTTTCCACAGCTAAAGTTATGAAGATACGCATATATTACATTGACCTGGTCGCGGTGGCCCACGGCTATAATTCCAGCACTTTGGGAAGCTGAGGGGGGCGGATCACCTGAGGTTCGGAGTTCGAAACCAGCCTGGCTAATATGGTGAAACCCTGTCTCTACTAAAAATACAAAAAATTAGCCGGGCGTGGTGGTGCGTGCCTGTAATCCCAGCTACTCGGGAGGCTGAGACGGAAGGCTGAGGCAGGAGAATCGCTTGAACCCGGGAGGCGGAGGTTGCAGTGAATCAAGATCGTGCCACTTCACTCCAGCTTGGGCAACAAGAGCGAAACTCCGTCTCAAAAAAAAAAATGCATATATTTACACTGTTGGGATAAATAACCATAAATAGCCTCACCTTAAGTCAGGTCAAGTTTTCCAACTTAAACAAGTTTTGGTATTCAGACTTTTTTTTTTTTTTCCCCTGCATCCGATCATCCACTAGTATTCATACCTTTTTAGATTTGAGGGTTGCAGATGAGGGACCTGGATTGTAGTTGTTCTGTTCACTCACTTTTCTCACTCTCGCTGGATAGAGAGTGTCCTTGAAAACAGGAACTGTGCTGTTGTATGGTCACGTCTATCTCTGCCACCAACTCTTGTGTGTCACCTTGTGCCCTCTTAGTCTCAGTTTCCTCATCTGTAAGATGGGGTCAGTGACCCTTTGCTCATAAGGTTGTTCTGGTTTGGGTTAAATGAGGTCGGGCATGTGAAGCACTAGAATTGTGTTAGCACCCGCACGAATGGTATGACTGAGATTTACTTATTCCACAAACATTTCTATTTTAAAATTATTAAATTTAAATAAATTGATTTAATTAATGCATTTAATTAATTTAATAATAAATTTAAACGTATAGATGTATTTCTTAAAATGTGGGTGATAGGAATTTTAAAGATTTATATAATGCTTCAAAAGCCTTCGAAAAGGTTTTTTTAATTGGTTTATCTGTATATATGAACTCTTGAAACTTATGGCTAAAACACTAGGATTTATCTGCAAGGTTGCAGAGAGATAATTCTGCCTTAAATTGGCTAAAACAAAAACAAAACCAGCCAACCTATATTATACATGGGATTAAAACCAATTTTTCTCCCATTTTTTTTCTCCTTTTTTCTTTTGCTGCCCACATTATGCCTTATTTTATGAGCCCCAGTTTTCTGGGCTTAGTTAAAAAAAATTCAGTTCTAAACATTGAATTTAGGGAGTTTTTGTTCTTGAATAAAAAGGCATATACTTAGAAAAAAAATCTGTTTATCCGGGAAAATATATTGAAATCATGCTGCTGAGCCTCTATTTTCTTTGATGTTTTGGTTCTGTATTATTTTATCATAACTTTTTAGCATTTAAAAATTTACTGATGTACATTTAAAGCCAATAAACTGTTTTAATTAATTTTTTTAAAAAAAGTAATTTTTTTTTTCTTTTTGTGACAGAGTCTCGCCCTGTCGCCCAGGCTAGAGTGCAGTGACGCGATCTTGGCTCACTGCAACCTCCACCTCCTGGGTTCAAGCGATTCTCCTGCCTTAGCCTTCTGAGTAGCTGGGATTACAGGCGTGCACCACCACGCCTGGCTGATTTTTGTATAAAATAAAATTATTTAAGTAGGTAATACATGTCTATGCTAATCCCACCATTCTCCCTACAGTCTCTTCTCATAGAGACAAGGGACATAATATGCATAAACAAGCTTATGGTTGTCTTTCTTCCACTCCTACTTTTCCCACTCCTTTTCCACCAAATTATAGCATTCAATCCTATCCTGTTCTCATTCTCATTTACATTTATTTTGGCTGTTATTTAACATATTCACATTATTTTGTTGTTGTTGTTGTTGTTGAGAGTGGATCTTGCTATGTTGCCCAGGCTGGTCTTAAACTCCTGGCCTCAAGCAGTCCTCCCGCCTTGACCTCCCAAAGTATTGAGATTACAGGTGTGAATCACCATGCCCAGCCCATCACATTTAAAAACATTGTATGTAACATACCTATACAATTGTGTGGAAGTGTAAGTTTGAAGAACAAAAATAAAATGAACACTCATGTACCTGCCACCAAGTTAAGAAATAGACATTTTCAGATTGCCAGACCCTCCACTGAATCCTTTCTTCCCTCCTCAAAGATAACCACCGCCCTGAATATTGTGTTACTTGTTGCCTTGTTTTGCTTTGTAGTTTTTACCATGTATGTGTGTATTTCTAATGAATGAATGTATGCTTTTGCTGAGTTTTCGATTTTATGTAATAGGATCCTAAAATATATTTTGTGTGACTTGCTTGTTGCACTTAACATTATCTTTCTGAGAAGTATGCGTGTTGATGTGAGGAGCTCTACTTTGTCTTCATTGCTGATTTGAATTCTATGGGATGATTATATTGTTTTAATGTAGTTCTTCAGTTGGTAGGCATTTATACTGTTGCCAGACTTTTGTTATTACAAGGTGCTTCTGTAAAAACATATCTCCTAGGGCAAATGTGGAAGTTTCTGTAAGGTATATACCTAATAGTAGATTTCGGGGGATATGCAAATTTGCTAGTAATATCAACTGTTATCTGAAATGGTTACAATAATTTATACTCAGCCTGGAGTGGTGGCTCACACCTGTAATCCCAGCACTTTGGGAGGCTGAGGTGGGTGGATCGCTTGAGTCCAGGAGTATGAGACCAGCTGGGGCAACAGGTGAGACCCCATCTCTACAAAAAATACAGAAATTAGCCGGGCATAGTGGTGTGTGCCTGTAGTCATAGCTGCTAGGGGGTTCTGAGGTCAGAGGATCGATTGAGCCCACAAGGTCAAGGCTGCAGTGAGCTATGACTGTGTCACTTCATTCCAGCCTGGGCAACAGAGTGAGACCCTGTCTCAAAAAAAAAAAAAAAAAAAAAAAAGGAAAAGAATTTATACTCTCCCAGCAGCAGATGAAAGTTTCAGCCTCAGCCATTCTTTTAAAATTTTTGCCTGTCTGGTGGTGGCTAAGACATTCCTTCACTGTGGTTTTCATAATCATTTGTCTGATAACATTGAGATTGAGCATCTTTTTTCTGTATTTATTCATCATTTATGCATCCTCTTTTTGTAAAATTTCTGTTGCCCATTTCTCTTTTACAGTTGTGTTTCCCATGCTGATTTGTAGGAATTCCTTATATAGTCTGAATATGAATCTTTTGTATTTTGTAGCTTATGTTTGTTTTAAATGCCCTCCAGTTTGTATCCCCTAACCCCCACCTTTCTGGTATTTTTGGTGAATAGAGGCCCTTAATTTTAACAAAAGTCAAGTTTATCAGTATATTCCTTTATGACCTGTACTTTTTATATCTCTTAAAGAAATCCTTCCCTACCCTTAGGTGATAAATATATTCTCTATATTGCCTAAAAGTCTTACAGTATTTTTCCTTATTATGACCTTATCCCTTCAGAATTGATGTTTGTATATAGTATGAGGTAAGAATCAAATTTTATTCATTTTTTTACATATGGATAACAAGTTTTCCTGGCACCTTTTATTGGAAAGTTTGCTTTCATCCGCCATCAAGTATCCATATATGTATACCTTTCCGTTTCTGAGTTCTCTGTTCTGTTCCATTGATTGGTCTTATTTGTCTATCTCTGTACCATTACCACACTGTACTCGTTACTCTAGCTTTATAAGAAGTGCTTTTTTTGTTTTGGTTTGTTTTTAGACAGGATCTTACTCTGTCATCCTGGCTGGAATGCAGTGGTGCAATCATGACTCACTGTAGCCTCGACATCCCGAGCTGAAGCAGTCCTCCCACCTCAGTATCATGAGTACCTGGGACTACAGGTGCATACCATCATGCCCAGCGATTTTTTTTTTAATTTTTGTTTTTAGTAGAGACAAGGTTTCACCACATTGCCCAGGCTGGTGTTGAACTCTTGGGCTCAAGCAATCTGCCCACGTCAGCCTCCCAAAGTGCTGGGATTACAGGCATGAGCCATCGCGCCCAGCAAATATGAGAAGTCTTTATAGCTGGTAGGACAAGTCCTTCTGCCTTTATTTTCTCCCAGGAATGTCTTTGCTGTTTTGCCTTTGTGTTTTCTATGTAAATTTTTAGAATCATCTTGTCAAATCACACACACACATACACAAAGCCTCTTGGGATGCTGACTGTAATAGCATTGATTCAATTGCATTGGGTCAATTTGGTTTTTAAAGTGATTGCTGCCAACATTTCATTTTTCAGTATGATGTTTGCTGCAGGTTTTTTGTAGACGTCACTTAGTAGATAAAAGATGTTTTCTTCGATTCCAAATTTGTTTTTGGTGTAGGTACATGTTGAATTTTATCAATTGTATATTCTGCATCATTAAGATGATCATATGCTTTTTTAAAAAAACTTAGGTTTGGCAGCACACGTGAAGGTTTATTAGATAGGTAAACTCACGTCATAGGGGTTTGTTGTACAGCTTTTTTAATCAGCCAAGAATTAAGTCCAGTACCCGATAGTTATATTTTCTGCTCTTCTTCCTCCTCCCACCCTCCATCCTCAAATAGACCCCAGTGTCTGTTGTTTCCTTCCTTGTGTTCATAAGTTTTCATCATTTAACTCCCACTTATAAGTGAGAACATGTGGTATTTGGTTTTCTATTCCTGTGTTAGCTTGCAGAGGATAATAGTCTCCAGTTTCATCCATGTTCCTGCAAAAGACATCATCTCATTCTTCTTTATGGCTGCATAGTGTTCCACGGTGTATAGGTACCACATTTTCTTTATCCAGTCTGTCATTGATGGGCATTTAGGTTGATTCCATGTCTTTGCTTCTGTGAATGGGGCTGCAGTGAACATTCCCGTGCATGTGTCTTTATGGTAGAATATTTCTGTTCCTCTGGTATATACCCAGGAATGGGGTTGCTGGGTCAAATGGTAGTTCTGCTTTTAGCTCTTTGAGGAATTGCCACACTGCTTTCTACAGTGGTTTAACTAATTTACACTCCCTCCAACAGTATATAAGTTTCCCTTTTCTCTGCAACCTTGCCAGCATCTGTTATTTTTTGACATTTTGATAATAGCCATTCTGACTGATGTGAGATGGTATCTCATTGTGGTTTTGATTTGCATTTCTCTAATGATCAGTGATACTGAGCTTTTTTTTCATATGCTTGTTGACCACATGTATGTCTTCTTTTTGAAAAATGTTGGTTCATGTCCTTTGCCCAGTTTTTAATGGGGTTGTTTGATTTTCTCTCGTAAATAGTTTGCAAATATTTTCTCCCATTCTGTAGGTTGTCTGTTTACTCTGTTGATAGTTTCTTTTGCTGTGCAGAAGCTCTTAAGTTTAATTAGATCTCATTTGTCAATTTCTGCTTTCATTGTGATTGCTTTTGGTGTCTTTGTCGTGAGATCTTTGCCCGTTCCTGTGTCCAGGATGGTATTGCCTAGGTTGTCTTCCAGGGATTTTATAGTTTTAGGTCTTACATTTAAGTCTTTAATCCATCTTGAATTGATTCCTGTATGTGCTGTAAGGAAGGGGTCCAGCCTCAGTCTTCACATATGGCTAGCCACTTATACTAGCACCATTTATTGAATAGGGAGTCTTTTTCCCATTGCTTCTTTTTGTCATCTTTGTCAAGGATCAGGTGGTCATAGGTGTATGGCCTTAATTTTGGGCTCTCTATTCTGTTCCATTGGTGTATGTGCCTGTTTCTGTACCAGCACCATGCTGTTTAGCCCTGTAGTGTAGTTTGAAGTCGGGTAACGTGATGCCTCCAGCTTTGTTCTTTTTGCTTAGGATTGCTTTCGCTATTCAGGCTCTGTTTTGGTTCCATGTGATTTTTTTTTTTTTTTTTTGAGATGAAGTCTCACTCTGTTGCTCAGGCTGGAGTGCAATGGCGTGATCTTGGCTCACTGCAACCCCCGCCTCCCAGGTTCAAGCGATTCTCCTGCCTCAGCTTCCTGAGTAGCTGGGATTACAGGCGCGTGCCACCCCGCCCAACCAATTTTTGTATTTTTGGTAGCGACAGAGTTTCATCATGTTGGCCAGGCTAGCCTCTTAACTCCTGACCTCAGGTGATCTGCCCGCCTTGGCCTCCCAAAGTGCTGGGATTACAGGCATGAGCCACCGCGCTCGGCCCTGTGTGAATTTTAAAATGCTTTTTCCTTTATTAATGTGGTGACTCACATTGATTGATTTTTAGATGTGAAACCATTGCTGGAATAAACCTAAGTGATGATATGTCATTCCTTTTACATATCTGGATTAAGTTTGTTAGCATTTTGCTTAGGACATACTGTAGCTGTGTTCATGAAAGATACTGGCTTGTAATTTTCCTTTCTTTTGACATCCTTGTTAGGTTTCAGGGCCAAATTAGGTTAGCCTTGTCAGATGGGTTGGGGAGGGTTTGCTTTTTTTCTGGCGCTGCGATTGTGTAACATTTGAAATTATTTGTTTTTAGACTATTTGGTAGAACTTCTTGATAAAGTCATTGGGACCTGAAGTTTTCTTTGTGAGAAGATGGATTTTCTATAAAATGTCATTAATGGTTATAGGAGTGTTTAGGTTTTCAGATAATTCATTCATTAGTTTTGAATAAATTTCCTATGACTTTTTACATAGTTAAATTTCAGATTATTATAAATTATTGATAATATTTTTAAGTATGTTAATTGCAGATATTTGTCTCATTTGCAGTTAATTTCCTTTTTTTTCAAATATTGTTTGTTTATAAGTTTTAGCTCTTGGAAAATCTTGTCAGAAGTTTTTCACTTTTATTATGTTTTTTCAAAGAATAGTTTTGGTTTTGTTGACCTTAGATATATGCTTATTTTCAGTCTTTATTAATTTCTGCCCTTTATTATTTTCTCATTTTACCTTTCTTTGGATTTAATTTGTAGTTCTTTTTATAGTTTCTTTTTTTTTTTTTTTTTGAGACGGAGTCTTGCTTTGTCACCCAGGCTGGAGTGCAATGGTGCCATCTCAGCTCGCTGCAACCTCTGCCTCCCATGTTCCAGCGATTCTCATGCCTCAGCCTCCCGAGTAGTTGGGACTATAGGCACGCACCACCATGCCTGGCTAATTTTTGTATTTTTAGTAGAGATGGGGTTTCACCATGTTAACCAGGCTGGTCTCCACCTCCTGACCTCAGGTGATTGACCTGCCTTGGCCTCTCAAAGTGCTAGGATTATAGGTGTGAGCCACCACGACCAGCCCCCGCAACCTTTTTTTTTTTTTTTTTGAGACAGGGTCTCACTCTGTTGCCCAGCCTGGAGTGCAGTGGTGTGATCACGGTTCACTGCAGCCTCGACCTCCCAGGCTCAAGCAATCTTCCCACCTCAGCCTCCTAAATAGCTGGGACTACGGAGGTGTGCCACTATGCCCAGCTAATTTTTGTGTTTTTTGTGGAGATGGGATTTTGCCATGTTGCTCAAGCTGGTTTTGAACTCCTGGGCTCACTGTGCCCAGCCTATAAGGAACTCTTATAATATAGAGGTAGATTTTATTCATTATTAATTTGATAAGGTTTTAAATCTGGTCTAACAGTCCTTGTCTTTAAGCTGGAACATTTAGTCTATTTTTATTCATTGTTATTACTAATCTAGTTGGATTATTTCTCCTGACTTACTTTGTTTTTTTGTGTTTGTTTTTCCTATCCTGGTTTTCCTTTCCATTATTTTTTCTCATTACATTATTCCCCTTTACTATTTGGAAATTATATACACTATTTGTTTTTTTAAAAGTTGTTACTCTAGAAATTGTAAAATGCAAGTGTAAAATTTATTCATGTCCAGCTTCTACTCCTGACCATCACAAGGCTATTAGAACACTAATCCCAGTGATTGCTCACCTCCCATTTATGTTATTATTTTTGTGTATTTAGTTTTTTAAAAACCTCATTCTTTTTACTGTGGTATTAAAAACTTTTTTTTAAAGATAGAAGCATTTCTTCTGATTTTTACTGTTTTATACAGTTAACTTGGATTTAACCACATATTTACCAACTTTTTTTGCTCTTTATTCTACCCTGCATTTTAGACCTTCCAACTTGTATCCCTTTCTTTCTTCCTGAACTATATGCTTTGGAATTTCCTTTAGGGAGCACCTGCTGGTCACTTGCTCTTTCAGTTTTTTGTTGTTTGGAAATGTTTTTGTCTTATCCTCAGTCTTCAGCTCGTTATAGAATTCTCTGTTGAGACACCCGCTCCCAGCATAGAAGATATGTTTCCACTGTGACCGGCTTCCATTGTTGCCATTGTGATGGCAGCCGGCAGTCTACTTGTTGCTCTTTAGAAGTCATCTGACTTTTTCTTTGATTGTGTTTAATCTCTGGTATTGTGTGGTTTTATTAGGATGAGCCTAGGTGGATATTTTAGAGTTTATTCTGCTTGAGATTTGATGGGATCACAATGACAGTGATTCGTATCATTTGTCCCCACTGCCAAGCCTCGGTGATACCTCATCCCCTTTTGTAGGATCCCTTCAGGAGACTGCTTTCTGGACTCTTTGCCTCCCATTTCTTTCCTCTACACCTCCATGATGCCAAAGAGGATAATCTCCCTAAAACACAGCTAGGCAACACCATGTTCCTGCTTCAAGACCCTTAGTTTGTAGAGATCCTTCATTTGCAGGATAGAAGTCCATTGTTTTTAGCCTAGCACATTCTAACCCTGTGCCCAGAACAACCACTGGCAAATACGGGGGTGCTAAGTACATCGACATGGAATGGCCCTAGTGATAGGAAATAAAGTTGATGACAGGCTGGATTTGAGGTTTAAGGAGAGGAGGACCAGAGTTCGATGCTCAGGTGTGTGGTATGATTGTGTGGACTGCACCGTCCACACCAGATGATTTGCAAAGAGAAGGACTTGGGAGAGGAAAGGGGCTAAGGAGGTGGAAGGAGAGGATGAGTCTAACGTAGGCTTTGTTGAGGTGCAGATTTGGTGAGATGGAGGATATTTTTCTAGCAGGCAGTTGGAGGGACTGGTTATGAGATGGCGCATTTTCCCAGCCCTGAGGTCCAGTTGAGGATGCTGTTAAAGAACAGCACTGGCTGGGCGTGGTGGCTCACACTGTAATCCCACCACTTTGGGAGGCTGAGGCAGGTGGATCGCCTGAGGTCAGGAGTTCGAGGCCAGCCTGGCCAACATGGTGAAACCCGTCTCTACTAAAAATACGAAAATTAGTCAGGCACGGTGGTGGGCGCCTGTAGTTCCAGCTACTTGGGAGGCTGAGCCAGGAGAATCACTGGAACCCGGGAGGCAGAGGTTGTAGTGAGCCGAGATCACGCCACTGCACTCCAGCCTGGGCAACAGAGTGAGACTCCATCTCAGAAAAAAAAGAAAAAAAAAAGAACAAAAGAGCAGTAATTAGCAGTCTTGTGGATCTCTTATGTGCCAGGTGCTTGGCAAGCCTTTGGTAGTTGTGACTCATTTAGGCTTCCTCTATGTCTTTAAGGTAGCTACTAGTTTCCCAGTTTTAGAGGTGAAGAGACTAGGCCTTAGGGAGGCTGAGCATTGTTAGCTAAAAATGTTTGCCTGCTGTATTTGCCCAAGGCACCAGTGAACTTCTTTCTTGTCAGATCTTGACATCACCTAAAATGAATGTAAACACCTCAGAATTCCAGGACCCATTGCAGTCAGAACATCCAGGAAAGGGTTTGGGAATCTGTATTGTTAAAATGCACATTAGGAAATCCTTAGGATCAGGCAGATCTGGGACTTTCTGGTCTCAGTGCTTCCTGTTTAGTTCCAAATTCACATTCTTAGCCCCTGCACTGCGTGCTCCATGGCAGTAGCCAGCGTTTTGATCAGGGCTTGTGGAATAGTTTTATTAACTGTGATCTTTGTGGTTTACGGAAAGATCCCATTTTGTTAGTGAGCAGGAGATTTCGAAAATAGTCTGAAGTCCTGCCATGATAGTTGTTTTATTAGTGGTTTGGGGAGAGGAGGAAACTAACATTTATTAAGTGTTTACTAGTAGTTCTCTCAGTAATGAACTTCATTATAATTTTATGGTGAGAAAACGGGGCCTCTGCTCAATTTCTCCAAGGCCATAGATCTGGTAAAAAGGCTCAGCCAAGGGTTAGACCCAGAATTGCCTGATAGTAAAAATAGCTCAGACTTATTTAGTGCTTACTGTGTTACCAGGCTATTACATGTATTAACCCATCTAATCTTCGTAGCAGTTCTGCAGAGGACGTTTCTATCATTAGTCCCACTTTACAGATCAGAAACCAAAGCCTGTGGGGACTAAGTTGCTCAATCTCACACGCCTAGTAAGTGGGAGAGCCAGGCCCTGAATCCCGGCATTCTAGCTCCAGAATCCACACCTCTTACCACTGCCCAGTCCTGATGCTGTGACTCGTGTTCTTCTTCTCACCTTTGTAGTAAACAGCATGAAGAATGACTTTTAAAAATGATAGCAAATTTATATTTGTTAATGTAAATTAGTACAAGACCCAGGACGTTGCTTCTGATGTGCTTGGGGTTGACTAGTGTCATTTACTTCCTTTTCAGTTCGTTCCCACATGCAGGGCAGCACAAGGAGAATGGGCGTCATGACTGATGTCCACCGGCGCTTCCTCCAGTTGCTGATGACCCATGGCGTGCTAGAGGAATGGGACGTGAAGCGCTTGCAGACGCACTGCTACAAGGTCCATGACCGTGAGTACCGTTTCCCTGTTCCCAGGGCGCTCTGGTGCTGTGTTGATCAGGGACCAGTGACATAGGTACAATACCATGTAACTTGTTAACCGGTACTCCTGAGCTGAGCATTCAAGCCTCTTCACAATCTTACACGGGCCCATCTTTCTAATTTCATCTTCCACTTTTATTTTTTTTCCAAGTAAACCTGACATTTAGCCCTGTGGATAAAAACTTAGAGTCTAAAGCTGTATAGTTGTGGTTCACACCAAGCCTCCAGGACCTGCCCCAGCCTCAGTTTCTGTATCTGTAAAGTGAGGATAGTAATTGTACTTAACACATAAGTAAGTGCATGGTTCAGGGAATTGAGAGACATGATATGTACAAGACAGTGGCGCAGAGACAGTGCCTAGTGGGGTATTGATGGACACAGGGCAGCTTGGCTGGGTGCGGTGGCTCACGCTGTTATCCCTGCACTCTGGGAATCAAGGTGGGAGGATAGCTTGAGGCCAGGAGTTTGGGACCAGCCTGGGCAATGTAGCAAGACCCTCTCTATTTTTTTATTTGAAAAAAAGAAAATAAATTATAAAACAAAAAAATGGGGGAGCTTAGCACAACACTTAAGGGCACAGCCTTAGACTGGGCCGGACCTGAAGAGTGTGTCCCTGCCCTGTGTCAGCTGAAGGCATTTGGGGCATCTTACGGGGCCACTGGGAGGGGCAAATAAGAAGCCCTTGGAGACAGGACATGGTGCTAAGTTCTAAGTAACTGGAGATGGTGGAAGAAACAGTAGGATCAGTGTTGATAGATCAGTCGAATTAGCATTGGCAGATATTGTTGAGTTGTGTGCCAATATGGGTAGATCTTACTGATTAGATTTTATGCAGTGACAAAGGTGATGGATGAGTAATTGTATGATGTGATTATGTTGTTTTTTTGTGAAGTACAAAATCGTTTTCATTGGTTATGAATGCATTTGCATGTAAAGGTATAAAAGTGGACCAGAAGAAGACGCAGGACACTTGTGAGGTGCTTGTGAGGAGAAGCAGAGTGGGAGTGGGCTGTCAGCAGAGATCACAGGACCCTTCACTTTTATCCTGTTATGTTCTTTTATTAAAAAGAAAAGTCTTGAAGCCAACGTGACATTATTAGCCTAACAACATGACATTAATTAGTGTAGTCTACTGGTTGTCACCTCTGATGAATGGGAATGCAGGCGTTTGGTTTTTATTCTGCCTTATTCTGCCTTTCTCTCTGTATTTTTAATTTTCAAAAGAAAAAGATAAAAAATGACATAGAAGTGAGCCAAGCCAAGAGGTATGAGAAAGGGCGTGTACAGGTACACAGGGAGCAAGTACACAGGTGAAGGGACACAAAAAAAAGGCAAAAAGATGCTTTCATTCTTAGTCCACAGGCATCCTGTAGCTCCTTGCAGTGAGCTGTGAAAGGGCGAAGGGACACCAGAAAGGGTGTCCCTCCTGTCCCCAAAGGCAAACACTTCATGAGTGCATTACATCTTCTTCCCAGCCACTTTTATGCCTTTGCATGCAAATGCATTCAAAAGTGATGAAGATCATTTTATACTTTTCAAAATGTGAAGGGACACGAGAAAAGGTAGGTGTCACATTTGGAGCACTGCAGTTTCTGCAGCATGTTAGAGTTCAAAGCCTGATCCCAGAGAGGTGAGCAGTGAATGGGAATAAGAAGAGGGAGACAGAACAGAAACGAATATTCTTTCAAGGTGTGCAAAGGAAGGAGGAATAAAAGAAGGTGGCGTGTTAGACGGAGAAGAAGCAGTTTGAAGTGTCTGGAGAGTAGCATCTGCGTTCTCCAGAGCACTGGTCCATGGAGGTGTTCCATGGGGAATTCTGGGAGCTCAGTAATGCCAGGAACAAGTTAGCCTGTTGAACTGTGTTTAATTCTGTGTATCCAAACCTAATTGACCTACTGATAACCTACCCTGGGAATCCCTAGACAAGAATATATGATGTGTGGGAAGAGAATACATTCTTTTCGTGTGTAGGTTTGCAGATCATGAAGAACCCTATACACCATAGTAATGGCTTTTTACTTCTGCGGACAGTGTGGCCCTCTTGAAGTATTCAAAGCAGAGAGTGAGAGAGACAGTTTTAGGTTTGAGAACCATCTCCGTGGTGAAGGTAGATGCGCCGCAGTTGTACCAGCAGAGAAGGATCTTTGGTGAGAGACTTTTGTATTGAAAGGGGATGTTATACCTGTTAAGCTAGTTTCTCTTGCTCTTTAAAAAGCATAGTAGCGGCTGGGTGTGGTGGCTCACACCTGTAATCCCAGCACTTTGGGAGGCTGAGGAGGGTGGGTCACCTGAGGTCAGGAGTTCAAGACCAGCCTGGTCAACATGGTGAAACTCCATCTCTACTAAAAATACAAAAATTAGCCGGGTGTGGTGGTGCATGCCTGTAGTCCCAGCTACTTGGGAGGCTGAGGCAGGATAATTGCTTGAACCTGGGAGGCAGATGCTGCAGTGAGCTGAGATCCTGCCCCTGCACTCCAGCTTGGGCGACAGAGCGAGACCATGTATCAAAAAAAAAAAAAAAAAAAAAAAAAAAAAAAGCATGGTTGGACTTTAAACCTACCCCTCAATATCCTCCAGAAATGTGCATAAGAACGCTTGTCTTCAGCCTGAGCAACATGGTGAAACCCAGTCTCTACCAAAAGTACAAAAAATTAGCCAGGTGTGCTGGCACACACCTATGGTCCTAGCTACCCAGGAAGCTGAGGCAGGAGGATCGCTTGAGCAGGGGAGGTGGGGGTTGCAGTGAGCTGAGGTTGCACCACTGCACTCCAGCCTGGGCAACACAGTGAACCCCCATCTCAAAAAAATAAAAGAATGCTTGTGTTAATCCTGAATCTCTTATTTACACGACAATTTAGTCCTTTTCTCTTTTTTTCTCCTGTGAGTCTTGACTGTAAGCTTTCATGTTGGTGGGGAAGTTTCACAGCTCACTGCAAGGAGCCACATGATGCCTTGGTACTAAGACTGAAAGTGTTTTTGCCTTTATTTGACCTTTAAAATTGTTATGATCTAATTTAGGAAAGTCCTGTAGAATGTGTCTAGGAATTGATTTATTCTTCACACTGTGTACCATTTCTTTGCACCTAGATATGGTTATGGCCAGGGTGAACAGGGTAGAACAATCTATTTTGTCCTATCTTCATTTAAGAAAAATGCCAAAAAACTTGTTACTGCATGTTCTTGTTATTAGGGAGATTTTAAACAGGAAATGACAGAAATTATCTAAACTTAAGTGAATACTCGCAAGACCCAATATTATTAATTTCCTATCTTTTGAAGAGATGGCCAGGAAAATCCCCTTGTACCAAATAGAAAAATATTTAGCTTCTAGGAAAATTATGAAACAAAGGAGTGATTGAAATTGCAAGTTATTCTAATTGCCATTTCCCAGGGTGTTTGTCCAGTTTATCAAATCACTTCTTATTCTAGGCTTTGGTTTGGGTTCTCTTCTTACTGTCGTTAAGGGGAAACAAAGTCCCCAATTCTCCTGGCTAGTGAAGAGTTTAGATTTTGTTCTCAAGTTCAGTGCAGGCCTTGGGTCGAGCCTTTCGGAATGGCGCTAGGGACCTGTGTTCTTAGAGGACCTTAGATTTTTGAGCCAGGACTTGCATCCACACATACGTTTATTCAACCAGCAAAGCTTCCCTAGAATCTCAAGTGAGCCAGGCCTCTGTGCTAGGGACTGGTGACTCAGAGATTGAATTTTTATTTTACCATGGCTCTCATGAGTCATACAGACAAGGGGTCAGATGATTCCAATATAGGCCTCCTTGATAGAAGTCGGCACAGGAGGCCTCGGGGGTGGTGGAGAAGGCTTGGGTTTGAGGTTTTCCACTTTTGGCCAGTATGGAGCAACAGGGCTCAGTACACCTTCTTGCCTGAAACAATTCAAAAATGGACAAAGTATAAAATACTGGACATTCGTCAGTCAAGGCCAGTGATCTTTCGAGAGATGGGCAATGAGGGTTTCTTTTTCTCTTGACACTTGATGTGGTATCTTTTCTAACACTACTCCAGTTCTCTAGATAACAACTGGGCATTCCATAATTCAGTTTAATTCTGACACTATCTGCCTGGAGTTAGCATCAAATCCTACAAGTTAAAGGGCTCAGTGTCACAAGACTGACCCAACTTAAGACACCAGTTGTAAGTCCTGGGCTACCTGTGTTTCTGACCAATGGCTGTACATCAGTGGTTCCCATAACTCCCTCTTTGGATTTGATAATTTTCTAGAATGATTCATAGAACTCAGGAAAACACTTTACTTACATTTTGACTTACGTGGTTTTTTTATAAAGGCTACAACTCAGGAACAGCCACATAGGAGAGATCACAGGGCCAGCTGTGGGAAGTGGGGGTGGCATGGAGTTTCCGTGCCCTCTCTACTTGCACCACCGTCTCAACGCCTCTGTGTGTTTAATAACCCGAAGCTCTTCAAATCCTGTCGTTCAAGGGTTTCTTTTTTATTTTTATTTTTATTTTTTTTGAGACAGTTTTGCTCTTGTCGCCCAGGCTGGAGTGCAATGGCAAGATCTCGGCTCACTGCAACCTCTGCCTCCCAGGTTCAAGCGATTCTCCTGCCTCAGCCGCCTGAGTAGCTGGGACTACAGGCGTGAGCCACCACACCCGGCTAATTTTTGTGGTTTTAGTAGAGATGGGGTTTCACCATGTTGGCCAGGCTGGTCTCGAACTTCTGACCTCAGGTGATCCGCCTGCCTCCGCCTCCCCAAGTGCTGGGATTACAGGCATGAGCCACCGCGCCCGGCTAAGTTTTAAATTATTTGTAGAGACGGGGGTCTTCTTCTGTGGCCTAGGCTGGTCTCGAACACCTAGGCTCAAGTGATCATCCTGCGTCAGCCTTCCAAAATGTTGGGATTCAGGCGTGAGCCACTGCACCCAGCCCAGTTTCAGGTTTTATAGGGCCTGTTGATTATTGAATTTGGCACACTCTAAGAAAAATAATCCCACAAAATTGTGAATCCACCATTAGAAATGATTTGAAATATTTATTTAGCCACCGTGCCTGGCCATTCCTGGGTTTCTATGGAGGTTTCTTTACACAGGCATGATTGATCAGTCACTGGCCGTTGACGAGTGCTTCCATCTCCAGTCCCTCTCTTCTCCTCAGATATTGGGGAGTGGCTGAAAGTTCCATGTTTTTTATTGAGGCTTGGTCATTCTGGTGACCAGCCCCCATCCTAGGGGCCTGCCAAGAGTTGCCTCATTAGAGCAAAAGATGCTTCTATCACCTATATGACTCAGGGAATTCTAAGAGTTTTAGAAGTTCTGTACCAGGAACCTGGGGGAAAGACCAAGTAACTTTCTTCTGCCACAAGCGATAGTGGGAGTGAGCAGTACAGCTGCCCCAGCTCAGTGCCTTTAGAAAGTTTCTAGGCCATGGCACAGGGGAAACCCAGGCAGAGCTAGGCAGCCTCCCTGCGTTGAGGAGATGGAGATGAGAGTTCAGGGAGACTAAGGCAGGTAGAGGTTGCAGGACGGAGTACTTACAATGGAGTATAAGGTGGACCAGAGGTGCACAGAGAGAAAACTTGAGATGTCCAAAGTGCCCCTCCACTCAAGGATCCCGCTGAGAACTGATGAGCAAGAAAACTTCTTAAGGCCAGGGAGAGAACTAGTTGAAGGATTAGAGAAAACAATGCCAGCTATTCACAGAACTGGGAATAGTGCCCGGCCCAAACATTTGAGGAAGAACTCACACCATTTCTACCCAAACTCTTCTGTAAAATTGAAGAGAATATGTTACAACTAATTCTATGAGACCTGCATGATTCTGATACCATAACCAGACAAAGACATTGCGAGGAAAGAAAACCCCAAACAAGACTCCTCATGAGCGTAGACGTTAACGTGCTAAACCCAACTGTGGCAAATCTAATCTAACAGTGTTTACAAAGGATGGTACGACATAACCAAGTAGGGTTTATCCTGATTTTGCAGGGTTGATTTAGTATTAATATTTGAAAATCAGTGTAATTCACCATATTAAGCTAAAAAAGAAAAATCTTGTGTTTATCTCAATAGGTACAGAAAAAGTATTTGACAAAATCTCATGTTTGCCCTGGTGTGATGTAGCAGAAAGTTTTTTATAGGAAGCTAAGGGATCCTAAGTAGCAGGGGATAAATAGGATAAATAGACTTAGAACACAAGTGAGGAGTCTGAACTCTACAGAGTTTTATATATATATATATATTTATATATATATATATATATATATATATATATTTTAAATAATTAAAATTAAGGCTGGGCGCGGTAGCTCACGCCTGTAATCCC
Source organism: Homo sapiens (assembly GCF_000001405.40). Taxonomy (NCBI): domain Eukaryota; kingdom Metazoa; phylum Chordata; class Mammalia; order Primates; family Hominidae; genus Homo; species Homo sapiens. The sequence goes on along the minus strand of NC_000016.10, from coordinate 27,251,108 downwards.
AGCACTTTGGGAGGCTGAGGTGGGCAGATCACCTGAGGTCGGGAGTTCGAGACTAGCCTGACCAACATGGAGAAACCCCGTCTCTACTAAAAATACAAAATTAGCTGGGCACGGTGGTGCATGCCTGTAATCCCAGCTGCTCGGGAGGCCGAGGCAGGAGAATTGCTTGAATCCGGGAGGCAGAGGTTGCAGTGAGCTGGTATCGTGCATTGCACCCCAGCCTGGGCAACAAGAGCAAAACTCCATCTCAAAAAAAAAAAAAAAACAGTTAAAATTAAATAAATTTCATTTATTTTATTATTTTATTTTATTTTTGAGAGAGAGTCTCAAAAAAGCCTCCCAGGCTGGAGTGCAGTGGTGCCATCTCAGCTCGCTACAACCTCCGCCTCCTGGGTTTAAGCAGTTCTCCTGCCTCCGCCTCCCGAGTAGCTGGGATTACAGGCACGTGCCACCACGCCCGACGAATTTTTGTTATTTTTAGTAGAGGTGGGGTTTCACCGTGTTGGCCAGGCTGGTCTTGAACTCCTGGCCTCAAGTGATCTCCCTGGCTTGGCTTCCCAAAGTGCTGGGATTACAGGCATGAGCCACCGCGCCTGGCCCTCTACACAGAGTTTAAAAAAAAAAAAAAATCCAACAGCTATTCCTGATTAAAAAACAAAAACAAAAACAATACCCTCAGCAAAGTGAGAAAAGAAGGGAACTTCCTTAACCTGATAAAGGGGATCTCTGTAAAACCTACAGCTAACATCACTCTTAATGGTGAAAGACTGAATACTTTTCCCTAATCTCAGGAGAAAGACAAGAATGTCTGTTCTCACCACTTTTGTTCTAGCTAGTGTACTGAGGCGAGAAAAAGAAACAAAAGGTAGCTGGATTAGAAAGGACGACACAGTAAAACTGTCAGTTCACAGACAACATGATCATCTGTGTAGAAAATCTGATGGAATCTACAAAAAATCTTCTGGAACTAATAAGTGAGTTTAGTAAAGTTGTAGGATACAAAATCAATATCCAAATACCAATTGTTTCTCTATATGCTGGCAATGGATAATCAGAAATGGTAATGTAAAAATAGCACCATTTATAATAACATTAAAAATAAGAAATGCTTAGGAATAGATCTGGCAAAAATGTGTTAGACCCGTACACTGAAAACTACAAAACATTGTTGAGAGAAGTCAAAGGAGATTTAAATAAGTGGAAAGACATAGCATGTTCATGGGCTGGGAAATTCAGTATTGTTAAGGTATCAATTCTCCCCAAATTGATCTATAGATTCAAAGAAATCCCAGTTAGATCCCAGCAAGGCTTTTTATAAAAATTAACAAGCTGATTCTGAAATTCACATGGAAATGTAAAGGACCTAGAAGAGCCAAAACTATTTTGAAAAAGACAAACTTGAGGAACCCTGCCTGATTTCAAGACTTACTGTATGGCTGTCCTATCAAGACAGTGTGGTAGTCATGTCATGATGGACAAACAGATGAAGGGAAAAAAATAAGAGAGCTAGATAACAGACCCACACATAGGTGGACAGCTGATTTTTGACAGAAGTGCAAAGGTAATTTAGTGGAAATAGTCTTTTCCAAAATGAGTGCTGGAATAATTGGATATCCATAATCAAAAAATGAACTGCAAGCCATACTTTGCACCAAATACAAAAATTATCTCAAAATGAGTCATAGACCTAAATGTAAAACCTGAAACTATAAAACTTCCAGAAGAAAACATAGGAGAAAACCTCTGTGACCTATGATTAGTCCAAGATTTCTTGGCTCCAAAAGCATGCTCCATAAGAGAATGAATCGATAAATTGAACTTCACAATTAAAAATTTACATTAAAAAATACTCTTTAGAGACTGAAAAGACAAGCAAAATACTAAGAGAAAATATTTGCAAATAATGTATTTAATGAATGACTTGTATTCAGAATATATAGAGAATTCTCAAAGCTCAAAAATAAGAAAACATTCAACCCGGCTGGGCGTGGTGGCTCACACCTGTAATCCCAGCACTCTGGGAGGCTGAAGCCGGTGGATTGCTTGAGCTCAGGAGTTTGAGGCCAGCCTGGGCAACATGACAAAACTCCGTCTCTACAAAAAAATACAAAAATTAGTCAGGCATGGTGGCATGCACCTGTAGTTTCAGCTACTTGGGAGGCTGATGTGGGAGGGTTGCTTGAGCCTGGGAGGCAGAGGTTGGAGTGAGCTGAGATTGTGCCACTGCACTTCAGCTTGGGTGACAGAGGGAGATCCTGTCTCAAAAAAAGAAAAGGAAAAGGAAAAACATACAACCCAGTAAGAAGTGTGCAAAATATTTGAACACTGCAAATCGGTTGTACAGATGGCAGATGAGCACATGAAAAGATGCTCAACATCATTAGACATTTAAAAAATGCAGGCCAGGCATGGTGGCTCACACCTGTAATCCCAGCAGTTTGGGAGGCCGAGGTGGGTGGATCACGAGGTCAGGAGATTGAGATCATCCTGACCAACAGGGTGAAACCCTGTGTCTACTAAAAATACAAAAATTAGCCAGGCTTGGTGGCGGGTGCCTGTAGTCCCAGCTACTTGGGAGGCTGAGGCAGGAGAATTGCTTGAACCCGGGAGGCGGAGGTTGCAGTGAGCTGAGATCACGCCACTGCACTCCAGCCTGGGGAGAGAGCAACACTCTGTCTCAAAAAAAAAAAAAAAAAAAAAAAGCAAACTAAAACCGCAGTGAGCTACCACTGCATGTGTATTAAAATGGCTAAAATGAAGAAGACTCTGCAAGGCAAGTATTGGTGAGAACATGGAGGAACTGGAACTCTAATATACTACTGTTGGGAATGTAAAATGGGACAGCCATTTAGGAAAACAGTGTGGCAATTTCCTATGATTCAGCCATTCCTCTCTTAGGCATTTATTCAAGAGATATGAAGCTATATGCCCGCACAAAGGCTTGTGCAGAGATAGAGTATCTTTATTTGTAATGGCCCCAAATGTGAACACCTAGTTGTCCATTTGCAGTTGAACAGATGAACAGACTGTGATAAATCCATACTACTTAGCAATAAAAGTAAGTGAGCTCTTCCTACATGCTAGAATATGAATGAATCAGAATGATTTTGCTGAGTGGAAGAAGTGAGGTGAAAGAGTATAAAGCAATTTTGTTTTGTTTTGTTTTTTGTTTTTTTTTTTTTGAGACAGAGTCTTGCTCTGTCGCCCAGGCTGGATTGCAATGGCGCAATCTCCGCTCACTGCAACCTCCACCTCCCAGGTTCAAGCGATTCTCCTCCCTCAGCCTCCTGAGTAGCTGGGACTACAGGTGTGTGCCACCACGCCCGGCTAATTTTTTTGTATTTCTGGTAGAGATGGGGTTTCACTGTGTTAGCCAGGATGATATTGATCCCCTCACCTCGTGATCTGCCCACCTCGGCCTCCCAAAGTGCTGGGATTACAGGTGTGAGCCACTGTGCCCGGCCATATGAAGGCATTTATGTGAAATTCTAGACAATGCGTACCTGACTGTAATGACAGGATGGTTCAGTGGTTGCATGGGGATGGCATAGAGGAGGGATAGGATGGGTAGGTGAGAGGGATTACAAAGAGGCACAAGGAAACTTGGTGAGTGTATTAGTCCGTTCTCGCGCTGCTAATAAAGACATACCCAAAACTGGGTAATTTATAAAGGGAAGAAGTTTAATTGACTCACCGTTCAGCATGGCTGGGGAGGCCTCAGGAAACTTACAGTCATGGTGGAAGGGGAAGCAAACACATCCTTCTTCACATGGTGGCAGGCAGGAAGGAGAAGTGCTGAGCAAAAGGGGAAAAGACCCTTATAAAACTGTCAGATCTCTTGAGAACTCACTCACTGTCACAAGAATAGCATGAGGGTAACTGCCCCCATGATTCAATTCCCTCCCACCAGGCCCCTCCCATGACATGTTTGGATTATGGGAACTACAATTCAAGATGAGATTTGGGTGGACACAGCCAAACCATATTGGGGGTGATGGAAATATGTCTTTGCAATCCAATATGTATTTTACACTTAGTTTAGACTGGCCCCATTTTAAGTGCTCAGTAGCCACATGTGCTATTTGTAGAATGTTCCTCAGCTTAGGTTTGTCTGGAGCTTCCTCCTAATTAGATCTAGGAGTTTTAACTTTGCAGATATAATATGGAAGCGGTGTTGTGTTCTCTCTGCATCCTACCAGGTCGGCTACGGTGTTGATGGGGTCAGCCAGGTTTCTCCAGTGTACAATTACTCTTTTTCTATGTGATTAATAAGTATATTGCAGGGAGGTACTTAGAGACAAGGTAAATATCTCATTCTTGGCCCGGTGCAGTAGCTGATGCCTGTAATCCCAGCAGTTTGGGAGGCTGCAGCAGGTGGATCACTCAAGCTCAGGAGTTTGAGACAAACCTGGGCAACATGGCGAAACACTGTATCTACATAAAATAAAAAAATTAGTCGGGCCTGGTGGCATGAGCCTGTAATCACAGGTACTCAGAGGCTGAGGTGGGAGGATCCCTTGAACCCGGGAGGCAGAGGTGGCAGTGAGCCAAGATCATGCCAGTGCACTCCAGCTGGGTGACAGAGCAAGACCCTGTTCCAAAAAATAATCCCACTCTTCATCCCATTTTTACCTATTAGTTTTAAAATACTTCCCTGGATTCATTCTTATTTTATGGTTGCCAGACTGCTGTGAGGTACAGTTCTATACTCTCCAGCACTAACATTTTAGAACTAATTACACTGTATTATCATGTTTAATGTTAATTTTTATGAGGTTTTAAATTATCTATTGTTTTAAGGACAAGTTAGGTAAAAATGTCTGAAGTTTTAGATTTAAAAATTTAGGTTTAGAAATACTTCAGTGAGCAGAGTAAATAATTTGATGTTTGGGCAAAAACCAGGTCGCTGAAATACATGTGTCAAAACTAGATGAGTGAGTCAAGTATCATGGTCACGTTGGGGTTTGATAAAGATTTTCTGTTTTTGTCAACTCTCTTATCTGCCTTCATCCCGGGTTTGTTTCCAGCGTGCTGATTGACATGCCTGTATCTGCTTCGTCGTCTCACGCTGGACTCCTGTACATCATCAGGCTACGTGCGTTGATGGTGAATCAGCGATGTTGACATTTTGGTTTAGTATTCCATCCTGTCTGTAGTCCTATTTGTAAGCACCTTCTCTTTCCAAGGAAGACTCAGTCATAATTAGAAGCTGGCTCCAAGTACATTTTCCTTCTGTTTTTAGTGATTTCATTTATAGATCTCCCCTTTGGCAATGATGAACAGTTAATCAGCATACCACTGTCAGAGCCGGTCTGCCTTTCAGTTAATCAAGGGAGATAAAGTCTGGGATCATAACTGAAAAGTGGCAAAAAATGAGTATGAAAAGTAACATCTAACGTGTGACTCGATGAATTTCTCAACATACAGAATTGACAGCCGGCAGTTATTAAGTGCTTAGACAGGAATCTTTGGGTTCAAGAAGCTCTGTAACCACAAGGAAATTGATGTTGCTTTTGTGTCTCTGGCTCTTGCTGGCCTAGATGTGTCCAAGTCCTGCCCGTTCTTCATGTCTGCAGCCTGGGAGTCCAGGCTGGACTGCTCCACCGCAGCCCTTTCAGGCCAGCATGGAGTTGCTGAGCCAGGATTTCTGTGCGCTTCACGCTCCCCTAAGCACACACATCATGTGTTTGGGAATGCATTTTGAACTGGATCCCAGACATGAGAGAGGTTATGTGCTGATGCGTGGAAGTACTGGGAATGGATTCAGTGGGATTACCACAGACCCCGCTGGCTGGAACAGGGAAGCCATTTTTCAAAGGCATGAATTCAAGTCCTGTTTCTTCCAGGGTCTGGGGAAAGTTCTTTTACTTTTCTGAGTCTCAGCTTTCTGTGTTATAAGGGACATCACATTCATTTCATGGAAGAGTCTTGAGGATTAAGCAAGGGAATGTATGTTCAGCGCCTGGCACAGAGTGCTTGTGGGCACACGTTCACTTCATGCTCACCACTGCCTCTTCCTTCCTTTTCTGCCCCTTAACTTGCCATCTAATCCCAATTGCTGGGGGTGAGTGGTGGGGGGTGACTATCAGAAGACCCATGGTGCTGGTATGATAGTGTGATAGGAATTATTTTATAGACCACAGGGCTGAATTCTCTTGGGGTTTTCCTAGAAAATTCACAAAGCATGGTCACCACTTGTACCACACATCTTCCTCGGTTCGTGGACGGATACGTCTTGAGTGTCAGCTGAATGTTGGGCTGCTGTGGTGAATAGGATGAGCAGATCCCAGCCTTCAGGGAGCTGGCATTCTGCTTAGAAAGAGAAAGACCGTAACTCGGAGGCAGACAGTGTGGTAGTTTGGGGTGCTAAGTGCTGGAAGGAAGCATTGAGTCCCTCGGTAGAGCGGGCCTGGGGTGTGGCTTTGGCCAGGGCCTCTGTTCAAACCTTTCTGTGGAGCTGCCATATGTGGCGATGCTCGGGTGATGAGGGGCAGCCCTGCAGAGATATGCGGGAGACGCTTTCCAAAGGGAAGGCAGCATGAGTGAAGGGGCTGAGATGGGGAGGAGCTTGGTGTGGGGGAGTGGGGGACAGAAAGGCAGGTGGCAACATAGGTCAGGGGATGGAGCCCCAGACATCTTCCAGGCTGAGTGCTGGGACCTGGCTCCACTCAGCTGCATGTGGAGGACAGACAGATGGAGAAGGCTAGAGGGGACACCGGGAGAATGTTGGAGGCTGTTGTCTGCTTCAGACTGTAGTGAGTGGGGAAAGGGAAGGGCGTGCGCCTGTCAGAGCGACTGCAGTCAGCCGCCTTCATACCAGCCACTTCTTAGCCCCTGCTTAGCCCAGAATGGGCACCAAATTGAGTCCTCCACGGATAAAGTGTGAACATAAACGGAGACCAGGCAGCAGAACAGGCAGCAGCTGCTTATTTAGAGCTTGCTCCAGCAAGAGAGGCAGCCTCCACTTGGGTTTAGCAGAGACTCCAGGAAGGCAGAGGAGTGGGGAGGCTTCAGGTGTGCCTGAGTGGAGGCTGCTGGCCAGGGCAAGGTGGAGACAGCTAACCAGAAGTGGGGCGTCCTATGTGATTGGTTAGAAGTACATATGTGGCTTTCTCTGGTTTGTTGTCTCTTAGAAACAGGGATAAAAATTAGGGAAGCTGGCAAGCATGGTGGTACATGCCTGTAGTCCCAGCTACTTGGGAGGCTGAGGCGGGAGGAACACTTGAGGCTAGGAGTTTGAGACCAGCCTGGGCAACATTGCGAGACCTCAGGGTCTGCAGAAGAAACAAAGTTAGCTGAGCGTAGTGGCTCGTGCTTGTAGTCCCAGCTACTGGGGAGACTGAGGTGGGGGGATCACTTGAGCCCAGGAGTTCAAGGCTATAGTGAGCTATGATTGCACCACTGCTCTCCAGCCTAGATGACAGAGCGAGACCCCATCTCTAAAATATAAAATAAAATCAATTAGGGTAGTATCAGTTACTGATCCTGCCTTGGTCCTTTTGGGCCATGATTGTGGGTTAGTTTTGGCTTCTGGACTGGTTGCTAGGGGACTGGCCTGGCTTCCTGCAGGTCTGGCTTAGAGGTGGTGGGCTGGCTTTCTGGGCAGGTTGATGTAGATTTTGGGTTGGAGTTCTGCTTTTATACGTGGTCTGGCCATTGGCTGCAGCCCATTGGCTGTTTGTATGTTCAATCTCTCAGAAGAATGAGTGTAACACGGTCCATTCCTTTGAGCTGCTCACAGTCCAGCCTGTGTGAGAAATAGTAACTGCTTAGCTGGTGGGTCAGGGAACAGAGTGACCTCATTAATCACTGTGTCTCATGACAGCGGGTTTCCTGCCCACATCGGAATTGGGAGACGGTGAACGGTCAGTGGTATATAACTTACAGGCATTGTTTGTTTGCACTATAGTGTTTGTAATTTTTAAGAATTACCAGGTTAAACAGAAAACAACCGCCAGGAGATTCTGTGTAAACACCCAAAACTCGGGCACTCGGCTGGAGCAGAGCAGTGCTGCCTTCTTTGGTAGAATGCGTGCCGCCAGCTCCCTGCTGTGCCCACAGCTGTCTGCAGCTGTGCTTCCTGCCTGCCTCTGTAGGCATCAGATTTGTCCATTTTCAGTTCGCTCAGTGCAATCTGAGCAGGAGGAAACTTACCCAACAGGGATCAGGAAGAACTGCTCTGGTTTCAGGGGCTGGGGTGACCAGGAAGCCTCTCTCCCGTCCCCTGCAGAGCCCCTGTATCAGCTCTGCGAGGGCTCCTGCATGGGTAGGGATGGGGACCAGAGCGCCACAGAAGGTGTCAGAGCTGCCACTCATCTCAAGGATAGATGGACCACCTGTTTTCAGTGGGTGTGATTAGATGAAATGTGTATGAACAGCATCAGTAGCAAAATATATAGTAGTTTATGTTTCTCATGACGATTTCCATTATGATCCAGAACTTTACCGTGATAAAGCAGTGGGCACTGCTTTATTGCCAGTGGGAGTCCTGACTGGTAGACCTCCAGCCAGGGGAAGGTCCCATAGATGCTGCATAGATAGGGACAGCAAGTGGATGTCCCCATCACCACTCCTGCAGTGGTGTCATAGGTTTTAGTACCATAAATGCATGCAGCTGAGATGCAGGTACTGTGCCCAGTAACATGAAATAAGTTTTATGCTCTGTCATTTGAGTGAGGCTAAAGAGCAGATTTTCTGATTGTAATAAACTTCTGATTGTAATAAACTTCTTGAGTTTAAGAAGAAAAGAACTCTGTGTACAGATCTCAGAACAATAGGTTTTAAAACCATACGTTATTAAAATCCTATTTCTTCTCTACTGTCAGAGCACTGAGCTAATCTACCTTGTCACACAACACTCATTTTTCTCTTTAGATTGAGATTCATGAGGGTCAAGGAGTCAAGTTATATGATTGTTGAGCACTGAAGTATTTTTACAACATTTTATTATGGAAAAAGTCAAACAGAAAAGTGGAGAGACTGATACAGTGAAGCCCTGTGTGCCATCACTCAGTTCCGATGATGAACGCAGGACTGATCTTGTTTTATTTATGTTTGTACCTGCTTACCCACGTTATTTTGAAGTATTCTCAACATCATTGCATGTATATGTAAGAATTTTTTTCTGATGAATGCCCACATCCTTTCGTGATTGCATCCAGCTAATGGCCAGACATCTGATTTCTGGTCTAGACTTTGTCGCTTCCTGTCCCGTCTTAGGTATGTCCTTCATCTCTCTGACCTCTGAGAAAGAGAAGCAGCGATCCTTTCTGGCTCGCCTCTGCATTGGTTGCTGAGGGTCTGCTGAGAGGTGAGGAGCGGCGCTGCAGCGTGTAGTGAATGAGCTGGTGCACCGATGGAGAGGACGGTTCGTCACTAAGTGATCTACCACAGACCAGCCACTCTCCTTCCACCCGGCTCTTCCCAGCATTGTTCACTGGCCATGCTTGGAAGTGCCCATGGCAGTTCTCATCTTTGCATCTGTGTGCCTGAAGGTCCAGAGAATCTTTTTCCCCAGGCGGTTGGGGGAAAGATGAGAGCTACAGGCTGAGAGGTGAAATCCTGTGGCCCCTCACAAACCTCCCCAGCCCCGTGTCCTGCCCACCAGCCCTTCCTTCTTCCCAGCCCAGGGTCTGCTCTCTTGGGCCAGCTCCACTCCTGCACCCCCGTCTCATCCAGGGCCTGCCCTGCCCTGTCCTCAGTGCTGTGCTAGCAGGACCGCCCGTCCACCCTGTCTGTCGGGAGGGCTGTCAGAGGGTAAGTTGGCTCACAGTGGCTTGGGCCCTTGGAGTCTTATTTTTTGCTGTTATTTCCTCTGCCTAAAAATAACATTTTATGTTTTTATTGCCTAGTTTAGAACAAAACTATTTGTTGGTCAGAGGTCAGGGCAGTAGACTTCCCAATTTCCTGTTGCCCAAGTGCACAGTGAATCCTAGGTTCCAGTAGCCTCTGGGAAGCAGGGACCCTGATATAGCAAGAAGAGGCTCATTGGTAACATTACATTCCAATGTAACTTAATCATTTCTTTCATTTTTTGAGAGATGGCCTAGCTCTGTCACCCAGGCTAGAATGCAGTGATGCGATCATAGCTCATTGCAGTCTCCAACTCCTGGGCTCAAGCTATCCTCCTGCCTCAGCCTCCCAAGTAGCTGAGACTATAGCCACATGCCACCATGCCTGGCTGATTTTTAAATTTTTTTGTAGAGATGAGCTCTTGATCCATTGCTCAGGCTTGTCTTGAACTCCTGGCCTCAAATGATCCTCCTGCCTTGGCCTTCCAAAGTACTGTGATTACAGGTGTAAGCCACCACACCTGGCCTTAAAATTTAATTTTAAAAGAAAAGGAGAAACTGTATACAGAATTAGTCCAAAACAAAATCTCTCAAGATGACTTGAGCCAACCCTTCTCCTTAGGGGAGAAGTGTCCTGTTTTGTTCAGTGCTTGTCACTTGCCTGGAGGCCCGTTTTCAATTGCCACCACTGATGGGCATTTCCTGTTAAAGGAAGAGTGGCTCTGTTCGCTCCAGGGTCTTTGCCTTTCCTCAGCTGCTCCTGCTGCCCTGCATGCTGTCCCTGCACGCTGGACCTGGCCCAGTGCTCAGGGCTGGGCCAAGGGGATGATGGATGCTGGGGTGGGCTGGGTTGAGGGGATGATGGATGCTGGGCTGAGCTGGGTTGAGGGGATGATGGATGCTGGGCTGGTCTGAGCTGAGGGGATGATGGATGCTGGGCTGGGCCAGGCCGGGCTGATCCAATGCATCTCCTCTGTGAGTGCAGCTCCTCTTTGGGTACCACCTCTGGTGTCCTAATCAGGTGCCCAGATGCCTTCCATCCTTCCCTGTTGGCCCAGTCTCTCTTGGTGACTCTGAAGCACAGGGCAGGTGCAGGAGGGTATAGACGAGATGACGGTGGGGTCTGGTATAGAGGATGTCCTCAGGCTTGTTCTGTGGAGCCCATGGGGCTTAGTGCCTGGGAGCTTAGGATCTGGGGTTGGGCAAGCCCGGGCTCCATTTCCTTCCAAGTTACGGAAACTATGAGCAAGTTGTTAACCTCTCCAAGCCTCCTGTATATACAGATGATACTAGTGATTTCATCTTACGGAGTTACTGTTATTGTCATGATGAAATGAACCATGTGAATGCATAGTGCTGGCACATAATAAGGTAATCATAGCCACACATTTGCAGGCCCCTTGATTTTAGCCTAACATGAGCTACTTTACTATAGCCCTTAAGAAATCCAGACACACCCTGCCTCTTCCAAGTAGAGAGAACACAGATAGCACTGTGTTTAGAGGTTTAGAGGTTCAACTTGCTTGATTTAAACATGTTGCTGGTTGTCCTGGCTAGGGTATCTCTTTCCCTCTAGAGGAGACATCTGTGCTAGGGCCAGGGCCTCGTTCCTCTGTCCTCATAGCTGGGCCTCCCATATCACTGACTGGAGGTTGGTGGTGTGCAGAGAACCAGCCTCTGATCCAGCGCTACCTACAGAAAACCTGATGTTTTGATATTTACTGAAGGTTGTGTCTTTTTCTTCAGTTGGTTCTGGATTCTGAAAAGGAGTGGTGTTGTTAATTAACTCCTAAGTCTTCAAAGTGGTATTTCTAAGACTGAAAGTAGTTGTCTCAGAATCTCACCATACGGACTTTATTCCGCACTCTTTATCATGACCATGGGCTCGTAGAATATTGAGGTCAAAAGGATCCTCAGACATGCCTTTAGCCCAGTGTATCCCTACAGATTGGCAAACTGTAGCTTCTCCACCAGGGCTCCTGGATCAGGGGAGAGACCAGGGGCAGAGCTGTGGACATTAGCTGTCCTGAAGACCTGAGGCTGGGAAGCAGCGATCTGGTGCAACCTTAGCGCTTAGTGGACATCATAAGGATCTTGGGAGCAAGCAAGAGACCCCAGTTCTGGTCAACTTAGAAAGGAATGTGTCGGGGCTGGGCACGGTGGCTCACGCCTGTAATCCCAAAACTTGGGGAGACAGGTGGGCAGATCACTTGAGGTCAGGAGTTTGAGACCAGACCAGCCAACATAGTGAAATCCCATCTCTACTAAAAATACAAAAAATTAGCCAGGTGTGGTGGTGAAACACCTGTAGTCCCAGTGCCTGGGGAGGCTGAGGCAGGAGGATCGCTTGAACCTGGGAGGTGGAGGTTGCTGTGAGCTGAGACTGTGCCACTGCACTCCAGCCTGGGCAATGGAGTGACACTCCATCTCAAAAAAAAAAAAAAATGTGTCGGGATGCTATTGGGGGAGGGACACATAGGACTCATTGGTGGCCAGGTGCACAGTTGGGGATAGGCAGGAAGCATGGCATCACCTCATGGCCAGAGCAGCTGGCCCTCTGTAGCTTCTGGGCTGGAGCCACCTCCAAGCTTCCTTTTGTCCCTTGCTCAGATTGGGAGAGTGTCTGGCTGATAGGGGTTCTCTGTCTACTCCTGGCTGCCCTAATCTCTGGTCCCTTCAGCTTTCTGCTTTCTGGTTCCCTGAATATCATACCTGGAATTATTCTCTCACCAAAACCGCAAATGTAAGAGAAAGACAATTGTAAAAAAAAAAAAAGAAAAAAGGCGAAGGTCTCGTTAGGGAGGGACATGGCTGCTGGGCTGGCAGGTGTCACCAGCTGACTCCTGTCTTGGGGCGGCGGCTGGACACAGTAACTGGAGTGCCACGTGATGAGGAAGGAAGTGCTGCCATGGGAGGACAGAGCTGGGAAGTGCAGCTTATCTGGTTGGGGAAGGCCTGTACGGGAGGCTGCCAGAGGATCAGGAGGCTGGGGTCCAGCCAGGGGTGGTGGTAGAGAAGCGGGAGGGAAGAGGGTTCTGGACATGTGTGAGGCTGGAGGCGAGACTGTGTGTGGCTGTTAGAGATGAGAAGTGGGGGAGAGGCTCACGCAGGGCCCCACAGAGCGGGAGGGCAGGATGGGCTAGAGCCCACACCTCTGCTTCTGGCCCCATGCCACCACGCCACCTCTGTTGCTGCTGAAAGGAGTCAGTTGAAGGGTTTGGGGGTGCTGAGTGTAAGAGAAGTTTCTTCTCAGGTCACGATTAAGAGGAGCTGCAAGGGCGCGGGGCCTCCGTGAGAAACAGTTACAGGGTCAGCGATGGAGATCGTGGACATGACCCTGATGCAGGAAGCGTGTGGAAGGAAAGAGGGCGATAGCGGAGAGAACGGGAGCGCCCAAGCAGTGGCTGGTGTGTGCAGTGAGCGAGTACAGTAGGAGGAAGTGGTTGGTCAGATGAAAATACAGCAAAACATTCATGGTTTCTGAAAAATGAGGCTGGACGCCAAACCAGAGGTGGTGTGGAGAGGGGAAGGGCAGAGAGGGCTGCTGGCTCCCTCCCTGCAACGGGGTGTCTGGAAAGTCCAATAGATCAGAATGCTTCTCATCTGCCCACAGGGCACATTGTTCTCAGTGATACCCAGGAGGGGCCTCGTTAGTGGAAAATGTGAATTGTCACTTTCAGAGAGGTGGGACTTGCCCCAGTGTCACACTGGGTGGACAGGGTTCCTGTCACTCACTCCGCACTGAACGAGGCTTTTTGATGTCTGGGCCTCTTGCACCTGAGCTGCCCAGCGTTGGCTCCCCTTGGGGGTGGAAAAGTGTGTCTGGCCAAGTCACTGGCACAGGCAGGTACGGAACAGCTCGGCTCCCACGCCAGCAAAGAGCTGCCTTGCATGCTGTGGAAGAGGAAGACAGCACCGGGGGCAGAAGAGAACATTTCCTGGAAAAACAGGCCATCCAAGGTGGCTGCCGCAGTGGAGGGAGAGGAGTTTTCAGAAAGGAGGGGCCCGTGAGCAGGGGCATGGAGGCAGGAAGTCAGGCCATGCCTCCCTCCTGATGCCTGCTCTCCAGCCGCCGAGGCCAGATGTCATTGTCATATGTTACGATCTCACCACATCCATGTTCCACCCACTTACTATGACTACTTTTTAATTTAAACTGCCTTTTAAAAACTTAACTGAAAGGGAAGATTAGCTCCTCGCTGAGCATGGCACATTAGTGTCACTGCCCTGGGCTTTGTTCTCAGCTTTTCTGGGCCCCACAGTCTGATCCTCTGACAGAGCTCATTGGCCTGGGTTTTCCTTGACTCTTTCACACGGCCACATCCTCCATTGTCACCAGCATGATCTTCTGTTGTTTTTTTTTTTAACTTTATGAATCTTGAGTTGTACGGGTAGCTTAGAAATGCCTCTGTCTAATAAGAAATCAAACACAGACATACAGCACGAGTGCCCTGTGATGACCCTTCGTTTAGTCCCTTCCTGGCGATGGCCTTGGTCGTCAGTCCAGTGGGTAACCTGCTGGGCCTTTTCCTGTGGGACTGTTTCATTGGTTCTGTTTTTGTTTCACACATGAATGTATCATATTGTCCATTTTTTCTTGCAGTTTTTTTTCCAGAATGATTTTCTAAGGCATGAATCTTTTGAAATTATTTATTTTAATACATAAAAACAGTAGTGAAAACAATAATACATACTCTTGCTTTAAAAAGTTTCACAGCACAAGCTGGGCGTGGTGGCTCACGCCTATAATCCCAGCACTTTGGGAAGCTGAGGTGGGCGGAACACTTGAGGTCAGGAGATCGAGACCAGCCTGGCCAACATGGTAAAACCCCATCTCTACTAAAAATACAAAAATTAGCTGGGTGTGGTGGTGCATGCCTGTAATCTCAACTCCTCGGGAGGCTAAGGCAGGAGAACTGCTTGAACCCGGGAGGTGGAGGTTGCAGTGAGCCAAGACTGTGCTACTGCACTCCAGCCAGGGCGAGAGCAAGACTCTGTCTCAAAAAAAAAAAAAAAAAAAAAAAAGTTTCACAGCATAAAAGGGACACAACGCTGGCCATGTCCTTCCACTGCTTCCAGTGCTCAGAGGCTTCCTGGTGCCACAGGAGAAAGGCCCTGCTGTCCCCGGCCACGGGCTCCTGTCCTCACCGCAGCCTCTCTGTCCTCCTCAGCTGAGCCCCCGGCAATAGTGTGGGTGCCCCCTCCTCAGACTGATGGACCTGGATGGTGGCCCCTGGGCTGTGAGCATCCTGCTGGCAGGGCCAGGGGAGGTGGGCGACAGAGAAGTCAAAGCCCCGGCCTTGTGGTGCAACTCTGGGCGAGTCAGTTCACCTCTCTGCGTCTCAGCCTCTTCCCCTGTGCCCAGAGAGCTGCTGGAGGGTGGATTCATGACGACAAAAGGTGCCCAGGACAGGGCCTCTCCATGCTGAGGGCTCGCTGCAAGCCACCCTTCTCACCCCGTTTGTTGTTATTCTTACTGTTCCAGCCCAGGACCCAGCACAAGCCTGGCATGTAAGTGAGGATAACCCGACATTGAATAAAAAGAGAAAGGAATAAAGCTCCACCTAAGATGTGTGGGGACATACAGGGACAGAGGCCTCTCGCGGGGCACTGGGGATGCGATAGAAGGGCTGAGATGGGATAGGATGTTTGTGCGGCGGGAGCTCACGCAGGCTCTGAGCACATCATTGAGTAATGCGCTGAAGGTGCTGATTGGGACTCTCATCAGGAGGCAGCGAGCAAAGACAGGAAGCCCGCGGCAGCCTCCGTGGTTGCAGATAGCATCTCCCTGGCCCTCCTGCCTCACAACGCCCTCCATCTGTTGTCTGTTTGTCTTCCAAGTACTCCAGGAAGAAAGAAGCCACGTGGCATTGGCGTTCACCCAAGAGGCTGCAGCCTCCACCCATGTCTGGGGTTGCTGTCCCCTGCGTTGAGATGGGATGGAATGATTCAAGCAAGCTACATTTTTTTGATGAGGCCCCCTGGTCACCCCCCTTTTTTTGGTCTGTTTATTTCCAGGCAATGCCACCGTAGATAAGTTGGAGGACTTCATCAACAACATTAACAGTGTCTTGGAGTCCTTGTATATTGAGATAAAGAGAGGAGTCACGGAAGATGATGGGAGACCCATTTATGCGTTGGTGAGTGCCCGGCAGAGCCCTCTAGTGGCATTTTTGAGGAGCTGGAACAGGGCCCAGGCAGCCTGTGTTTGCTTTGGTTTGATTTCTCTTTTGGACAGTTCTTTGCAAAGAAGTCACTCCAAATGTATAGAATATTAGGAATAAAGGGAGAAAATGGTTTTTTATTTAGAATAAGACATAGAAGCTATGAAAAGAAACTCTGTAGGAGTGTCAAGGATTGCAGGCCATGTGGGTGGGGCCTTCAGTGGTTTTCAGATTTACTCTCACAGGTAGGGATTTGGGCCTCATCCCTCCTGCCGCCGACTCCCCGTTCACCCACGTGATGTGTTCAGGATGCCACAGCCAGAATGGCAGAGCCAGGAGTGAAATACAGCCAGGGTGAAATACAGGAGTGGGAAGCTGACATGCCCCATCCCTGGCTAGGAGACACCTCAGCTGGTCAGAGGACATCTGGCTGCTCCCAGCCAGGCTCACACTCAGAAAGGGGCACTCTAGTCCAGGGTTGCCCAAACTCAATTCCCTGGAAAAAAAACATTACAGAGTCAAAGAACTGTGGAAATGCTGGTCAGACATGGCAAAGCAGATTTCCTTGCTATCAGACTTCTCAGTGCTTTTTTTGCATTTGAAGCTCCATTAACATGCAGACAAATCTCCCAAATTTATCTGAGTTTGGAAAATACTGCACACCCTTTGGAGTTCTGAAACTTCTGAGGGCCCAGCATGTTGGCTGAGCTAAAGAATAAAGTCTGTAATATACGCCTGGTTACAGATCCATCCCTGCGGCCCGCAGTGCCTGGATACAGGAGCTCAGTGACTGGCCAGAGATGGAGGAGGGGAGGGAGGGAGAGCCAGCGACACGTTAACCAACACGCAAAGAGCACAGCCTGACTGTCGTGCTGACTTATTTCTTAGGTGAATCTTGCTACAACTTCAATTTCCAAAATGGCTACGGATTTTGCAGAGAATGAACTGGATTTGTTTAGAAAGGCTGTAAGTAGAGTAATCCCCATTGCCCATTGGGTGGGCTTCTTATGGGAAAGTTCTGTCTCCGTCATTAGCAGTGGCAACTGCAGTGTTCAAGGATCACTGGGGGGACATGGGCCACCATTGCTGTCTGAGAAAAGGCTTTGCAGGGAGATGTCACTGTCTACCCATCTGGAACTCACAGCTGCCAGGGGGTCCCCATGGCTGCCTGAGAAGGAAGTGCTGGGCCAGGTGTGAGCCCCAACTGGATGGGCAAGAGCAGGGCTTCACTGGTAGTAACAGGCGTTCCTGCCTGGCTGCTCCAAGTGCCATCTGGGAAAGGCAGCAGCAGCAGCATCGCCTGGGAGCTTGTTAGAAAGGCCCGGTCCCAGTCCCCACTCTAGACTGCTGAGTCCGAATCTGCATTTTTGCCAGGTGCCCACTGAATCCTTTGCACGTGCACATTTGACAGGTACTGTTCTACCAGGCTTCAGAGCTATTTGCTCAGCCTTCTGCTCAAACACATGGCTAAGAGTGGTTCTCAGGCCTAGATGCAATGATAATAACTGCAGAGGTGAAAAATAATTCAGACATTTCAGCCCCACTCACGATCTGTTGAATCCAAATCTCTGAGAACCAGGCGGTGGAATCATTCCTTTTAGATCTTCTCCTGGGGATTATTAGCCACCAAGGTTGAGGAGCAGGTGCTGAGCTGAGCACACACCTGCGTGTGCAGGAACCTGTCTTCCCCAGCGGTTCCTGCCTGCCGTGTCTCTCTCTCACTGCCTCCGAGGCCAGCCGTGAGGCAAGGCGACCCTCTTTGATTTGGGGACATTAAGATGATTTATTTGGGAGGATGTTATAGAAGTGACCTCTGAGTCAAAAGAACTGAGCACAGTCCTGGCTCTTGATGCACATTAAATTGTTTTCCCGGAATACCATGCCAGTGTACAGTTCTGCCTGTGATCTGAGTGGTTTTACTGTGCCTCTGCCAGACTTGGTATTACCATTTAAAAGTTATTTTTGCCATTTTAATAGATGAGCATGATACCTGCTCTTTCTTCCAGCTGGAACTGATTATTGACTCAGAAACCGGCTTTGCGTCTTCCACAAACATATTGAACCTGGTTGATCAACTTAAAGGCAAGAAGATGAGGAAGAAGGAAGCGGAGCAGGTGCTGCAGAAGTTTGTTCAAAACAAGTGGCTGATTGAGGTACTGTCTCATGGTTTTTCCAGCCTGGTTCACTTTTTCAAGTGAATAACAGTTTTTTCTCCAAAATCGTACTTGTAGCCAACTGATGTCTGAGGAGCCCGGCCTTCTCGGATCCCTTATCTGCTTTCATGCATTCCAGCAGTGACCCCGTGGGGAGGACTTGGGCCTCACTCCTCCTGCCTCCCACTCCCCGTTCACCCAGATGATGTGTTCAGGATGCCACAGCCAGAATGGCAGAGCCAGGAGCCGCGCCCAGGGACTTGGGCCCCAGGATCAAGGCTCTAGCCCACAGACTGCAAGGCAGGGCAGTTCCGTGGCTGAGAGTGTGGCTCTAACATCTAACCCGGGTCTGAACCCTGAGCCAGGTGACCTCATGTTCCTTGTAAGAGGGGAGTCGTTGTTTCCCCTTCGGGGCTGGGTGTGTCAGGAGCGGGAATGGGACCTCACAGTAATGTGCTCGGTGCTAGGCTGGCTGGCTCGCGGGGGAGGCGGCAGAGGAATTGGTGACATTACCACTGTTGTTTTTGTCAGCAGTGAGTTCCTCAGGGCCAGTGCTTAGAAGAGGCATAGACCTGCTTCAGGAAAGGAGCTGTGACATCTGGGACAGGCCCCACTGCAGCTCCAGTTTCTAGATGTTGCCCCCACCCCCACGTCTAGTCCTGCTGAATGGAGCAGAACAAATGTTTCAGTTCTTTTTCCACAAAAGGCACCCCTGTTTTCAACAGCTCAGTGTTTGCCGAGTTGACCACAGCTGTGCCTCCCAGGTGCTTGTGCCCATGTGTGTTGAGGACGCACTCACGCCGGGTCCCCGCTTCCTCACTTGGTGGTCGGACTCGTGGCCAGAGGCTGCTGCTTGTGGCTGCAGCGATTCTCCGCTTCCTTTTCAGGAAGGCTCGCGTCTGGGTTGGGGAAGTCTGTGTTCTGAGTTACTGATTTCTATTTAGGGTGGGCCTGTCCCAGGAACCTGACCCGAATTCAGTTCCTGGGGTACCTGATGGGAAGACAGGGTGGAGAGGTCATGGGGTGAGGGCAGGGCTGGGAGCTCCTGGTGAGTGCAGGATCTGCTGGGCGCGTTCCCGTATGTCATGTCTTGGAGGCTGTCTGCTGCCCTGCAGTGGCTCCATAGCTTAGTTTTTAGCTGACAGCTCAGGGGTCTGGATGACGTCGGACACCCTGAGAGTGGCAGGGCCGAGTTCAGGCCCCGGTTTGGGGACTGCAGCTCCCATCAATGGCTTTGTCACAGTTGTTCTTGCCCTCCAGGCTGTATTTGGCACTAGGGAATGTTCTAGGGCTACTCAGGTTATAACTGACCATTCTCGCTTGTGGTGCAGCCCCTCTTCAGGCCAATTTTTTTTTTTTTTTTAAGATGGAGTTTTGCTCTTGTTGCCCAGGCTGGAGTGCAATGGTGCAATCTTGGCTCACCGCAACCTCAACCTCCCGGATTCAAGCGATTCTCCTGCCTCAGCCTCCCAAGTAGCTGGAATCACAAGCATGCGCCATCACACCCGGCTAATTTTTCTATTTTTAGTAGAGACGGGGTTCCTCCATGTTGACCAGGCTGGTCTCGAACTCCTGACCTCAGGTGATCCGCCTGCCTCAGCCTCCCAAAGTGCTGGGATGACAGGCGTGAGCCAGCGTGCCCGGCCACAGGCCAAGTTTTTTAAGGGTAGGGGTTATGACCTCTTCATGGCTGGTCCCCATTGCAGAATGTAGTGCCTGGCACCTCAACTGCTCAATAAATGCTTGCTGAATGGATGACTGGACAGGTGGATGAGGTTGCAGAGGAACAGCATTTAAAACTTACAAAAAATGTTACAGGAAATATCTGCTCATTACAGGAGGATTAGAACATGTTGAGATGCATAAAGAAACCCACTGAAGTCACCTGTTATCCCAGACCCTAGAGCCGAGTGCCCCAACATCCCAGTACACAACACTTTGCACCCTGCTTTGCACCCAAGAGCACCATGCCTAGCACATGCTGCCACCATTGTGCATGGCTTGCAGGGCGTGCCCCCAGCTTTATGGTTTGACTTGCCCTTTGTCTGCCCTTGGTGTCTGGAGAGGGCGGTGGTGGATAGGAGAGGCCCCGCCCTGGAGTCTGTGGCGGTGAGCTGTGGCTGCAGGCGCTTGTACTCTGTGCCTTTCTCAGTTCGGTGGCAGTGCTGGCACCACCTTCTGCAGGGCGCCTCTGAGCTCGAGGGAGGGTGGACAGAGGATCCGGGAGCTGCCACCTGCAGGAGCGCTGCAGAAGTAGCAGGGGGCCCTCAGCACTGGCGCTGGGCAGTAGCCCTAGAGAGGCTTCTTGTTGACTGCCTGGCCTGCTGGGGCCCTCAGGAGGACGAAGGAACGAAGCTAATGTGGCAGGGGCTGTGTGGTGAGACTCCTCCAGGTTCCTCCGCTGCCTGTGGTGAGCAGCTTCTCGTTGCGGAGACTGTTTCCTCATCTGCAGGATGGGGACATTGCCAGCTCCAGGTGTTTTCTGTGAGGGTCCAGTGCTCTCTGACCTACATGGCCTGGTAAGGGTTGCCTTGAGGTCTGCGGCACTCTGGAGGAATCACTGAGAACCGGGGCGGGTGCTCACTTACCCAGGACAGGTCTTCCTAGGGCAGCACCTCGATCAGAGAGACCACATGTCAGTGTCTGATCCTTGGCCTCTCAGACACAGGGCTTCCCACAGAAATAGCCAGGGGCCCACTGACAAGGCCCTTCCAGGTGGGTATATCACCCCAAGGACACGTCACTCCTGGACAGCCAGTCCTGTGTGAGACTGGCCCGGCATGGAGGTGCTGAGGCAGCTGTCCGTCCAGGAGAAGGCCCAGGGGTGGTAGGTGGTTGGGGTCAGCGGGGAGGCCTCTGAGAGCAAGCGCGGCTCATGGGAGCTGGGCGTCTGCTGATCGGCGCACCTCCATACACCCCAGGACTGCTCCCTACACGAGGTCCTGACTTCCAAGTGTTGTGGCGAGGCGCCTGGGAGATCACCTGGGCTGTCGTCGTCTTTGAGGGCTAGGGCATCCCTCCTGCCCCTCCCCTGATGGGCCCTCAGAGGACTGAGTGGGTCATGAATGGTGAGCCTTGGGTGCAGTTTCAGGCACATAGCAGGTGTTCAGTAAATGCAGCTTGGCTGGGTGCAGTGGCTCAAACCTGTAATTCCAGCATTTTGGGAGGCCAAGGCGGGTAGATCACTTGAAGTCAGGAGTTTGAGACCAGCCTGGCCGATATGGTGAAACCCTGTCTCTACTAAAAATATAAAAAAGTTAGCTGGGTGTGGTGGCGGGCATCTGTAATCCCAGGTACTCGGGAAGCTGAGGCAGAAGAATCGCTTGAACCCTGGAAGCAGAGGTTGCAGTGAGCTGAGATCGTGCCATTGCATGATCTAGCCTGGGCAACAAGAGCGAAACTCTGTCTCAAATAAATAAATAAAAAATAAATGCAGCTCCTGCCTCAGTCTGAGCTTGAACTTGCTTAGTGTCAGGCATTCCTTTGGGATCAGTGCAAGGTCTACTTCATCTTCCCGTGGGTGTTTATCACAGGCCTGCCAAGTGCTGGGCCCCACAGCAGGTGCTGCGGACACAGGAGTGAGCACAGCCAGAGCTGGTGGCCGCTCCCATGGGGCCATGGTCTGGAGGGGGAGCCCGAGATCAGTGAGACGGTCATCTCACTGCAGTCCTGGTACAGATGGAAAGGAAACATGGCTTTATGACAGCTGTCCCAGAGGAACCGGCCCTCAGCTGCTGAGGAAGTGACACTTGAGCTGAAGGCTGTGTGGGAGTTGCCTGGAGCCTGGGGTGGGAGGATCATCAGCCCGGCAGTGGCCCTGTGGCCAGCAGGTGCACTCAAGAAGCTAAGGCCAGGGCCATCTGAGCACAAAGATTGCGAGGCGAGCAGACGGAGGGCAGCCCGGGAGATACGCGTATTAGGGGCTTGGCTCTTGGACCTAAGGGTGGTGGGAAGCCCTGGGGTGGGGGTGAGTTGGGAGTGACAGGGCCAGGCTTGTTCGGTAGCGAGTGCGTTGCTGGAGGAGAGTGGGCTCAGAGAGCAGCAGGAGCAGGGGAGGGTGGAAGAGGGTGGAGGCCGGGGAGGTGGGTTGCCATGATGGATCTGTAGGGGAGGGTGGAAGAGGGCGGTGGCCGGGGATGTGGGGTACCATGATGCATCTGGAGGGGAGGGCGGAAGAGGGCGGTGGTTGGGGGTGTGGGGTGCCATGATGGATCTGGAGGGGAGGGTGGAAGAGGGTGAGGGCTGGAGAGGTGGAGTACCATGATGGATCTGGAGGGGAGGGTGGAAGAGGGTGGTGGCTGGGGATGTGGGGTGCTGTGATGGATCTGGAGGGGAGGGTGGAAGAGGGTGGGGGCTGGAGAGGTGGGGTACCATGATGGATCTGGAGGGGAGGGTGGAAGAGGGTGGTGGCTGGGGATGTGGGGTGCTGTGATGGATCTGGAGGGGAGGGTGGAAGAGGGTGGGGGCCAAGGAGGTGGGGTGCCGTGATGGATCTGGAGGGGAGGCTGGAAGAGGGCGGTGGCCAGGGAGGTGGGGTGCCATGATGGATTTGGGAGCTTTGGGGGAAGGTAACAGCCATAGGACTGAGGACCGAGGACAGCCTGGGGGCTGGTCACATCCTCCCATTGCCCACAGCACTTGGATGACACAAAGCCCCTGTGCACCAGCAACAGCTGCGGTGCAGGGCACAAGCACCTGGTGCCCCGGCCTCCCTCCACTGTTCCCGCAGCGGCTGTCCATGCCCCAACCCCACGCTTCTGCCCTGCCTTCCTTCCTGTGCTCACCCAGCTCCTCTACTGGTGTTCCAGAGCGAACGCACTGTGAGCCCAGATTACGCAAGCACACCCCTCCACATTGCACTGTGGGGATGAAGGTGGGAATGGGGTGGGGGGCTCTACCTGTCAGAAACGGGAGTGGGCTGGGTGCGGTGACTCACGCCTGCAATCCCAGCACTTTGGAAGGCCGAGGTGGGCGGATCACCTGAGGTCGGGAGTTCAAGACCAGCCTGGCTAACATGGTGAAACCCTGTCTCTACTAAAAATACAAAATTAGCCAGGCGTGGTGGCGCATGCCTGTAATCCCAGCTACTCAGGAGGCTGAGGCAGGAGAATTGCTTGAACCCGGGATGCGGAAGTTGCATTGAGCCAAGATTGTGCCATTGCATTCCACCCTGGGCAACAAGAGCAAAACTCCATCTCAAAAAAAAAAAAAAAAAAAGAAAAGAAAAGAAACGGGAGTGACAGCTCTTGCTTGTAAAAATTAAAAATTAGAAAATAACAGAAAAGGCAGTTGAGCACTCGGGTGACTTGCAGGCGTCAGTGACGTCATCTCCTGGTGTGGTTCATATCCGATGCATGAGCTGACTGTGGAGAAACTGGAATCAGCCTGCATGGGTCCATGTCCTGGGTCCCGTGTCATTTGCCTGCCTTGGGTCTCCCTCAGTGCTGCCTTTCTCCTGTGACCTGGCAGTAGGGTCGGCCTGGGGAGCTGCATTGTTCTTGTGCTTCCGGGCTCTCCCAGGGATTTCAGGATGCATGATGGGTGGACCGCACCCTGGCATGGGAACCAGGAGGCCTGGCTTCCACTGGAGGCTCCACTGCCCACAGTGTGATGGGGCCTGTCTGCCCTCTCCAGACTCCTTCCAGCTCCATCTGTAAAGTGATGTGGCTGGAAGTGATCTCTGAGGGTCCCTACTGCAGTTGGAGGCAGAAGTGCTGGGAGGCAGAAGTGCTGGGAGGCACCAGGGATGCTGCTTTTTGGGAGTGGGATGGGTGGCGGATGGCAGCAGTGGGTGTTTGGGTTTGCACCCTGGGGAGACTGACCCCCTTGTGGGCCTCAGCGTCCTCATCTGCAGGAGGGCTGTGACTGCCTCCCTCGAGGCTGCCGTGCAGACAGAGAAGTCACGTCTGAAGGCACAGCAGATGCTGAGAAAAGGCGGGTGTCAGGGAGCCACGCCTCCATGTCTTTAGGGTCTTTGCCTCAGTTTCCCTTGCCGAGGCTCTGCCAGGGGGATGTGGCTGATGCCCGTTGGCTGGGGTTGGTGAAAAGCTGCGTAGACCCTTGTGTCTTCCTGAGCACTGGGCTGTGGGATCACAGAGGGAAGAGAGGTGGTGAATGGGGAGAGGGCCTGGCTGAGGGTGGCCACCTCCTGTGTGTCCCTGCAGAAGGAAGGGGAGTTCACCCTGCACGGCCGGGCCATCCTGGAGATGGAGCAATACATCCGGGAGACGTACCCCGACGCGGTGAAGATCTGCAATATCTGTCACAGCCTCCTCATCCAGGTACCCGCAGGGCAGGGCACGGGAGCTCATCACTGGGCCCTCGGCTCCCGGGGCTCTGTACAGGTACTTCCCGGAATCCTGGCTCTGGGCCCAGCCCTCCTGCACTGCTGGCGCATCCTCCCACAAGAGCTGGCGGAGGCCATCTCCCAGGACGTGTCAGGACGCCTCCCTGCTGTGCCCCGCAGGGACGCACTGCCGCCCTCCTCCCTGGTTCTGCTGTTGGGGTCCAAGGGCCCTCGCTTACTTTATTTTTCTCAGGAAGGCTGAGTGTTCTGTGCAACCTGCATCATCTTGGTAGTTTTGTAGTGAGTGTCTCTTGTCGATTGCTGCTTTCTGGAGTGGTCTTAACACTGGTTTGCAGGGCTTTGCAACCGCTGAACCAGCGTGGACATTGATGTGTCTTTCAGTTTCTATCGTTTTGCAGCTGTAGCTGTTTGTAATTGCAATTGCTCTTACGGGCCTCGTACACCTGTATCCTTGGGCACCTGGTGATTATTTCCTTGGGCGGAGTTTCTGGGACAAAGTGCACTTTTTTTTTGAAAGCTTTTGATTCACATTAGCAAATAAGCTTCTGAAAAGCTGTGGCTGTCCACACGCCACCTGCAGGATCTGAGTGCAGGAGTTTGGGAGCCCTCGGCTTCTGTCACTGCGTTCATGTGTTCAGAATTGTTTAGTAAAACCCACCGCAACAAGCAGCAAGCAAACAAAAGACTCCACTGCACTAAGGCGTTTGGGATTATTTTCAATATTAATCTGGGGCCCAGAAGATAACACGATGCCACCTGCTGCCCATTTCCCTTGTGGCTTCCCCGGAGGTTTGCAGAACATGGAGGTGTGCACCAGCTCCGCCGTCATTGGCCTTTCCTGTTTCAGGGTCAAAGCTGCGAAACCTGTGGGATCAGGATGCACTTACCCTGCGTGGCCAAGTACTTCCAGTCGAATGCTGAACCGCGCTGCCCCCACTGCAACGACTACTGGCCCCACGAGATCCCAAGTGCGTGGGCCCTGAGGAGCTCATGGGAGGGGCTGGGCCAGCAGGACGTGGGGCCTGGTGCCAGGGAAGCCCTTGGAGACAGGGCCCTGAAGGGCTCCAGGGTGTGTGGGGGTCCGTGTTAGCAGCTTGAATCCTAGAAGAAGCCACTGCAGGAAGTAAAGGCTGAGCTACGTGCACCGCTCCAGAGGACTTTCTAGAACCCAGCTGAAATTCCAACGTGTATGAGCATTTTGTCTAGACAAGGCTCTCTCTCTGGCAGCCCTCTCAGGAGGGGGACGTGAAAGCTATGTCCACAGCTCCCTCAGTTTGTTCCTCTCTGAACTGGGGCTAACTCTGCCTTCCTCACGGGCTGGGGAGGGTTAGCAGTGAAGGATGGTGTAGACCTAGGACAGTCCTTGGCACAGGAGACGTAGCTGCTGGCTCCAGCTGGTGCCCCTGTGCTGCCAGCCCCTCCATTCACTGTGTCTTTCCTGCCTTTTCTGTCTACAGAAGTCTTCGACCCTGAGAAGGAGAGGGAGTCTGGTGTCTTGAAATCGAACAAAAAGTCCCTGCGGTCCAGGCAGCATTAGCCATCGTGCCCTGCTGAGGGGCTGGCTGCCTTGAGTGGCCTGATCGCCACAGCCCTTCTTGGAAGAAAGGCGTCCGTGTTTCAGGTTCCACGCGAGTCACCTCTTTCGTCTTAATGTTCACCGTCCACAGCTTTGGAATAAACCATCCTGGGAAGTTGCTGCAGCCCGTCTGTGTTCTCGAGCCCGTGTGTGAGGCTCCGTGTTGGGGCCTTGCCTTTCCTGGAGTTCGGTCGTCACTCAGACCCCCTGGGTTTGGGCTCCAGCAGGTGAAGCCAGCAAGAGCCCCCAGCAATGACTCAGAACAGCTCACTGTCCTTGCCCAGGGCAGCCTTGCCTCCAGTCCCAGCGGTGGCCAGCTGTCCCAGCAGGACTGGGCTGGCCCGAACCTGGATGTGTGAGCCTTGGCCTCCCCAGCTCCCCAGTCTGGACTCTCCCCTGGCCCAAGGTGCCACTGGCCTGAATGGGCTGAGGCTGGGCGTTTGGGCGGGATGCGTGCTCTCCCTCCCTGGACGCTCTGCTCCCTGTGGGTGCCCGGCAGCCCTGCCATCCAGCTGTCCCAGCCGGGACTGGGAGTCAGCCTCAGTGCTTCCTCTCCCTGACCCTCCTGCATCCCATTGTCACCAGATCCTGTCCAGCCCAGCTGCCAATAGCCCTCTAGCCCTGCCACTGCTGCCTCAGGCTGAGCTCCAGCCCCGGCCCACACTCTGCCTCTGTGCTCCCTGCAGAAGACCCCTGGATGCCCCCACTGCTGCAGCAGGGCTGTGACCCCTGGTGAGGCTCCTGCTCATCTGCCACCGCCTCCCCCCACCCACTGCTCAGGGTGCAGCGCTTCCTTCGTCAGCTCCGGAGCCTCTACACAGAGCGCCCTGGGCCTGCGCGCCCTCCCCTCTGGTGTCTGGCTTTGTTTCCTGGCTAGCACCCGCTCGCCCTTTGGCACTGGTCAGCCCCTCGCTCCCTGCACTTCCTCCATCCTCACACTTGTTAAGTCCCCATCTTCATCCCTCTCTTGAACCCCAGCATCAGTCAGGATGCTTCAGTCATGACAGAAAAGCCAACTCAGACTGGCTGAAACAAGGACGGACTTGGCCACAGGGGTCTTGAGGAGATGCCTGGTCTAGAGGCTCCAGCAAGGTCACCACACAGCCATATTTCTGTGTCTACTGTGCTTTCACTGGGCTGGCTGCATGCTTGGGGCCTACGAGGTGGTTTCCTAGAAATCCAGCTGCCTTCTTCATGGTAGCAAAATAGCTGCCATGCCTCTGGGCCTCGCGCATCATGCCTGGGATCAGGAGGAAGAGGGTGGCTCTCACTTAGTGGCTCCCACATCCTTGCAAGCATCCTCATGGCCCACAGCTCCCACGTGGACACCTGTGAGGTGGGGATGGGATTATCCAGCTGGCATTGGAAAATTAGACCCACCTCGGAGAGAGGGGTGGGACTGTCCCTCTCAGGCCACGTGGCTGAGGGAGCAGGGGCCTTTCCCTAAGCATATCGAAGGTGCGATCACATCTTCAGTAGCCTCAGGGGCAGCAGGGAGTGAACTTGGACACTGAATTGGTGGCTGGCCTCCCCCGCTGCAGGCAGGACCACCCCACTTTGTTCACCTCCATAAACCCAGGGTGGAGCAGGCATCCAAGGCTCAGTGAACCAATGACCCCTGCTGGTGGGAGGCTCACCCTCCCAGAACCAGGTCTGGGCTCCTCAGCCCTCAAGCCCACCTTCCCATAGTGAGGCAGCCGGGGACCCAGCCCAGCCCTTCGTCAGTGGGCAGAGACACGCCCATTGGTAAGCCCAGTACGTTCAGCCACTGCCAGCCCCGGCCGGCCTCACCTAAAGAGGGGTTTTTTGGAAACGTATGAGGTGGCTTGCAGAAATGACAGGAAGGCAGGACCAGTCTAGAATGGGAGACCTTGGAATAAGGGTCATGGATGTCAAGACAATTCTGTCACTGCGGGCGCTGCTGCCACAGGGGGTCGGCTCCAGCCTGTCTGAGCTCCTCCCGACACGCCCTCAAGATGCCGGTCCAGGGAGGAGCTGATGTACAGACCTTCCAGGACCGCATCCCTGGGGCAGAGGTCATTCTCCAGAATGCAGTCAGCTTGCCGTTCTGGAAGACGGGAAGATGGACGCCAGAAGGCAAAAAGCCAACTAGCAAATAATGCCTGCAGGAGGGGCCGGGGCAGCTCCGGACTGTCCCAGTTGTCCTGTGGTTCTGGCTGTTCATTCTTTGAGCTCGAGTCAGTCCTGGCTGGGGACTCAGGAAGCCTCTGGGCACTTGGCCACTGGGGACACCAGCCCTCCTGCTGCTTGTCTCTCTTGCCTCCAACCCCTGCATGATAACACCGACATGAACGTCCCACAACGCACACTAGCACTCACTCAAAACCCTCATGAGGAGTTCCAGATGCTGCGTGTCCTCACCCACAGGGCAGGACATTTCCCCTTTTCCCATTCCTCATCTGACAAGGGACATCTGCTTGAAGCCACCTGGCCAGGATACCACACGTTAATGAACGTGGCCTCCCGTGCCCAGCTTTCTGTCACGCTACACTACAGATGGGCCGTGGGGCTTGCCAGCTGGAGCGGCTAGGCACTGGGAGCTGGGGCCACAGTCCACCTGTCCTTCAGCTGGGGAAGGGGTTTGAGTTACACAGGCGGGCCAGGAGTCACAGCCCACTGTGGCCGGGCCGCCACCCCTCCTCACTAATGGCGAACCTAGTCATGAGGGCGTCCCTGTTTTATGCCTCGCTACTTTCAGGGGTGTTGACATCTGGTGTAAATTCTTCCTGTGAAAGATTAGGTAATTCACTATTAACCATGGCAGGGAATAAACAATGTCCTTGCAAACAGCTGCCCACGGAGCCAAGTGGACTCAGCTTCCAGATAGCTCTTGTGTTTGTCACTCCCCAGCACGCCCATGGCCCCTCGGCAGCCCACTCCCAGGATGAGTATCACGGCCTCTCCCTGCCAACAGCCAGCTTTCGAGAATGCAGATTCTGCTGTGTCTGCTCAAAGGCTGAGAACCCCAGGACCTACACGATAAAGTCAAATTCCTTGGCCTGGGTAGAGGGCATCAGGAGCTGGAGTTCAGCTGCCCACAGCCACTTTCCCATCCCCCTTCTAGTTACCCCAGGGTAGCTACCTCCTGGCCAACCAGAATCTTTCCTGGGGCTGCTTGATTTTTGGCTAAAAGACAAGCAGCTGAGCCAGTGGCAGGATGCTGGCAGGATGGCAGCTCAACCCTCAGGGCTCTTTTCCCCAGGCCTATCTTAGAAGCGGGGAAGAAAGAAGCCAAGGCTGGCATGTGGCTCACACCTGTAACCCCAGCACTTTGGGAGGCCAAGGTGGGAGGATTGCTTAAGCCCAGAAGTTCAAGACCAGCCTGGGCAACATAGCAAGATCCCATCTCTATTTAGTTTAAAAAACAAAAAACAGAGGGCTGGGGAAAATCTTAATGGCCAAAACATAAAACAAACCTGCGTGCACACAAACGAGACACAATTACAGAAAGCATAGAGCCTGGCTCTCCCCCTGGCCTCAAATCCCCCAGGTTTGAGAGTCATTACTTCTGGGGGATGGTGACTAGAAGGTGGTAGGAGGGAGGCTTCTAGGAGCTGGTGATGGTTCGGTGGTTTCTTCACTTGGGAGCCTGCTCCTGGGTGAGTGCGGGTGAAAAGTCATCCAGCAAGACCTTCGCACTTCTCTGCAGGCAGGTAGGTTATCCTTGAGCCATGGGGATGACAGAAAGCTCCCACTGCTCAGCAGGGGTCCCGGCTCCTGCGCAGGTCTCTACGGACTCTCTCCTGTGACCTGGGCAATGCCCAGCTCTCTCCAGTATTCAGGCTGTGGCGTCCAGCAGGCCGTTATGGGAAGGAAGGGCAAAAGGATCAGAGTAATTGGGATCAGTGACAGCGGCTAAGGTTCATGCAGCAGCAGGGGCTCGGCACCGCCTTCTCGGCCCTCGGCAGTGAGGACTGGCCTTGCCCTCTTTTCCATATGGGCACAGCGAAGTGGGGGATCCTGGCCAAGTCACCCAGCAGGTGCACAGCGCGGCCGGGTTTGAATCAGGTAGCCAACCTCAGAGCCCATGTTTCACCCCTGCCTGTGTGACCCACCCGTTTCCCAAAAACATTCGGCTTTCTGATGCCAGAGTCCCCATGCAGGCTGTCTGTCTGCAATGTCCTTCTGGGCTCTCCCCACCTTCCTCTGCCATGCACCCCTGGCCTGGAGTGTGCTCCTTCCTGGGCAGCCCCTGCTCTGTGCCTGTCCAGTGCTGGAGCTCAGCCCCCCAGGGCTGCCACTGGGCAGTGAAGGCTCTTCAGGACACAGGTTCAGTCCTGCTTGTCTCTATAGATTCCAGGACCCAGGAAATTAGTGAACAGATGAATGCTGTCTGCATGTCAGGCCCTTTCAGCTCCTATCCTGGCTACGACCACCAGAAGCTGACCGAGAAGCTCAAATCCAGAGCCCGCACGTAATGCCAGTATTTCACCGGGATGAACAGGATCTCTCCAGGAGACAGGATGCAGGACAGGAATGGGGCCTTGGCAAACTTGGGGAACTTTTCCAGGTCGGGATTCTCCACGTCAACCTGAAGAAAGCAAAGGACGTCATCATCTCCAGGGGCAGTGGGGAGAACCTGCAACGTCACCCCAGACCCCCAGTGCCCACCTGGCTCGTGTTATGGAGAAGGTGCGTGTCATGAGGGTACAGAGCCCCTGACTCCTGCGGGGAATACAGCCGGATGTACTTCCTCCCCATCACCTGGGGAGAGAGACCCTGACAGTCAGCTGGTGGCCTCACTCCACTGCTGCCCCAAGCCCACTCTGGCCTCTGTGCCCTTCCACATGCTGCTCCCTGGGCCCAGCCTGCCCTTCCCCACCACACACATGCTTATGGTTCCACGTGTATGTTTTTCTTTCTTTTTTATTTTTTAGAGACAGGGTCTCACTCGGTCATCCAGGCTGGAGTGCAGTGGTACGATCATGGCTCACTGCAGTCTCGACCTCCTGGCCTCCAGAGATCCTCCTGCCCCAGCCTCCCCAGTAGTTGGGACTACAGGTATGCCCCACCACACCCAGCTGATTTTTGTATTTTTATTTTTGGTAGAGATTAGGTTTTAATATGTTGCCCAGGCTGGTCTTGAACTCCTGGCCTCAAGTGATCCTCCTGACTCGGTCTCCCAAAGTGCTGGGATTATAGGTGTGAACTACCAAACTTGGCCTAAGGTATGTTTTTCTTCCAAATACATTTTGAAAAATAACTTCATTTTTGGAGCCCACAATTATTAGGCGCTTGTCTGTGCCAGGCACTGCTTAAGTGCTTTATGTGTGTTAACTGGTTTAATCCTCTCTGAGGTGGTTTATCTTCACTCTCATTTTGCAGGTGAGGAAACTGAAGCACAGAGAGATTAAATGAGCTGCCCAAGCTCACACAGCTGAGGTGTGGCAGGGCTGCTGTCTGCGCCAGGCACGCTGGCTCCCGAAGCCCAGCTCTTAGCCCACTCCTGGGCTGCCTCTCTGGACTGGTCTGCTGGGGTAGGAGAACGTTCTCCTTTACTAAACCTCTCTTTGCCTGCGAAAACCAGGGTGGTCTTACAGCAGTAGACAGAGGTGCCTCCCCTTGCAGCAAATCCATCTGCTCCTCTGACTGGGCCTCAGGAAAAAAACCTCCCAGTGACTGAGAAAACTCCTCCCCCAACCTGCCACCTCCTATTTGGAAGCTGGTCTGGATCGCATGGGTAGCAGGCGGGGAGGGGCAGAGGCACCGGGCACCCACACCAGCACTCGCTCCCTCTCCCGAGGGCTCCCCTGTGAGGGATCTTGGGAGGAGCACATGCAGGAGGAGCCGCTTCTGGAAGCACCGACTGCAGAGGCCTTCCTGGGCCTGGGGCCGTTTGTGGGTTTGCTTTATATTTTTGTCCTCATCCCCTTCAGTGCTTCTTGTTTCTTTTTAAGAGCCCGGTGTTTAAAGGCAGAGAATGTGGCCGGCCAGGTGTCTGGGCCAGGAGGAGTTAGAAGGCCACTATTCCAGCTGCAGCTCCAACCTGCACTAGGAAGTTTTGCTGGGGATCCTGATGTAGTGGGGAGATGGTTCCCTGGGGACCAAACCAGGCATTGATGGTGATTTCCTCCTCCTCCCCATCGCCCAGGCTGCAGTAGTCGGGGATGCTGATGTCCTGCTTCAACTCCGGGATCTGTGGGCGGCAGAGCAGACATGAGATGTGGGGATCCGGCTGGGGACACCGCAGCCCGGAGGCCAACGAAGAGTCAGAAACACATACCTATATCCATTATGTGTGTGTGTGTTTGAGACAGGGTCTGGCTCTGTTTCTCAGGCTGGAGTGCAGTGGCGTGATCTCAGCTCACTGCAGCCTCTGCCTCCTGGGCTCAAGTGATCCCCCCACCTCAGCCTCCTTACTAGCTGGGACTACAAGCATGCACCACACCCGGCTAATTTTTTTTTAATTTTTGTTTTTGTAGAGACAGGGTTTCGCCATGTTGCATAGGCTGCTCTCAAAATCCTAGACTTAATTGATCCACCCGCCTCGGCCTCCCAAAGTACTGGGATTACAGGCGTGAGCCACCGCACCCGGCCCTTGCCGTCCTAGTTTTAAAAGCCAGGGTAGGCACAGAGGATTTGTTGCCATACCTGGCAGAAACAGGCTGGGCAGAGAAGAGAAACTGCCTGACGAGAAAGGCAGGTGTGGGCCTGGGTCTGTGCTCTGAGCTTTATATGATGCAGTAAGGGTGGCGCGGCTCCCCATGGCCTCTGACAGAGTTATATGCCACACATCAAGCGATCTTGGATGTTCACGGTGGGGCAGGGCCGCAGTGGCCTGGCCTCCTTTATTTATTTATTGTAATTTTTTTTTTCAAAGACAGTCTTGTTCTGTCACCCAGTCCGGAGTGCAGTGGTACCATCATGGCTCACTGTAGCCTCAACCTGCAGAGCTTAAGCGATCCTCCTGCCTCAGCCTCCCAAATTGCTGGGACCACAGGAGCATGCCACCGTGCCTGGCTAATTTTATTTTTGTAGAGATGGGGTCTTGCTATGTTGTCCAGGCTGGTCCTGCTTGGTCTCCCAAAGTGCTGGGACTACAGGTATGAGCCACTGCACATGGCCCTGGCCTCCTTTACACAAAGCCAGGGTCTCAGAGTGAAAACACACTCACTCTAAGTCCACTTCCTGTCCAGACCCTTAGCAGGCACCTCAGTTACCTCCGGGGTTGAACCCACCAGAGCAGGCCACCAGCCCACACCCCCCAGGCCACCGAGAACCCCAGGGTTCTTCACGGGACCCTGGATGGACCTGGCGGCATTTTTCAAGCTTGAGAGGCATGAAAACAGGGTTGCCAGAGGGACACAGGGCTTTTTAAGAGTCACTGCTCCGCAGCCTGAAGGCACCTGCAGGTGGACACTACCATTCCTTCGGGAGCAGTGACGGTAACTTCAGGCTGCTGGCTCAGAAACCAGTGTGTACCAGGAAAAGCTGGAATGTTCTCCCTGCAGGGAGCTTGGTCCCAGACACTGCTATTCAGACCTTTAAGAACCTGTCTCAAATCAGCTGTGCAGAAACGCAGCCGCGCCTGCTGCTTAGGACTGAAGTACAAGTTCGCAAGCTGAGGTCCCTCCCAGGGCTGTGAGGGGTTCCTCCCAAAGGTAACCCGACGCTGCTGCTTTTGACCAGAACTGGCCCTGTGGAATCTGAGCAGAAACTATGATTGGTCCCTGATGACATCATCAGGATTTCTGAAAGGTGATTGGCTGACCAGATCATGTCATCAGAATCACTGGCCGAGGATGCAGAGACCCGAAGGGAATCAGTGCTCCCGAGATGTGACTAATAACTGAGGCAGGCTTAAACTGATGGCCAAAATCTTCTAGAACACGGGGTCCCTGGGAGAAAAGTCAATAAGAGGTTCTGGGACAAGAATTTGGTAGGAGTCCCTGAGCGTCCTGTAGGTAGAGAAGGTTCTAGAACACTGTCCTTGCCACACGGCATGATAACACCTGGGCATGGGCTGCTGGGACTTCTCCAGGGTCCTCTCCACAGCATGGTAGACACTCAGCTCTGGGACCCAAGGTAAACACCCAGGCGGCCCTCCATTACCCGAAACATCTTTCAAGTCCTGGCTCATCTTGAAAGTCACTGTGAACTTGGCCTTCTACTCCTAAATATAACTCCTCCTGTCCTACAAAGTATGAAACAGCTGCTCCAGGACAGGGAGCCAAGGTTAACCATGGCTTCCAG
Source organism: Homo sapiens (assembly GCF_000001405.40). NCBI lineage: Eukaryota > Metazoa > Chordata > Mammalia > Primates > Hominidae > Homo > Homo sapiens. The sequence continues at coordinate 27,216,903 of NC_000016.10, read as the reverse complement.
GGTCCCCAGCCCACACTGAGGCCATGCCCCCAGGATGACCAGGGTCAGGAGAAAGGTGGGTCTCGGGATCACACAGTAGGGACCTGATCAATTAGAATCCCCCTTTCCTTCACTTAGCAAGTGACATGGACAGGACGCAGGATGCACAGGTCCTAATAGGGAGGCCTGGGGAAGAGAAACCGCCAGCGTCCTTTAATGTCGGCATGAAGGCTCCTGGCACAGCCCCTACTGGCCCTGGGTCCCCCATCGAGACAGAGAAGCAGTCCTGGCTTCAGCAGTAGATACAGCAGCTGATCAGCATCCCAGGGCCCCACTGCAAAGGCTACAGAGGTGCGGCCCCAGCCCACCCCTGGCTGTAGCCCTGACCCTGACTGACTCGAGTCTTCCACGTTCGGGACACGCACCTGGCCCTATCCTTGAATCCTGCCAAGGGCTGCCTTCCTGGGCACTCCTGGCAGACACCACACCAGCCAGGTCCCTCCTGGGCGCCCCAGCTCCATCTATTTAGTGTTTTGGGGTCCTGAATCTGGGCATCTTCCCCGATCTTCCCTCCCTCCCCCACACATCCACCCACGTCCAGGGCTCGGTGGTTCACACCGGTCTTGAACTGCTCCACCTGCCAGCATCACCTCTCCTTGCACCACAGCAATAGCCCAGCCAGCCACCCGCTCCGACAGCTGCTCCCTTCATCTCTGAATAGCAGCCCCTACAATCCTCGGGGCACTGGCGACCCCCCAGTGTTTCCTGTCACTTTAGGAAAATGGCTCCTCATCACCCACGTCCTGTCACCTTCCTAGCCTCACCTGCTGCCTCCCTCCTACTCACGCTCACTGCTCCAGCCGCACTGAGCCCAGGAGGGGAGGAGAGGGGAAGGTGAGACGGTGAGGGGCAGAGGTGCGTGGCCTCAGACTTACCTGGTCAAAGAGCTGGTGCTGAGCAAGGTACCCGACGTCCCTTGGCTAATCCACCGGGGAAAACCAGAGGCAACACAGAAAGCCCAGTTAGTCATGACAGATGCCCTCCTGCTGCTGCTGTCCAGCTGGCCCCAGCTGCAGCACCCGTCACCCTTCCACTCCATCCTGAGTGGTCCTCTCCAACCCTTAGAGGCCCTGGGGCAGCTTCAAAGAACCTCTCCAGCACCGGGGTACCCAGTTTGTAAAGCACTGATCTCATCCATCTGATTGGCAAACATTTTCATAAAATGGCAACAAACAGTGCAGGCAAAGATGTAAGAAAATGGACACTTGTGTTAATTGCTGGTGAAAGTATAAGTGATCTAACTTTTGGGAAAAATAAATTGTCCTATCCTGTCCTGTCGTAATTTTGACAGGGCCTGGTTCTATTGTCCAAGCTGGAATGCAGTGGCCTGATCTTGGCTCACTGCAACCTCTGCCTCCTGGGCTCAAGCAATTTGCCCCACCTCAGCCTCTTGAGTAGCTGGGATTACAGGCACGTACCACTATACCCAGCTAATTTTTATATTTTTTATAGAGACAGGGTTTCACTATGTTTCCCAGGCTGGTCTTGAACTCCTGGTTTCAAGTGATCCGCCTGCCTCAGCCTCCCAAAGTGCTGGGATTACAGGTGTGAGCCACCATGCCTGGCTGCTATTAAAAATTTAAATACACATACTCTAGACTTAGCTGTCCAACTTTTGGAACAGGCTAAAACCCACTGAATTATACTCCCCTGCCCATTAAAAAGGACCTGACATGAATCCCTCATGTCTGCTGGCTAAGCAGCCTGCCTTCCTCGCTGCGGTCGTCCCTCCGACCACAGACTTACAGCCTGGCTCCTCCAAAACCTCCCATTACAACACATGGGGGGTTATTTGCCTAAATGTACTATGCTCTCTGCCTTGCAAGTACTAGGGGAAAGCAGTCCCCATGATGTACCTCATTCACGATGTATTTGCTGATGAACTCGTTGACCGTCATGAGGGTCTGGGACCATTCCTCATCTGTGTACCTCGAACCAACTTCCACTGGGACAGTTCGGCAGCCAGCGATCTCCTGGATATACTCCAAACTAGCAGAAAGACACACATTGGCATCGTCACTGCTAATATCTGTTGGGCATAGTACTAAGTGTGCTTTGCATGTGGTCCCCTTTCATCCTCGGAAAACCTCACGTGCAGAGACAAGGACTGTCATCCCCAGCTTCACTGATGAGGAACCGGCATGGAGAGGTGGGGCTCCCTGCTCAAGGCTGTGTGGCTCATACACAGTGCTGTGCAGCTTTGCAGACAGGGCCGGTAAGTCTGGTTGGCTGGGCTGCTCTAGTTCCCTGCTTGCCAACAGCCTCCTCACTTCTTTCTTTGCTCATTTTGTCACTAAGCTGAGAAACCTTTGAACAAATAGCGGACAGCGTGGCAGGTGGCAGTCTCCTGGACTCTGCCCTCTAGCCTGGGACTGATTCCAGGCCTCATCAGTTACAGGCCAGGGGATCTGAGGCAGGTTACTGAACCCGAGTCCTTGATCCCCATTTACAGAATGGGGGTGATGACAACACCTGTCCTAGTGCCAGGTACGTAGTAAAATGCTTAATGAAGCCTTGCTGTGAGGAGAGCTCCTGCAATGAGAATTCCTCCACATGTGTCAGCGGGTACCATTCCCTCCGCGAAACCACAAAACAGGCGGACTCCATCTACCTTCCTGGAGAGATGCCTCCTTATTTCCAAACTCATGCAGAGCCGCGGCATGACAGCCACGCTCCAGCTGCCTGATCTGATCTCCCCATCATGATTCTGAGAAAGGACTAGAAACAAACACAAGAGACCACAGAATCCCTCAGAGAGAGAGGGGCTGTCTCTTGGGTTATTTCTGCTCTTAGCTTCAGGGCCCTGAGATGGTCTGAAATTGCTAGGATCCTGTAAAATTGCATAACAGAAACATTCTAGGACTGCCACTTAGGGACTCATTAAAAAACCGCTTAAGGCGAGCAAGGTAGAAGGTAAGAATCCCATAACCTGCGGCATAAATTCAGAGCACCTTACTTTTCACTCTTTTTTAACCCCTTGGCAATCAGTCAAGGGCTGCTAGTGAAGCATCTACAAGGTTGCATTTCCCTGGGGATGGTCGGGAGGAATTCAGGGAGCCCTGGGGAACGCTAAAATGGGAAAAGGGACCTCACCTCCCTCAGCGACCACCCACCTCCACTTCTGCATGCACGGCCAGTGGTCAGCCACGCCTTTCAGGATCACGGGCCTCCCTGGAACCAAAAACTGCTCCCTGAAATGCTGGAGGGACGGACGGTGCAGCCGGGGGACTGTTTTTTCTAACTTCACATCTGGAATCAAACCATGGTCCGCCCTTGCTTTCTGTTTAAAATCAAAACAGAACAAAATAGCAACCACCTCAGGAAGTCGACATTTGAGGTATTCCACCAGGAACCTGTGTCAGGGGTAGGAGAGCTTAGCTGTCAAGAGTACCAGTAACAACAATAGACAACGTTTGTTATTATTACTGCTACTATTACTATTTGCTCCTCATGAGATCAAGGTGGTTTTTTTCTTAACCATTTCATCAAAAATGTTTGTTTCATTATAAACTGCTTTCACAGACATTCTGCAATAAAGGAAAACTTACTATCTCCAACTTCACCATCTTAAGGTCTTCTCATTCCTATTCTTTTCCCATCTTACACACACACACACACACACACACACACACACACACACACACACGCAAAATATCTCTGACCCACTGGGAGTAACAGCAATGATGAAGCAGCAGCCCTGCCTCTCCCCTCCAATCATTTATCAAAAGCAGTTTCCACATGGCCACCCGGTCCTTACAGTTTCTTAGGAGTGGCTGCACCATCATTTCCTTAACCATCTCCCAGCTGGGTGACCTGAGTAAGTTACTTGCTGCTTGAGAACCTCAGTGTCCACAGGTGTGAACCTGCTGGGAAATGGCCAGCCACACTGGCTCATACCTGTAATCCCAGCACTTTGGGAGACCAAGGTGGAAGGACTGCTTGAGCCCAGGAGTTTGAAACGAGCCTGGGCAACATAGAGAAACCTCTGGCTCTAGAAAAAATTTAAAAAGCTCGGCGTGGTGGTACATGCCTGTAGTCCCAGCCACTCGGGAAGCTGAGGTAGGAGAAATCACCTAAGCCTAGGAGGTCGAGGCTGCAGTGAGCTATGTTTTATTTATTTATTTATTTATTGAGACCGAGTCTTGCTCTGTTGCCCAGGCTGGAGTGCGGTGGCACAATCTCGGCTCACTACAACCTCTGCCTCACGGGTTCAAACAATTCTCCTGCCTCAGCCTGCAGAGTAGCTGGGATTACAGGCATGTGCCAGGACGCCCAGCAAATTTTTGTATTTTTAGTAGATATGAGGTTTCACCATGTGGGCCAGGCTGGTCTCGAACTCTTGACCTCAGGTGATCTGCCGGCCTCAGCCTCCCAAAGTGCTGGGATTATAGGCGTGAGCCACCATGCCCGGCCTGCAGAGAGCTATGATTGTGCCACTGCACTCCAGCGTGGGTGACTGGGCAAGACCCTGTCTGTAAAAAAAATGAAACAAAAGAGCAACCCACACCCCATGCCCTTGGCCACATGGTGCCCTTGGCAACACCGGGTATCATATGAAGCCTTGTTTGCTAACTTAACAGCCAAAGATGAAATGCTGTTTTGCTATTTGCATCTCTCTCTTTTATTTTTTTAACCAGAGGTGAGGCTGAACATTCTCCTGCACATTTGTTTAACAGATCTATTTCCTTCTTGTGAACAGTCTGTTCAGGTTCCTGGATTTCTACCTCCTGGGGCTCAAGATTTTTTCCCTATTGATTTGTACCATTCCTTACGTAATAGAGATATTCATTGTCTGACATATTTGTGGAAAAATTTTCTTCTCCCTTTATTTGATTTTCTTTTATTTTGGTTACATGCCTGTGTGTTTAGTGTCAACCACTTGCATTTTTCTTATATAAAAATAATTTGTGGCTCACGCCTGTAATCCCAGCACTTAGGAGGCTGAGGTGGGTGGATCACCTGAGGTCCAGACAAGCCTGGCCAACATGGTGAAACCCTGTCTCTATTAAAAATACAAAAATTGCCGGGCGTGGTGGTGGGTGCCTATAATCCCAGCTACTTGGGAGACTGAGGCAGGAGAATCATTTGAACCTGGGAGGCAGAGGTTGCAGGGAGCTGAGATTGCGCCACTGCACTCCAGCCGGGGTGACAGAGTGAGACTCCGTCTCAAAAATAATAATAATAATAATATGCATTGTAGGAAATTCGGAAAACATAGCAAAGCATTTAGAAAAATGTCAGAAACATCCCATAATTCCACTACCAAGTGTCTAGTACAGTCTTAGTCATTTCTTTCTGTGGGTCAGTACTCTGCCACTCTACAGACAAGGAAACCGAGGCTCAAAGGAGGTTAAGTGACTTGCTTGGGTGTGTTGCAAGTGAGGCCTGTGTGTTGGCACCAGGACCTGAAGCCTTCAGAGTAAACCATGCTCTGTTCCTGGGGGTGCTCTTTGGAACAGGCACATAGACCCAAGGGGTGGGAGAGATTGACCCCAAAACAGACATCAGCTAGTTGTAGTATCTCATCCAAACCCAGGAGCAGAGAGACAGGAGCAGCTGGAGGTATCGCCTCGCCTGGGTGAGACTTCAGCAAGCCCACCAAGAAGCTGAAAGAAACGGGCTGCCGCTGGCTGCAGCTCTCACCCACACAATCGCTTTAAGCTGTTTCCCTCAGGAACCACGAAGTTTCTCTGCTGCCTCTCTGCTGAAAGGGCGCTGCCTTTGCAAAAAAAAAAAAAAAAAAGAGAGAAAATGAATGGAGCTGTTCCATTTCCAAAGTCAATGGGGGCTGAGCACGGTGGCTCACACCTGTAATCTCAGTGCTTCGGGAGGCCACGACAGGAGGACTGCTTTAGGCCAGGAGTTCCAGATTAGCCTGAGAAACATGAGACCCTATCTCTACAAAAAATAAAAAATAAATAAGAAACTAAAAAAATTAGCTGGGTGTGGTGCCATGCACCCATAGTTCCAGCTACTAAGGAGGCTGAGGCAGAAGGATTGCTTGAGTCCAGGAAGTGGAGGCTGCAAGGAGCCGAGATCACACTACTGCACTCCAGCCTGGGCGACAGAACGGGACCCTGCTTCCAAAAACAAACAGAAATCCAAAATCAATGGCAATGCTGTTTTCCACCAGAGGGGTTGCAGGCCACGAGGCCTCACCCCAGGGGAGAGATGACTCGGAATTTCTAGAACAACAGGGTTGCTGGATGGCTAGTGTGCTTGGGGAGAATCTCCCCCACATACCTTTGTGCAGGGTTGCTCTGGGAGGGAGCCACGGGCAGGCCTCTTTCCAGGGAGGTGTGTCTGGAGGATGGCAGCGACTTTAAGAAGGATGTCCCCCAGGATGGCTGCCCCCATCAGCAGGCCCATGTCACAGACCCGCAGGGCTGCGGCCACAGTGTTGGCATCCTCAGGTGCCTGGCACAGACACAGGGCTTTCAGGAGGCAGCCGATGGCGTAGACCCGGCGCCAGTCTTTGTCTACGTCCTGCCATGTGCCCGTGTTGAGCTTCTCCCAGGAGTAGTCCAGGATCACCTCGCTGCTCTGCAGACACTCGTCCCTCCTGCCCTCGTAGAAGAGCTCAGTGGCTCGCTGCAACAATGTCACCACGCTCCTCTCCACTTTCTCCCCGAGGTCCAACTTCAGGTCTTCTTTACTGTGCGGCAGGAGCGCCCTGAGGGCCTCCCATAAAGTGCCTTCTCTGGCCAGGGGCTCTGCGGGGCAGTGGGTGTCTCCAGCCATCGGGCCACCACCAGCTGGTTCAGTCCCGTGCCTGGGGAGGTGGAGAGAAACAAGAGTTAGACACCAGGACAGACCTGATCCCCTGTGCATTCCCGCAGCTTCCTGCATCTCATCTGCGAGGATTTTTCAACAGCAGTCTTCTCTGTTGGGCAGAAGCTCTGGAGGGGAGGGCCCTCATCTGTCTGGGGTCACCACTGTATCTTCAGGGCCTGGCGCAACACCTGGTACTCAGCAAGCACTGGATAAACGTCTGTTCAGAAAGGAACGTGTATTGTCCTCATCTGCAGTGCCTCCCATACCCCTCCGCTGCCTGGCAAACTCCTACCCAACCTTTAAAGCCCATCTTAAATATCCCTATGTGAGGCCTGCCAAGACTCTCCAACAGTGTTCTGTGTTCCTGCAGCCCTTGAGCTTCTCTTACAGTACTCGTCAGGATGTATGAAAACACCTGCTTACACGTGTGTCTATCCAACACTGCACTGCCAGCTCCACCAGGGCAAGAACGTAGCTCATTCCCCTACGTTTCCCAGAGCCTAAAAGCAGAGTCTGCCTCATGGCAGTCACTCAGGAGTGCCAGGCTTTGAAAAGTATTCGAGAAGGCCGGCATGGTGGCTCACGCCTGTAATCCCAGCACTTTGGGAGGCCGAGGCAATTGGATCACTTGAGCTCAGGAATTCAAGACCAGCCTGGCCAACATGGCAAGACGCCGTCTCTACAAAAAATACAAAAATTAGTTGGGCACGGCGGTACATGCCTGTGGTCCCAGCTACTCAGGAGATTAAAGGTGGTGGGATCACTTAAGCCTGGGGGCAAAGGTTGCAGTAAGCCGAGATCATGCCACCAGCCTGGGTGACAGAGCAAGATCCTGACTCAAATTAAAACAAAAAAACAAAAATGAAGTGACTTGCCCCAAGGCCTACGGTCAATCATTTGTGCAGAAGCAGGGCTTAAATTCTGGCTGATCTCAGCACCCTCTCCTGTGCGCCATGTCAATGCTGCATGCTTGACATAGATTAACACGTCCCTTGCAATCCTATGATGGGAGTTTTACAGATGAATAAACTGAGATTTCGAGGTTAAGCAATTTGTGCCAAACTACACAGTAAGTGGCAGTGTCTGCCCAGAACACTCATTGCCTTCAAGGGTGAGCTCTTTGGACTTTGTATCCACAGGGCTGAGCTTATAATGAGTTCATTTCCATTCTTGGTTCACAATGAACTTTCTTTCTAGCAAGCTCAGGGTATGGTAGGGCTCAGAGAGCCCCAGCCTGCCAGGGTGGGTTCTATCTCTAGCCTCCTAGAAGGCTTGTGTTGGCCTCATTCACAGCCTTCTTGGAGCGTTTCACAGTCCAATTTCCAGCATGGACTTATCCACTAGGCCAGCACAAGACACCACATGGGCCCATCCCTGGCCTCCCTGGGTGGCCTCCTGGCTCATCCCGTGTGTGGCTTACATGAATCTTATAGAGCAACATGGAGAAGTCTCATCTTGAGCATCCAAAAGACCTCAGGGGCCTCATATCCTGGCTTCTCATAAAGGCCAGTGGAAAGGCCTCCCAGGAGACCATTTATTGCCCTACTATAAAACTGGCTTCCACTGGGGCTCTATGTACCAGCTTTGTAAACCTGTCTCTTGATGGCCTTAGAAAACAGCCTCCCAGAGGGTTTCAAATGGGCTATAAACCTGTTCTCTGCAATGCAGATTACGGGCTTTGTAAATTGGTGTTTCAGGGTGACCTTATAAAACGGCCCCTCACAGGGCGCCTATCAGCCTTACCAAGCCAGCTTCTCAAGGTGGCCTCACGTGTGCGGCTTTGTAGCCAGGTTCCCCCAGTGGCCCCGTGTCTGCTTTGTCACCTGGCCTCCCAGGGTGGCCTCATGTTTGGTCTTCATAGGCGGCCTATCTGCTACTTTGCAAATCGGCCTTGGAGACCTCATGTTGAAGGCCAATGGACACAGCCTTCTGGGAAAGATGGCCTCCTAATACTGTGAGTTGGCTGTACAAAACTATCTGCTCTTGGCCACATGAAATAGCCTTATGATTATTCTTTAATGCAGAGTTCTTCAATGAACGGCCTTATCAAAAGGCCTTCAGAGATACTTACGTTGACAATATATGATGGTTTTCCAGAGACAGAGGCTTCAGGATGGCTGTATAAGTTTGTTTTCAAAATGGCTTTTCAGATTGCCTCTGTATAAGCCACTTGAAATGGCCTCCCCAAAGGCCTCAAGATTATTATACACTATCCCCCAGCAGGGCACCTATAATCCCAGCTACTCGGGAGTCTGAAACAGGAGGACTGCTTGAGCCCAAGAATTCGAGACCAGCCTGGGCAACATGTAAAGACCCTGTCTCTAAAAACAATTAAAAAATTAGTTAGCTGGTCATGGTGGCACACACCTGTAGCCCCAGCTACTCCGGGAGCTGAAGCAGGAAGATTGCTTGAGCTCAGGAGTTTAAGGCTGCAAGTGAACTGTGTTTGTGCCTCTGCACTCCCATCTGGGTGACAGAGTGAGACCCTGTTTCAAAAAATAAAACTATAGCCTCCTACAAGGCCTTATGTTGGCAGCATGGTGAAGTGGCATTCTGGCCGCATCAGTCTTCTGCCTTGTTGCATAGGCTTCCCCAAACCTCTCATGATTTGGCCTTTTATGTAGTTACCATATCAAACAGCCACATCCTGGTATAGGAAGCAGTCTTCCAAAGCAGTTTTGTGAGATGGAGTCTTGCTCTGTCACCCAGTCTGGAGTGCAGTGATGCGATCTCGGCTCACTGCAAACTCCACCTCCCAGGTTCAAGTGATTCTCCTGCCTCAGCCTCTGAGTAGCTGGGACCACAGGCACGCATGCCATCACGCCCGACTAATTTTTGTATTTTTAGTAGAGACGGGGTTTCGCCATGTTGGCCAGGCTGGTCTCCAACTCCTGACCACAAGTGATCCACCCACCTCAGCCTCCTAAAGTGCCGGGATTACAGGTGTGAGCCACCACGCCCGGCCCTTGTAACTTGTTTTAAAAACTGGCCTTCCTATAGATGGGGGCTTGTCTGAGGACCAGGTGAAGTCAGATTTTGTCTTAGTTTTACAAATCGATCTGTGGTTTCTTCATTGTGCCAGGAAAGAATTGTTTGTTGTGTCCATCTACCCCGCTGGGAGCAGCCTCACATTGGCTCCTGTTAGCCATGCAAAATGGCCTTACAGAAGGAGTCTTGGTCTGGCTGGGGAAACACTCTCTTGCTGGCTGTATGAAACAATCTTCCAGGGTCACTGGCCTCATGGGCTATGAGAAGCAGCCTTCACACCACCAACCACTTGAGATGGCCCTCCTGGGAAGGTCAGGTGCGAGCCACAGGTCACTGCCTTTCTGAATGGCCTCAGGTCCAGGCTCATCAGCCTTCTGGCATTTCCCATATACTGGTCTGATAAAAAGGCTTCTTGTTGTATCAAGAGGTTTTCTAGAGGAAAGGACTAGCCAGAGTAGCCTTATGGCCTGGCTTTATTGATTGGCTTCCCAGAACTCCTCACTGAATTGCTGTTTATAAAGTCTTATATTAAGGCCACGTGCATCGCTCACGCCTGTCATCCTAGCACTTTGGGAGGCTGAGGAGGGTGGATGACCTGAGGTCAGGAGCTCGAGACCAGCCTGGCCAACATGGTGAAAACCCATCTCTAATAAAAATACAAAAATTAGCCAGCGTGGTGGTCCACGCCTATAATCCCAGCTACTCGGGAGGCTGAGGTAGGAGAATTGCTTGAACCTGGGAGGCAGAGGTTGGGGTGAGCTGAGATCTAGCCACTGCACTCCAGCTTGGGTGACAGAGCAAGAGTCTGTCCCTCCCGAAAAAAAAAAAAAGCACACGCACACAAAAGGCTTACATTAAACAAACAGGCTTCCAAAGGAGGGAGTCAAGAATAAGATGTGTGACTTGCCAGTTCCCTGCAAGAAGAAAAAAGATGTGTGAAGCAGTCTTTGAGAGTGGTGCCACAGACTGGCCTTCGAGAGCTCTACATAAAAGGGTTTATTGGGAGTTGTACAGATAGCCTTCTAGTGGCCAGGTATAGGTGGGTCATCCAAACCAAGATGCTATTAATATTTATGTCTGCATCAGTAAAAAACTGGTGTTATTCTAGGCAAACTGACACCTACCGTAACCCAAATGTGGGCCATATCAAAAAGCCTGAGTGGCCTCGTATCTTCACTTTACAAATCAGTCTCCCAGAGCTCAACAGGTATTGGCCTTCAAAGACCTCTTGTTGATCACAGAAGGTTTTTTTATTTTTATTTTTTTTGAGACAGAGTCTTTCTGTCACTCAGGCTGGAGTGCAATGGTGCGATCCCGCCTCACTGCAACCTCTGCCTCTCAAGTTCAAGCAATTCTCCTGCCTCTGCCTTCTGAGTAGCTGGGATTACAGGTGCCCGCCACTGTGCCTGGCTAGTTTTTCTATTTTTAGTAGAGACGGGGTTTCACTCTGTTGCCCAGGCTGGTTTTGAACTCCTGACCTCAGGGTGATCTGCTTGGCTTCCCAAAGTGCTCAGATTACAGGTGTGAGCCGCCACGCCCGGCCCAGAGAAGGCTTTATTTATTTTTGTGGGGAGGGGGGCGGTCAGGTATAGAAACAGCTTGAGTGGGCTTATGTCCTGGCTTTGTGAACTGGCCTCATAACCTGGAACAGCTTTCAGGGGGAGATCAAGTGTGGGTTGCATAAAACAGCTTTTGAGTGGACTTGATTCAGCCCCTAAATGCTCCTTACATAAAGTCTTGTCTGCTGGTGTATGAAATGATCTTGCAAAGAAGGTCAGAATATAGGCTGTTATGTGCTAACCTCTGAGTGGTTTTTCTCCTGGATTTATAAATAAGACTAAAATGAATCTTATAAAAGCCTTCTTGTTGGTCGTACTAAACAAAAAGGAGCCAAGTATAACCTGTATAAAACAGCCGGAATAGACTCAGGCCTGGACTTTATAAATTCACCATCCAGGCAGAATTCACTATGCAAACTGGCAAAGTAGGTCCCTGGTAGGTTATGGGATATATCCCTCTTGGAAGCCACTGCCCTGTCATCCTAGGATTCTCTCAAATTATTTTTATTATTTTTTTTGAGACGGAGTCTCGCTCTGTCACCCAGGCTGGAGTGCACTGGCCCAATCTTGGCTCACTGCAACCTCCGCTTCCCAGGTTCAAGCAATTCTCCTGCCTCAGCCGCCCAAGCAGCTGTGATTACAGATGTGCACCACCACACTCAGCTAATTTTTTATTTTTAGTAGAGACGGGGTTGCGCCATGTTGGTCAGGCTGGTCTTGTGAACTCCTGACCTGAAGTGATCGGCCTGTCTCGGCCTCCCAAAGGGCTGGGATTACAGGTGTGAGGCACCGCGCCCAGCCTTAAATTATTTTTAAACATCAACTCCTCTAAAGCACCTCCCTGAGTATTCTTTAAGGTGGCTGGGTGGAATGGCCTCTCCGAGAGCCTCACTGTGATTTGCAGAGGGTCTCAGGGTGGGCACTCTGCAAGCACCATGCTGGTCATGAGAAAGCCTCCCAAAAGGGGCTTCCAGGACAGATCAGCCTACACCTAGCTTTCTGGGAACAGGCGGTCCAGTTCTCTAATCTCCTCAATGTTATTATGGCAGTATTCCACAAAAATTGTGCAAAAACAAGAGCTTCGTAAAACTTCCCAGGAAAGTTTGGAACATTTTCCAGAAAGCTTTAATTCATGGCACAGGGATCCCTTTGGCTCTCTAAGGGGCACACAGTCTTGTGTTTGGGTCGTCCGTGTGGCCCCAACGCCTGCGCACCTCCTGTCCCCGGGCTTGCTCCCGAGTCCTCCTGAGCACGGCGATTCCTACCGTTGCCGGGAAACGCACCGATGCCCATCGTTAAGTCCTACCGAGCTACAAGCACCTTTCCTTAGGGCAGTCACACACCCAGGCCCCAGAGGGTCCCCCGTACCCCGCACTGGCCTTGAGCCCCGAGGCCTCAGACCCCCTTCCCTCCTCAGCGCCTTCCCCGGGGCTGCATTTCTCGCGGCTCATATTTGGGACCTGACGGCGGAATCGTTTCCAGCCTGCCTTGCGGCCCAGGGGCAGCGGCTGGTTGCCTAAAAGCAGCGGACACACATATAGCAGAGTATAAAACCCGCGCAGGCGCACTAGGCCTACACCAACGCGACGCCAAGAACCGCTAAAGCGCACAGCAGCCCGCCGTAAGGGCCTGCCCTCACGCATGCGCAAAACCACTGCCAAGAGACGAGCATACGCACGCGCGGAACCTTTCCCTTTATCCTCCCGCAGGGCAGGCCGGCGACGAGCTAAATTGCATTCTCAGAGCGCATGCGGCAACTCGAGCCACCCTCGGGGTTTTCCAAGGCGCACGCGCGAGGCCGGGCTTGGCTGCTTCACATGACGCCTGCGCGGTCTATGCCTCTGAACCCGGCCTCTCCACTTCTGAGGAACTGGAGCTGACTCCGCTCTCGAGTTGCTCAGACTAACCTCTCTTCAGCTGGGACGGTGTCGAGTCGCCTTTGGGCTGGCGAAGACTCGTTGCGTTTGGTCCGACCACTCGGCTGTGTCCCCTGAGGAGCCAGAGGCTAGCATAGGAGTATCGATCGCTCACCGCTCGTCTGATCACGACGCAGTGCCTGGAGGAGCGCCGAGTGATCGATGCCGTGGCCCCGCCCCACTGCTGTTTAAAAGGCCGGGGGATGGAGAAGACAGAAAGGCTTGGCTGTATCCTCTGGGTCCTTCCACGCTAGTGATACCGCTTTTTCCTCTGCACAGATAACAACTTCGTACAAGGCTGTTTGCATCCACCATTTAATCTCTGCAGCTAGGATTATTAGTTCTCCCTATTTTACAGAGAGCGAAACTGAGGCTCAGTGATTAAAGTGGCCACATACTTGTACTTTTGGAAAGTCAGATCCACAATTACCCACGAGCAAGTGCTGCATCCACAGTCTGTTCGAGTGAGAAGGCAAGTGGCCAGGGGACACACTCCTGCCACCTTTGCTTTGATGCCGAGTGGTGCGTGGTCACTGGGACTTTTGTGTTTTGAGCACACACTCCTGTGGACTCCAAGTATGCACGCCTTTTGCAGCATTGCACAGAGGCATGGAAAGTTATGTTCGTACTGAGCTTGGGGTCTGAGTAGGAAACAGGCTTGCTCAGGATCAGTTCATAGATTAGTGGATTCTAGGTACGGTGCTAAAATACTTTAAAAATATGAGGATCGTAGCTATTGTAATGATCATGCTCATCCCCATTTTAGGGAGTGTATTAGTCCGCTTTCATGCTGCTGATAAAGACATACCCGAGACTGGGCAATTTACAAACAAAAAGGTTTAATGGATTCACAGTTCCACATGGCTGGGGAGGCCTCAAAATCATGGTGGAAGGTGAAAGGCACGTTTTACATGGTGGAAGACGAGATAATGAGAACCAAGTGAAAAGGGAAACCGCTTATAAAACCATCAGATCTCATGAGTCATATTCACTACCAGGAGAACAGTATGAGGGGAACCTCCCCTATCATTCAGTTATCTCCTACTGGGCCCTTCCGCAACACGGAATTATGGGAGCTACAATTCAAGATGAGATTTGGGTGGGGACACAGCCAAACCATATCAGGGAGGGAGCAAGTAAAGCACAGAAAGATCTCCTAACCCACCAGGCTCACTGGGATGCTGGTGTTTGAACTCAGCAGCCACAGGTTTAGAATCCTCATGGTTATGTGCTACACTAAGTTTCCACCCTTGAGTAGTGACAATGTTGAATTTTCCCTGAGTCTTGTGTCCCCGGAAAAAAGTAAAAAGGAATTGCTCTCACCCTTTTGTGTTGTGGAAAAAAGTTTACTGCAAAGAATCACCCCCCACCCCCACAAGAGAATTTAGATAAGACTCCAAGACACCACCCCCATTGTTTACCTGTGAGAGCAGGTAAACAGGACACAGACCCTCCAATTCTCATTCATTGTCTTATAAGTGATTACCTGAACTGCTTGTCCCACTAATCAATCCTTATAAAACGCTGGTCAACCACTTTGGTTAAGATTCTTTCCTTCCTCCAGGCCCCTGAACTTTGGCTCACCCTGGGCCTGGGCCAGCAGACAGCCCCTCCTCAGAATAGGCTGGCCTCAGGTTGATATATTCTCTGATCTACTAACCCATCATGTCACCCTTTCACCCCACTTCCAGGTTCTTTCTAGCCTTGTTTTCTTCTTCCTATGAAAGAAAAGCTCTTTTTGGCCTAACCCTTGTGGCCACAGTGTACTCTCTTTTGCAAGTCTCCCTTCCCCTGTTATAATAGTCCCTCCTGGCCAGGCGTGGTGGCTCACACCTGTAATCCCAGCACTTTGGGAGGCCGAGGCGGGCGGATCACGAGGTCAGGAGATTGAGACCATCCTGGCTAACACAGTGAAACCCCGTCTCTACTAAAAATACAAAAAATTACCCGGGTGTGGTCACGGGCACCTGTAGTCCCAGCTACTCGGGAGGCTGAGGCAGGAGAATGGTGTGAACCTGGGAGGCGGAGCTTGCAGTGGGCCGAGACACCGCACTCCAGCCTGGATGACAGAGCGAGACTCCGTCTCAAAAAAAAAAGAAAAAAAAGTCCCTCCTGCACCTTGCAATAATCCTTTCAAATAAAGCCACTCTTTTTTGTTTCCTTCAAATAGGATTTTTCTTTTTTATTTTTTTAAAATTATACTTTAAGTTTTGGTTTACATGTGCACAGCGTGCAGGTTTGTTACATACGTATACATGTGCCATGTTGGTTTGCTACACCCATCAACTTGTCATTTGCCTTAGGTATTTCTCCTAATGCCATCCCTCCCCCAGGACCCCACCCCCTGCCAGGCCCTAGTGTGTGATGTTCCCCTCCCTGTGTCTACGTGTTCTCATTGTTCAACTCTCACTTATGATTGAGGACATGTGGTGTTTGGTTTTCTCTTCTTGTGTTACTTTGCTGAGAATGATGGTTTCCATTTTCATCCATGTCCTTGCAAAGGACATGAACTCATCCTTTTTTATGGCTGCATAGTATTCCATGGTGCATATGTGCCACATTTTCTTTATCCAGTCTATCATTGATGGGCATTTGGGTTGGTTGCTATTGTGAACAGTGCTGCAAAAAACATACGTGTGCATGTGTCTTTATAGTAGAATGTACAAAAATCACAAGCATTCCTATACACCAATACCAGACAAACCGAGAGTCAAATCATGAGTGAACTCCCATTCAATAAAATACCTAGGAATCCAACTTACAAGGGATGTGAAGGACCTCTTCAAGGAGAACTACAAACCACTGCTCAAGGAAATAAAAGAGGACACAAACAAATGCAAGAACATTCCATGCTCATGGATAGGAAGAATCAATATCATGAAAATGGCCATACTGCCCAAAGTAATTTATAGATTCAATGCTATCCCCATCAAGCCACCACTGACTTTCTTCACAGAATTGGAAAAAACTACTTTAAACTTCATGTGGAACCAAAAAAGAGCCTGCATAGCCAAGACAATCCTAAGCAAAAAGAACAAAGCTGGAGGCATCATGCTACCTGACTTCAAACTGTACTACAAGGCTATAGTAACCAAAACAGCATGGTACTGGTACCAAAACAGATATATAGACCAATGGAACAGAACAGAGGCCTCAGAAATAACACCACACATCTACAACTATCTGATCTTTGACACACCTGACAAAAACAAGCAATGGGGAAAGGATTCCCTATTTAATAAATCGTGCTGCGAAAACTGGCTAGCCATATGCAGAAAGCTGAAACTGGATCTCTACCTTACACCTTATACAAAAATTAATTCAAGATGGATTAAAGACTTAAACATAAGACCTAAAACCATAGAAGCTGTAGAAGAAAACCTAGGCAATACCATTCAGGACATAGGGATGGGAAAAGCCACTCTTTACTAGATCTGAATTTGTTTTGACAGTGGATGGGCAGTTACTCTACAGAGACTACAGTAGGGCGGGCACTAGAATCTCCAACTTGCCCAGACAGGCACCACAGCAAGGACCAAAGGAGATTTGACCTGGGACCCCCTGATTCCAGAAGCCACAGTGTTCAGGAACTGGCTGTTAATGGTGGGTATGGAGTGCTGCCAGTCAGGCAGAGACAAACACCCCTTTTACCAGCTTGTTTGTGTTTTCAAAACTGGCTTGTTGAAATGAATTACAGGCGCAGATGAAATGTTTTCTTAAAAGAACCACAATTTTTCACCACAGGGTTTCACTTCCTGTAGTCTCTTTGCCAGTCCCTCCACCTCCTGTCATTCCCAGCAGCCTTAGAATTGGCCATTAAGCTGACAGACCCATTTGAATGCTGCAAAAGCCACTGAACAGAAAAAGGCATCATTTAGGCCCATATTTGTGATTTTTCTCCATTTGATCAGAAGCCTGTAATTTAAATATATCCAAGTGTGCTGGGAGCATTCGTGACTTAATTATCAAATTTATTTAAAATATATACATACAAACAAAGCTCCAAACTTGCAAACAACGTGTAGCTTGGCCATGAAAGAGACATTTAATTTACTTCAATTGCTTAAAAATAGACATGAAAACCTCCCATGTCTTGGCTCTTCCACTGATGCCACCTGGATTTTCCAGGTGGAGGGTCTGCTCACTTAGTTATTCTGTGCTTTCAATTTCATTTCAGCATGTGACCTTCAGCCGGGAGCTAGCAAGCCTAAAATGACCTTGCGTGAAGACTCAGAGCAAAATACCAGGTGTTTTGTTGAGTGGGTTCCCCTGGGGTACAAGCAAATAGCCCCCAACATAAAGTAAGGCAGACCGGGATACTTTCTGTCTGAGCCTCAGTGTCCACCTCTGAAGTGGCTATGTTGTCTGGGATATATACCCTGGGGTTCATTGTTGCAGCCAGGAAAATTTAGGACATGGACACACATGAGGAGGTTAGGAGCGGAGGTTTAATAGGTAGAAGAGGAGAGAAAGAGAAACAGCTTCCTCTATCGAGGAAGGGGTGTCTCAGTGGGAAAGACTGGTTGGCAGCAAATGCGCAAATTTTATAGTCCAGTTTGAGGAGGCGGTGTCTGATTTACATGGGGCTCATAGATTGGTTAGATCAAGTGTGACGTTTACATAGTGCGTGCAGAAGGCTAGTCACCTCACCCTAATCTTATTATGCAAATGGGCTTTCCAGTTGATCAGCGCCATCTTGTCTGCTTCTTACAGTACATGTGGCTGGCAGAGAAGGGAAGATGGAGCCACCATCTTGAAAATGTCTAGTTGTTAGTTCCTGCCCTCATTCACCCATGCAAGCTCCCAGCTTGCTTGTCTATATCTGCAGCTCAACTTTACAGGCTGCTCTTTGTTAGAAAATGATTTGGGGCTGCTTTTCATGAAAAAGAAAGGCCTTTTACAAGGGTAAAAGGCTATCTGCATAAGTGATTTCTTCTTAACTTCTATGTCGTCTTCATGAAATAGGTATTGTGAACCCTAAATAGCCGAGACAGGTCTCAGTCGATTTAGGAAGTTTATTTTGCCAAAGTTAAGGACGGGCCTGTGACACAGCCTCAGGAGGTCCTGATGACATGTGCCGAAGGTGGTTGGGGCACAGCTTAGTTTTATCCATTCTAGGGAGACATGAGACATCAATCAATATGTGTGAGATGTACATTGGTTTGGTCTGGAAAGGCAGGACAACTCGAAGGAGGGAAGGGGCTTCCAGGTCATAGGTGGATAAGTGACAAATTGTTGCATTCTTTTGAGTTTCTGATTAGCCTTTCCAAAGGAATCCATCAGATATGCATTTCTCTCAGTGAGCGGAGGGGTGACTGTGAGTTCTGTCTGTCCTGAGTCCATAAGAAAATCCCTTGTGGACAAATTGTGAGGAGGTATGTAGCTTTTTTATCTTACTAGCCATCTTCTTTAGGAATGGAATAGGAGGCAGGTTTGCCCTAAGCCGTTCCCAGCTTGACTTTTCCCTTTGGCTTAGTGATTTTGGGATCCTGAGATTTATTTTCCTTTCACAGTATGATAACCGACCTCCCCAGGAGGTAGTGATGGTTAGATAAGGCAGTTAAATGTCTCAAGCTACACTCTCTGTTCTTCCCTCTGTCCCAGAATCTATTTATTCCAACCCTCCACTCACCTGCTGGTAATGGCACAGGCTGCCCTTCCGGTTCTGTGTCCAAGGACCCCTGTGGGCAGTGTGGAAATTCTTAAAATATAGGTTCTTGGGTACTGCTTCTGGATATTTCGATTCAGTAGTTCTGGAGTCAGGTCCAGCTACCAGCCAGCAGCCTGGCCAGGGTTTTGCATTTTCACTAGCTTTCCAGAAAACACAGAGGGAGATGGCACCCACATTTTTGGAAATGTAGCCGATGCCTGGAGAAGTGTTACCCAGACTATGTTACCCAGGCTGGTCTCAAACTCCTGGCTTCAAGTGGTCCCCCTGCCTCAGTCTCCCAAAGTGCCGGGATTACAGGAATGAGTTACGGCAGCTGACAGAGAATCTATTACTTGATGGGAGAGGCTTTAAGTCACATGTCAGAAGGCTTGGGTATGGATGAAGGATGATGTCAAATTTTGGTGCGATTTTTGCAGTGGACAAACACACAAATCCCTGCCCATGTTCTAGTGGCGGGAAACAGGAAATTAGAAAATTATGTGCATTGTTATATATATTATGACTCAAGCAGGGGAAGGGGGACAATGGTGCTATATGTGTGTGTGGTGAGGGCTGCTGGTTTGCATGGAGTGCTCAAATCCTCTCTGATAAGGTGACACCTGAGCTGCAACCTGAAGGAGGTGAGAGAGTAAGTCATATGGGGCCATGTGTGGGAAGACAGTTCCAGGCACAGGGAACAGCAGGTGTGCTGGGCATCTAAAGAAGGAGCACAGAGGTCATCGTGGTTGGTGGTGGGGAGCAAAAGCTGGGGAGTAGAAGCTGATGACGTCAGAGAGATAACTTGGGGGTAACTCTTGTAGGGCTTTACCGGATGTCGTTAGGATTTAGGCTTTTGTTATGGGTGAAATGGGAAGCCCTTGGAGGGTTTTGAACAGAAGAGTGACATGATCTGAGTTAGATTTTAGGAACTCACAGTCCTAGACAATTAAAGATGTAATATTAATAAATACACTGGGTGCAGCAGCTCACACCTGTTATTTCAGCACTGTGGGAGGCTGAAGTAGGAGGATTGCTTGAGGCTGGGATTTCGAGAACAGCCTGGGCAACATAGCAAGACCCTATCTCTACAAAGAAATTTTAAAAAGCCAGACATGATAGCACATGCCTGTAATCCCAGCACTTTGGGAGGCCGAGGCAGGTGGATCACTTGAGGTCGGGAGTTTGAGACCAGCCTGGCTAACATGGTGAAACCCTGTCTCTAACAAAAATTCGGCCAGGCACAGTGGCTCACACCTGTAATCTCAGCACTTTGGGAAGCCGAGGCAGGCAGATCAACTGAGGTTGGGAGTTCGAGACCAGCCTGACCAACAAGGAGAAACCCCGTGTCTACTAAAAATACAAAATTAGCCAGGCGTGATGGCGTATGCCTGTAATCCCAGCTACTCGGGAGGCTGAGGCAAGAGAATTGCTGAACCCAGGAGGCAGAGTCTGCAGTGAGCGGAGATGGCACCATTGCACTCCAGCCTGGGCAACAAGAGCGAAACTCCGTCTAAAAAAAAAAAAAAATTAGCTGGGCGTGGTGGCGCATGCCTGTAGTTCTAGCTACTCGAGTGGCTGAGGTGGGAGGATTGCTTGAGCCCTGAACTTCAAGGGAGGCTGCAGTGAGCAGTGGGCTATGATCATGCCACTGCACTCCAGCCAGGGCAACAGAGCAAGACCCTGACTCTAAAAAAAAAGAAATAATAAATAGCAATAACTGTGAGGAGTGTGTCATGTTAGGTGACATGTGGAGAACCACAGGCACATGTCACAGGTTCAGATCAAAGGTAAAGAAGGGTGTGGCAGTTTTAAAAAATGATTGCAAATGCTTTGATGCTCCTCCCTTTGAGTGGCAGGCTTGAGTAGGGTATGGCAGAGGTGACACTATGGGTTTTCTGAGGCTGGGTCATAGACAGCGATGCAGCTTCTGTTCGTTTGCTGGAGCACTCAGGAGCCTGGCACTCCCTCATAAGGAGTCTTCCCAGCCCAGGAGCTGGGCACTCACATGAATGAACCTTTGGAAGGTTCTAGCCCCAAGCCATATGCCTCTTCCCAGCTGAGCCCTAGACATCATAGAGCAGAGACAAGCTATCTCCTCTGTGCCATTTCCCAACCCTTAGAGTCTGCAAGCATAGTTTAATGGTTATTGTATCCTGCTAAGTTTTAAGACAGCACAGCAACAAATAACTGGAAAGGGGGTAATTCAGATACCTCGCCATGGAGGGGAGATTGTTCCAGGAAGAAAAAAACAGCTGGTCTGCTGGGGTGGAGGCAGGAGAGACTGTGGTGGTGATTTAGAGCAAAATTCCCCAAAGTCTGGATGCTCCTGCTGGTGGTACAAGGGGTGACTGGGAAGCATTTTCTTCCATGCCAAGTAGGCGTTGATGGATTGCTGTTGTCCAGTCATTACGTGAGGAATTTCAACCAAGTTTGCACATGTTCAGGCAATGACAACTATGTTACAATGGCCACCTAGTCTATAGTGATGACATGAAATCATTGTTTGCAAGGTGCATTCCAATTTCATATGTTAAAATGTGAAAAAAATGCCCCTGAAAATAGATAAGGAGGAGTAATACATAATATTAGGGGCTGGCAGAATATGGCAAGTATTGCAAAGGGGAAGATGGCTTGGGAGCGGGCACGTGGCAGGAAGCCAGGGAGATGGCTGGATGCAGATAGGCTTGCTCGACACCCCTGCACACTGCCCCATAGGCAGCAAGCACCAGACCCAGGTCTGGCAGCCTCCAGGCTTGTCCCAGTGCTTTTTGTATCTCCAATGCTCACCAGGATTCTTTTGAAAACCTGGACAGGACTGGAGCAGGGCAGGGTGAGGTTAGGGGAGTGATATGGTTTGGCTGGGTCTTCGCCACCAAATCTCATCTTGAATTATAATAATTCCCACATGTCAGGGATGGGGCCAGGGGGAGATAACTGAATCATGGTAGTGGTTTACTCCATACTGTTCTGATGGTAGTGAATAAGTCTCATGAGATCTGATGGTTTTATAAATGGGAGTTCCCCTGCACAAGCTGTTTTGCCTGCCACCATGTAAGATGTGCCTTTGCTCCTCATTTGCCCTCCGCCATGATTGTGAGGCCTCCTCAGCCATGTGGAACTGTGAGACAATTAAACCTCTTTCTTTTATAAATTACTGAGTCTCAGGTATGTTTTTATTAGCAGCATGAGAACAGACGAATACACGGAGGAAGCTTAAAGCTCTGGGCTGTCTTGAGGGGTGCTGTGGTTTGGATATGGTTTGTTCCCAGAGCTCATGTTGAAATTTGATGCCCAGTGTGGCCGTGTTGGGAGGGGGCCTAGTGAGAGGTGTTTGGGTTATGGGGGTGGATCCCTCATGAATGGCTTGGCGCTGTTCTCATGGTAGTGAGTTTTTGCTCTGGCAAGACTGGATTAGTTCTTTTGGGAATGGATTAGTTCTCGCAAGAGTGGGTTGTTTCAAAGCCAAGATACCCTTCATATTTTCCCCCCTTCCCATGTATCTCCTTCCCCTTTGGCCTTCTCCTCTGTGTTTTGATGAAGCCTGAAAGCCCCCTCCAGAATCCAGGGTCATGCCCTTGAACTTCTCAGCCTGTAGGACCATGAGCTAATGAAACCTCTTTTCCTTATAAATTACCTAGTGTTCATGGTAGACAGGTCTATGCAAACCTACCCCAACATCTGAGGAAGCTGAGAAGCCAAAGAAAGACGCCGACAAATCCAGTTTCTTAGAAAGGAACATTTAATAGGGACTTACAAACAGAAGCCATGTCTGTATCTTGGGCAGCAGTGGGTCAAGATGGTGGATCCCTGCACAGTTACCCCCTAGACCCAGGGCTTATTACCGTAGGGGAGGGGTGGTTTGGAAGGGATGTGCAGGAAAACTGAAGTAGGATTAACATCAAGGTTGTATGACCCAAGGGCAGGATTTACAGTAAGTATCTGTTCTTACCCGAGGAACAATAGATAAACTGGAAATCTTAGAGACCTTCCTGGAACTGGAATTAATCAGAAGTCAACACTGCAGATTAGCATCCGGGATGGAGTTGTTTAGTATTCTTTTATAGCAACATAAAGCAAGAGGGAACAACCTGGTCTCTGCTCCTCAATATTGTATTTATTTATTTATTTTAGAGATAAGATCTGTCACCCAGGCTGGAGTGCAGTGGCGCAATCATAGCTCACTGCAGCCTCCAACTCCTGGGTTCAAGTGATCCTCCTACCTCAGCTTCCCAAAGTGCTGGGATTATAGGTATGAGCCACCGTGACTGGTCCTTAGCATTCTAGAGCATTCTAGTCCCCTCCACGTTGGACACTATTGGAAAGACATTGGGCGCTACCTAGCTACCTCTTTGTCCTGCTGACCCCACTGCAGGAGGTTTCTGGGAGCTCCATCCAACCTGGTGTGTTCATCCTGTGGAGGCTGCAGCAGAAGTAAGGGTGGAGCATATGTCCTGTCCTATCCTGCATCCACCAGGAGAGGCCCTCATAGTGGGAGGAGTGCATAGAGACAAACAGCTTGGCTGGTTTTCCATGGGGACTGAAGGGACCTTGATAATTATCATCATCATTCTGATTGATTGTTTTTAACACTAGAAAGAGTCACCATTTCTTGATGTTTACCATGATTTGGGTGCTTTATGTATTAATACAACGTCTCATTTTATCTTTGCAGGGTACTGGAGACACTGGTAGTAACAGCTCCATTTTAAAGAGGAGGACACTGAAGCCCAGGCAGTAAGTAACCTGCCCGAGGTCACACAGCTGATAAGATGGTGGGAAAAGATATGGCCCCAGATATGTCAGATTTCTTTTCTTCTCTCTCTTTTTTTTTTGAGATGGAGTCTTGTGCTATTGCCCAGGCTGAAGTGCAGTGGCATCATCTTGGCTCACTTCAGCCTCCACCTAGTGGGTTCAAGCGATTCTCATGCCTCAGCCTCCCGTGTAGGGGATTACAGGTGCCTGCCACCACGCCCTGCTAATTTTTGTATTTTTAGTAGAGATGGGGTTTCACCATGTTGGCCAGGCTGGTCTTGAACTCCTGGCCTCAAGTGATCCACCCACCTTGGCCTCCCAGAGAGCTGGAATTATAGACGTGAACCACTGCACCCGGCCCCCTCCCTTTTCTTTCTTTCTTTTTTTTTTTTGAGACAGGGTCTCACTTTTTCACTTGGGGCTGGAATGCAGTGGCATGATCAAGGCTCATTGCAGCCTTGAACTCCCGGGCTCAAGTAATCCTCCTGCCATAGCCTCCAGAGTAGCCGGGACCACATGCACATACCACCATGCCTGTTAGTAGAGACGAGGGTCTCACTATATTGCCCAGACTTGTCTTGAATTCCTGGGCTCAAGTGATCCTCCTGCCTTGGCCTCCTGAACTATTGGAATTACAGGTGTGAGCCATCACATCCGGCCAATACGTCTGATTTAAAAGCCTGTGTGCACACTTTGGGAGACCAAGATGGGTGGATCACCTGAGGTCGGGAGTTGGAGACCAGCCTGGCAAACATGGAGAGACCCCGTCTCTACTAAAAATACAAAAATTAGCTGGGTGTGGTGGCACGCACCTGCAATCCCAGCTACTCGGGAGGCTGAGGCACAAGAATCACTTAAGCTCAGGAGACGGAGGTTGTGTGAGCCAAGATTGTGCCACTGCACTCCAGCCTGGGTGCTCTTAAGAACCACTGCATTGCCATCATGTCATGTCCATTCCCTATGACTAGGCCTGGCTGGTTGAAAAAACTGTAGATTTCTTAGACTGTTGATTACTTAGAGCCTCATGTTCTGTAGGAATCAGATCAATGCTAAGTGCCCTCAGGTCTTCAGAGGACTTATGTCTAGCGTTGGAACCCGAGAAGCTGGGGTTAAAGTGATCAGTGATGCCTATCAGTGCAATTCCACAAATATTTTCGCAAGCCCTCCTATGTGCTAGGCACTGTTAGACACTGCTAGGGGTGGAGTGAAGCTACAAAGATTAAAATGTACTCTTTAGGCCTTCTGGGAGATTACCATTACTAGGGAAAACACATACAAAAACATAAACCCTAGTACATGTCATCATCACTGAATTGTGTTAGACATCATTGGGTTTTAAATTACAGAAATCCAACTCAAGTTATTCTAAGCAAGAAAGTAGACATTTATTGGCTCATATGACAGAAAATCTCAGGACTGGTCTGGTTTCAAGCACGGCAGAATCTAGGTGCTGAGGATGTTGTCACATCTTGGCCACTCTTGCGTCATCTCCTGGCCTCTCCTTTCTTCTGAGCCGACCTTATTCCCAGGTAGGGTCTTTTCTTATGGTGGCCCCTGACAGCCCCATGTTTGCTTAGCAACCCCAGAGGAAACAGAGTGCCTCTTTCCCGAGAGTTCTAGCAAAAGTCCCCGAGAAGACTGCCAATGCTTGGCATGTCACATGCAGATGCCTGAGCCAATCACTGTGCATGATGGTTGTGATGCTGTGACTGGCCAAGGCCAAGTACGTGTCCATCCTTAACTGAGAGTGGAAGTTGAGCAGTACTGCTCCCCAAAATTGAGGTGGTGTTACTAGGGGCAGGAGAACAGATGTGAGTCAGGCAAAACCCACACATGTCCCGAACACCAGCCTTGATGGCAGGAAGGGCCATGGAGTTCATCTTGTCTGATACACTCATTTTATAGATGGGAAATATGTGTTCTGTTTAGAGCACACCTTTCAAATCCCATCTCTGACACTTGGGAGGCCCGGAGCAATCTCTTTACTTCTCTGTGCCTCAGTTTCCTCATCTCTGAAATATTTATAATAATGACATCATAGGGTTAATTGGAAGGATTAATTCACATAAATGTTGTAACATATTTAGAACAGGGTAGGCCGGGCATAGTGGGTTGTGCCTATAGCTCCAGCTCTTTGGGAGGCCAAGGCAGGAGGATCGCCTGAGCTCAGGAATTTGAGACCAGCCTGGACAACATCTCTACAAAAATTTTAAAAATTGGCCAGGCACAGTGGTTTGCACCTGTAGTTCCAGCCACTCAGGAGGCTGAGGTGGGAGTGATCGCTTGAGCCCAGGAGTGTGAGACTGCAGTGAGCTATGATGATGCCACCGCACTCCGGCTTGGGTGACAAAGTGACAACCTGTCTGGAAAAAAAAAAAGAACAGTGTAACATAGGAGGTGCTCAATAAGTGCTTATTCTCACTCCTCTCTCCTCATATTATTGTAAGATTTCTAGCCAGAAGCCTCTGTGGCTGGTAGCACCTTTGCCTGAGCTTTGCTCGGGTCTGCTGGGTGGGCTTGTTCTGCTGACTCAGCCTGGCAGGCTGCACTTGGCTTATGCTACTGGACTAGACCCCACACCTGCCAAGGGTGAGCCAGGCATGGAGCAGCCAGGGGTGTGTGAGTGAGCGAGCATGGGGTCCGGCCACTGTGCACAGCTAGGCACACCGGCTGCCGTGGCAGGGTGGGCAGCTCCAGGCGCTGGCACAGATGCTGGCTCTGTGCAAGCCTACAGCTGTGTCTGATGCACTGCAAGTGGCTTCCACTGTGGGCACCCACATCTAGACAAGGGGAACGCAGTGGTGCCCGGGAGGTTGGAGACGCCGTAGAGCCCCAAAGAGGGTGTCGCAGCTCTGGCTGAGGGAGCCCCTAGGTCTGGGCTCCCCGAAGGGCTGCAGCTCTTCTCTCCTTCTCGTCTCCCGCAATATGGCAAGCACGGGGGCATGTTTCAACCCTGTTTGTGTTACAGCTCTTTCAGTCCTGCCATTTGCTGGGTCCTGAGTTCTTGTCCTGCGTCCAGGAAGAATGAGGTACGAGGACAACTGGAGGGTGAGCAAGGTGAAGAGGTGCTTTATTGAGCGACAGTACAGCTCTCAGGAGACCAGAAGTGGGTAGCGCCTATCCACAGGCAGGTTGTCCTGACATCTCTGCGAGTCCGGGGTTTTTAACGGGCTTCAGAAGGGAGGAAGTGTGTTCCTCCCATGGATGGGCCCAGAAAAAGCCCATAAGTTCTCACTCTGGGCTGCAGACTCCACCTGGAACTGACAGCCCAGCCCCCAGGTTTCAGGCCAGCCTGTCCCTGGCTTGAAGGTGGGGCTTCACTGGAGACCCACCCCTTTCTGCCCGGGAGCCTGTCTGCCTCCTGCTGCCACCTGTTTAATACATGTCATCCACGGTGCCCAGGCTGTTTATGCAAAGGGGCTCCTGCAGGCCTGTGCCAAGCTGCCCTCAGCTCCCCCTTGGCCTCCCTCCCATGTTTGTCAGTGACCAAAGTCTGGAGGGGCTGAGATGGCAGGAGGCTGGTATGTCAGCACTGCTCTGCGTGTGCAACACCTGGCCGGGTTGAGACAGTCCCCAGGCTTGGCCACAGCTTTGCTCTGAAATCGAAGTGAGTGCTGGGAGCAGGGAGAGGCCAGACAGTTGGAGCAGGAACTTCTGAGCCTGTCGTGGCGGGGGCTTCCCCGACCCCTGAGAACTTAGGGATGCCCTGGTCTGGAGCCATGGCTGGGCAGCTGCAGCTGTACCGGAAGAGCACGGGGCTCCCACTCCACCAACTCACAACAGGGCAGGCAGGAGCCCTGCCTGTTCCTGGCTCCCACCAGCTCCGTGGAGTGCACAGCCCTGGCTGCTTCTCCCCCACTGCAGCCAGCGTCTTCACAGCGGCTGCTCCAAACGGGCGCCACTGGCATCAGTATCCCCAGGATCCCCTAGAGCCATCCACTCATTTCTCCGTCTCTGAAGTGCTGTATTGATCCCTGTAATCCAGTATTGTCATTGTTTGCCGTCACTGTCATGGCACTCGATTTCTTCTACTTGAATGTGAGTTCTTCAAGGGCAGGGACCATATCCTGTGAATCTTGTGTCGCCAGTGCCCAGCACGTAGCAGAAGTCAGTACAGAAGACACATCAACCACTGAAGTCGGTTTGCAGACCAGTTGTCCCATGTATCTAATGCTGAGTAACAACCATAAAATTTGGTGGCTTAAAACACCATTTATTTTGAGCAATAATCTATAATGTGAACAGGGATTGGTGGAGACAGCTTGTCTGTGTTCCACTTGGTATCAACTGGGGAGCTAGAAGTCCAGGGGCTGAAGTTATCTGAAAGGCCCCCATCACATGCATGTCTGGCACCTGGGCTGGGAAGACTCAAATATCTGGGGGCTGGAACAGCTGGGGGTCCTTGTGCATTTGTTTCCCTCCCCTTCCCTCCCCTCCCCCGTCCCTTCTCCTTCCCTTCCCTTCCTTCCCTCCCCTTCCCTCCCCTCCCCTCCCCTCCCGCTTCCCTTCCCCTTCCCTTCCCTTCCCTTCCCTTCCCTTCCCTTCCCCTCCCTTCCCCTCCACTCCCCTCCACTCCCCTCCCCTTCCCTTCCCTTCCCTTCCCCTCCCTTCCCCTCCACTCCCCTCCACTCCCCTCCCCTCCCCTTCCCTCCCCTTTCCTTTCTTTTCTTTTTGAAAACAGGGTCTCACTCTGTTGCCCAGGCTGGAGTGCACTGGCGTGAACAAGGCTCACTACAGCCTTGACCTCCTGGGCTCAAGCCATCCTCTCACCTTAGCCTCCTGAGTAACTGGGACCACAGGGCCACGCCACCACACCCAGCTAATTTTTTTTCTATTTTGTAGAAACGGTGTCTCTCTATGTTGCCCAGGCTGGTCTCAAACTCCTGGACTCAAGCGATCCTCCTGCCTCAGTCTCCCAAGTAGCTGGGATTACAGGCATGAGCCACCATGCCCAGCTAATTAATTTTTTTTTTTTTTGTAAAGAAAAGGTCTTGCTGTGTTGCCCAGGCTGGTCTCGAACTCCTGGGCTCAGGCGATCCTCCCACCCCAGCCTCCCAAAGTGTTGGGATTACAGGTGTGAGCCATCACACCCAGCGGGGCATCTCTGTTTCCACTGTGTTCTCTCTGTGTGGTCTGTTCAACAGGATGGCTTCAGACTGTATGACTTTTTTAAATTAAAAAATTAATTTCAGAATACATTTAGATTGACAGAAAAATCAGAAAGCTAGTACAGAAATTTCCCATATATCCTGCATCCAGTTTTCCCTATGATTACTATCTTAGATGGTATAGTGCATCTCCCACCATTAATGAACCAATATTGATACTTTTTTAAAATAACTAAAGCTCATACTTTATTCAAATTTCCTGAGTTGTTATCTCATGTCCTTTCTGTCTTCTGGGATCCCATCCAGAACACCACATTACCTTGGTGGCCATGTCTCCTTAGACTTCTCTTGGCAGTGAGAGTTTCTCAGACTTTCCTTGGTTTTCATACCTTGATGGTCTTGAGTACTAGGCAGGTATTTTGTAGCGAGTCCCTTGGCTGGGTTTTTCTGATGTTCTAATGGTTAGGCTGGGGTTATGCATTTTGGGGTGAAGTACCCTTCTCATCACATCATATCAAGGGTACATACTATCTGGCTGGGTGCAGTGGCTCACGCCTGTAATCCCAGCACTTTGGGAGGCCGAGGTGGGCAGATTACTTGAGGCCAGGAGTTCAAGACTCGCCCGGCCAACATGGTGAAACCCCATCTCTACTAAAAATACAAAAATCAGCCAGATGTGATGATGCACACCTGTAATCCCAGCTACTCAGGAGGCTGAGGCAGGGGAATCACTCGAAGCCAGGAGACAGAGGTTGCAGTGAGCCGAGATCATACCACTGCACTCCATCCTGGGCAACAGAGCGAGACTCCGTCTCAAAAAAAAAAAAAAGGGTACATACTATCAACATGACTTACCACTGTTGATGTTAGCCTTTTTAAAATTATTTTATTTTTAATTAAATTCTTTTTAACTTTTAAGTTTAGGTGTACATATGCAGGTTTGTTATATAGGTAAACGTGTGACGGGGATTTGTTGTGCAGATTATTTCATCACCCAGGTATTAAGCTTGGTACTCACTAGTTATTTTCTCTGATCTTCTCTCTCTTCCCCCTTTCCTCCCTCCAATAGGCTCCAGTGTGTGTTGTTTCCCTCTATGTATCCATGTGTTCTCATTATTTAGCTGACATAAAATTTTTTTTTAGTAGAGACAGGGTCTTACTATGTTGCCCAGGCTGGTCTTCCAACTCCTTGGCTCAAGTGTTCCTCCTGCCTCAGCCTCCTAAAGCGCTGAGGTTATAGGTGTGAGCCACTGCACCTGACTGATGTTATTTTCAGTCTCCTCAGGGGTGGAGGGTGGGGTATCTAAAAAATTACTTGGAATTATTCAGCATGGAAGATTTCTCCATTCTCTTTCCCATTTATTTATTTACGTAATCATTTATTAATGCCTGTATTGACTCATGGTTATTTATTTTACACTCTGGGTTATAATCCAAGACTACTTCTTTTTTTTTTTTTTCTTTGAGACAGTCTCGCGCTGTTGCCCAGGCTGGTGTGCAGTGGTGTGATCTCAGCTCACTGAAACCTCTGCCTCCCGGGTTCAAGTGATTCTTGTGCCTCAGCCCCCCTAGTAGCTGGGATTACAGGCATGCACCATCATGCCTGGCTAATTTTTATATTTTTGGTAGAGATGGGGTTTCACCTTGTTGGCCAGGCTGGTCTTGAACTCCTGACCTCAAGTGATCTCCCTGCCTTGGCCTTCCAAAGTGCTGGGATTACAGGCATGAGCCACCACGCCCAGCCAAGACTTATAATTTTGTTGTTTGAATTGTTCTAGCTTTGGCCATTGGAAGCTTCTTCACACTGGCACCTGTGGTGTGTGTGTGCATGTATGTGTGTACTTCCTTACTTTTTGATGCTACAATATGCTCCAGGCTCATCATGTATATTTCCTGCCCCAGTCCTGGAATCAGCCATTTTTTTCAAGAAGTCTGGTTTCTTTTATTGGAGAATGGTATCAGAAATCAAGATCTAGGCTTTAGGTGTGTTCATTACTCTTGGGGTATACTCTTGGGGTATATGACCTTTTAAAACATTGCCTTGAAAGTTATGGGGTTCTCTTCTGCCATAATCTCAGGCCCACTCAGAATCAAGGGGAGAGGATGCAGACTGCTCCTTCCCTTTTGAAGGAGGCCTGTCATTGTCACATTGCAAGAGCTTGTGAGATGGGATAGGTTGGTGTTGTCATCTTTGGATAATACCATCTGTCACACCAGTGATGTTGTTGTCCACCCAAGAATTCTTACTTTACGTAACACATCTTTCCTCCCTGTCTGGTTTCTGTTTTGCCTCAGAGACTTTCTTTCCATGGTTTAGTTTTTCCTGCAGGTAATTTTAGTTGATACAGGGACATACATTAAATAACATTGAGTCATATTGTGAAAGTAATTTCCTTTTCAATTCTCTCCTAATCCCTTCGCTGGAGTCAAGGAGAAGGTCTCAGCTTGGTGCTACAAATGTCTTTACCATGTTTATAACTCTTGCTAATTTCTTTTTTAATGTTCTGGCTCAGAGCAGTCTTACAGCACAGCATCCTAGGTGGAATTTAATTATATGGCTTTATGTGCTTTTGCAGTTACACTCTGCAGCAGAGACGTTTGCCACTTCCCAGGATGCATGTGCACCCCCACATCTCCCAGTCACCTGGGAGTTAGGCAGGGCCACGTGACGACTATTCTTGGCCCGTGGACTCTGGGTGGAAGATTTAAACGTCAGCGAGTGGCCCTCCAGCTCTGTCATCTCCTGTTCAGTGACCAAGGAGTCCAGGCGTTCTGAGAGGGCATTGCTTCCTGATGGCTTGGGTCTGTGTCCCCGCCCAGATCTCATGTCAAGTTGTAATCCCCAGTGCTGGAAGTGAGGCCTGGTGGAAGATGATTGGCTCATGGGGGCGGATTTCCCCCTTCTCTACTGTTCTCGTGATAGAGTTCTCACGAGAGCTGGTTGTTTAAAGGGTGTGGCACCTCCCCCTGCCGCTTCCTCCTGCTCTGGCTACGTAAGACCTGCTTGTTTCCAGGCCGGGCGCGGTGGCTCATGCCTGTAATCCCAGCACTTTGGGAGGCTGAGGCAGGTGGATCACTTGATGTCAGGAGTTCGAGACCAGCCTGGCCAACATGGTGAAACCCCGTCTCTACTAAAAAAATACAAAAATTAGCCAGGCACGGTGGCATGCGCCTGTAATCCCAGTTGCTCAGGAGGCTGAGGTGAGAGAATAGCTTGAACTCAGGAGGCAGCAGTTACAGTGAGCCGAGATCACGCCATTGCACTCCAGCCTGGGACAAAGTGAGACTCTGTCTCAAAATAAAAAAAAGAAAAAGAAAAAAATGGCATGCCTGTTTTCCCTTCACTTTCTGCCATGATTGAAAGTTTCCTGAGGCCTCTCCAGAAGCTGTCATGCTTCCTGTATGTCCTGTGGAACCATGAGCCAATTAAACCTCTTTTCCTTATAAATTACCCAGTCTCAGGACATCTCCCTCTGCCCGAGTCTCTGAGTGAAGCAGAGCCTTCCGTCAGCCCATGCTGGATGCACAACATTTGCTATGTTAAACCTTTGAACTCTTGGGATCATTTTTTATTTCATTTTTTAGAGTTGGGGGTCTCACTCTGCTGTCCAGGCTGGAGTGCATGGCTTGATTATAGCTTGCTGCGGCCTTGAACTCCTGGACTCAAGCAATCCTCCCGCCTCAGCTTCCCAATTAGGTGAGACTACAGGCATGCACCACCATGCCCTGCTAATTTTTAAATTGTTTTGTAGAGTCAGGCTCTTGCTGTTTTGCCTAGGCTGGAGTGAAGTGGTGTGATCCACAGCTCACTGCACCCTCAAACTCCTGGTCTCAAGCAGCCCTCTCGCCATGGCCTCCCCAAATGTTGGGATTATATTTATGAGCCACCACACCTGGCTGGGGTCAGTGGTCTTTGTTGCATTGACTAAACTTTCCTAATATATATATACATTTTTTTGACAGGATCTCACTCTGTCGCCCAGGCTGGAGTGCAGTGGTGAGATTTCAGCTCACTGCAACCTCCACCTCCTGGGCTTAAGTGATCCTCGTACCTCAGCCTCCTATGTATGTGGGACTACATGCATGAGCCACCACACGTGGCTAATTTTTGTACTTTTTGTAGAGTTGGGGTTTCGCCATGTTGGCCAGGCTGGTTTCGAACTTCTGACCTGAAGTGATCCGCCCGCCTCAGCCTCCCAAAGTGCTGGGATTACAGGCATGAGCCACCGTGCCTGGCCACTAATATACCTTCTAAACAGGGCAAGTGATACTGAATTCATATTTACATAATAACGCAAAATTTACCAAAAATAAACATAAAGGGAGTTGGTTCAAAGAGAAATATCAGGTGCATAATTTGCTCGGTGATACTTAGACATGGTAAGAATCCTGGGGGCAAAAATCCAAATGATCAACCAAGAGCCAAATGACCAGTGTTTTTGGAAAATACTGCTCTTGTATTCTCATCTTGCGCTCTGCAGGGGAACACGGGCCTTTATGGAAATTGGCCAGAAAATCAATCTCTATTAATTCCCATTTGTTCACTCTATGTCCTGTGGCTTAAACAACATCACCAAAATCTTTACATTAACGTTGATTAGGTCAGAGATTACATTAAAAGATCTGAATTTTACATTTGATTTTAGAACCAAATAGCTTGCCTTTGCTCATAGTATTCCCCAAACACTAATCCAGGGTATAACCTGGTGAGAAGGAGGGTTTTCAAGTCTTTCTGTTCTTAGGGTGCTATTTAAAGGCAGAAGCAAATGATAAGTGACTCAGGATTAGAAGCCACCCAGACACTGCAGCCAGTGGGGAAAGGATGGAGTGTTGTTCCAGTCCAGGGCACCAAAAGCCGGGCACGTGCCGATTAACGAGTAATTGGGTCCTGGCATGGTGATTTGCATGCTGGAAACTGCTGAAATATTCATGTACTTGACTGTGTCTCTTCCAATTAGATATAATAAATGCAGATTTGGTGGCCATATGTTTTATTTTGATGTAATGGTTTTAACCTTTATGGAGCACGTGCGTGTGTGTGTGTGTGTATGTAGTTCTCCAGTTCTCTAAGGCTGGCCTGATTTGAAACACGCTGGTATTTTTGAGATGCAATTTGATTAGATTATTATTAGAGACTCCTTCTTGGGATTGGAAGAACAAGCAGTATTAGCTTTCTGTTTTGACTTCTGCATTTATTTATTCCTTCCTTCTCTCCTGTGTCCCCCTTTTCTTTCTGCCCCCTTTCTGCCCTCCTTCTCTTGCCTTCCCTCCCTTTCTCCCTCCCTACCCCCATCTCTTGAGCAACTGGATTAATCTCTCTAAGCCTCAGTTTCCCTACCTGTAAAATGGGGATGACAATACCTTTTTATGAGGAGTAAAGAAGATACTGTATATGAAGCATTTAGCACAGTATTTGGCACATAGTAAATGCTCAGTAAGTGGCAGGTGTTGTGATTAGTTATCAGCAGCATAAATCTCAGCAGGTTACCTAACCTTTCTGAACCTCAGTTTCTCCATCTGAAAAATAGGCTCATGCTATTCGTTTCCCCAGATTGTTGTGATGTCTGCTATTTTTATCAGATGCTCAGAGTGAATAAAGAACAAATGAATGAATTTTGGAACTAATTGTGTATTAGAGTAGAAACCCCACAGTAACAGATTATTCCAAAATTTCAGTGGCCTGACATATTACATTTATTTCTCCCTCCCATCACATCCTGATGTGGATGGAAAGGAGGCTCTGCTCCATGCAGTCATTCAGGGATCTGCACTTTTTCCATCTGAGGGTTTAACCCCTGCAGAAGTCTCCAAGTCCTCTTCCTTCAGCCCATGATTGAGGTAAGACAATGGCAGATCTCATGTGGGAGGTTATTATGCGACAGACCAGGCAATGGTGACTTCTGTTCCCATTCCATTTGTCTCTCAGTACATTGCTGACCACAAGCAAGGCTGGGAGCTGTGTGCCTAGGACAGCAAGGAGGACAAGCAGGACTTCATTCTGGATTTAGGTTTCTAGAAACCATAAGGTGGGCAAAAACTTTGCCACCTGCTTCTGAGACTCACAAAAAAGATAACAAATGAGTCTGATTTGATGTCATAAACAGGTTGAAGAGGCAAAGGAAGGCTGAACAAGGGAGAAAGTGAGAAGCAGGTAGGGGACAGAGAGGGAAACTTGCCTGTCTTCTATGGCCTGGGGTCCTGGCCATCGGAGCCACACAGTGTGTCTGTACTTCTTCTCTCTCTCTGTCCTTGTCCATTTTCTCTTTTGGAATCTATTGTTAGTGAGCTCTGCCATTGTTTTTTCTGATTTCATTAAAATGCCACCAAGACACATGCTCTGCAGTATGCCACTTCAGTCTTAAGTGGGGCATTTTTGCTAGATGGATTGATTTTTTTAAATGACAGCATCTGTTTGCTTATACACATTTATTTATAATTCTTCCCCTGACAATCAGAGCAGGGGAATCGGTGAGCAGTAACCAGCTGTTGGGATTAGTGGGGAAGGGAGGCGGTGATTTGATCTGTGAAGGAGTACCAAAGCCCCGGCCAAAAGCAGTAAAAATGGAGCAGATGCCCCCAAATACACTAGCTCGGGGAGGGACGAGTAAATCACATGCGCTGCCAGCTGCAGCCCCACAGAGACACCAGATGAGCTGGGTGAGCTGGAGAAGCTCCTGAGAGTCAGGGGCTGTGTCTGGCCCTCCCTGGGACTTGAGGGGCTTGGTAGATGGGATGGAGGGCAGTGGAGTAGCGGAGAGTAGTGGACCTTGGTGAGCTGGACCCTCTGATGAGTCCCCATGTCGCTCAGGATGAAATCCAGAGAGCTCACCATGGTCTACAAGGCAATACCAATGTGGCCTCTGTTATTCCTCCACCCTCTATCCCTGCTCTCTGCTGCCTCTCCAGGTGTGCACCAGCAGCTCCACCTCCAGCTGCTTCTGGAACATGCCAGGTGCTCCCCCTCCTTGGGGTCCCTCAGGCTCTTCTCTCCTCATCCATCTTCCATTTCCATGGGGCTCACTCTTCAAATCCATGCTCAAATGTCACTTCTTAGAACTATTTCTTATAACCTCCCTCTCCAACCCACTGCCCTCTGGTCTCAATCTGTTTGTGCTGCTGTAACAAAATACCCCTGGCTGGGCAATTTATAAAGAATAGAAGTTTATTTTTCATGGTTCTGGAGGCTGGGAAGTCCAAGATCAAGGCGCTGGCAGATTCAGTGCCTGGTGAAGGCTCACTCTGATTCTAGACGGTGCCTTCTTACTATGTTCTTACATGGTGGAAGGGGACAAAAGGGGACGAATGCTCTGTCCTCACATAGCAAGAGAGGTGGGAGAGCCAGGCAGCTGTCTGAAGCCTCTTTTATGAGGGTATTACGGTAGCCCCCGCCTTATCCTAGGGGGATACTTTCCAAGACCCCCAGTGGATACCTAAAACCACGGATAGCACTGAAGCCTATATATACTACATTTTTTCCTATACATACATACTTGTGATGAAGTTTAATTTATAAATTAGGCACAGTAAAAGATTAACAACAATAACTAATAATAAGATAGAACAATTATAACACTATAGTGTAATAAAAATCCGATGAATATTTATTTCTGGAATTTTCCATTTAATATTTTGGGATGGTGGTTGACCACAGGGAGCTGAAACCGTGGATGGGGGCATTCACTACTGTAATCCCGTGCAAGAGGGTGGGACCCTCCTGATGTAATCCCCTCCTCCAGACCCTACCTTCTAATGCCATTACCTTGGGGGTTAGGTGTCAACATAGGAAGTTTGGGGGAACACATACATTCAAACCCTAGCACCTCCTCTCTTGTTTTCTTTTTCTCCCTAACAGAACCCTTCTAACAAAACACATAGATATTTTAAATGTTTGTTTTCTGTCTGTTCCATAGGAGCTTCATGATGGCAGGGGCCTTGTCTGTCTCGTTTGCCCCTGAACTGTACTTGCTGCATAGTAGATGCTCAGTAAATGTTTGCTGAATCAATGCAGAATTTTTCATTTGAGGGAACAAGTTGTCCCTTTTGACTCTCCCTATATGCAGCTCGGGGGTCACAGAAAGCCCAGGTCACTGAAGGGTTGCTCTCTGGGGCCATCAACCCTGTATTCCTGATCTCTGTAGCTCCCCAGGATCCAGCCCAATGCCTCATACGTAGTAGGCATTCAATAAATATTTGCTGAATAAAGAGATGAGTGAATGACACAAGTTGACACTCTACAATATTCAAGGCAAGAAACAAGGACTCGTCGCTGAATCCTTTTTTTCCATGCCCTCCATCAGCGGGTCCAACCAGCAGCATTTCCAAAATACGCCTTACAACTGAGCACTAGGCTCCAGTTCCTGCTTTAGTGTCAGGGTCTGAACCAACGCCACCTCCCGCCCAGACAACTCCCACAGCTCCTAACTGGGTCCCAGCTGCCGCTCTCGCGCCCCCTACAGTATACTCTCCACACTGCAGCCAGCATGATCTCATAAAACTATGAAATAATCAGTTCATGCCCTTTGCAGGCTCACCACCCTCCAAATGGCATTACATCAAAACCCAAACCCCCTACCATGACTGGCTGCTCCCTGCCTCACCTGCCGTCCCTCTCCCGTCTCGTGCTGGGCCTCCTTGCTCCCTTTGAAAATGCCTTGGGATCTTTGCACTTTCTGTTCCTGGAAGAGAGTCTGGGGTCCCAGGTGAGCTCTCAGAGCAGCAGAGAGCGTCTGCTTGGGAAGGAAGCAGAGGAACGGGCCTTCTCCCGGGTTGGTTGCATGGCTGGCTCCTTTATCCTTCAGGTTTCGGCTCAAATGTCACTTCCCAACCATCCCATCTAACCCAGTTCTCCCTCCATCTTCCCATCTCCACAGAGAGCCCCAGGACTCGGAGGAATGGCCTCAATCCTATCTGTGGTCCCGTGACCTAACTTCCCTGTGCTCTGTCCCCCTCCCTCCCCTCCTCCTATCTGCTTTTGTGCACAAAGCATCATAATGCTTTGATATATTATTTTATCTTTTTCGGTTGTTTTTCTTTCCTCTTGTTCTTCCTTTTCCTTCTCATCAAAACAGGCAGCTGTTGCCTCAGGGGAGGGATATAGCAGAAGGGGAACAAGAAATAGCTCATACATCTTTCTGGCTTTTCTTCTCTTTTAGGAGAATTTAGAGAGTCCTCAGAAGAACTAAGGGGTTGGAGGGGATTTGAGGTACCACCAAGGGTTTTGGAGCCACAGTGGGGAGAACAGAACTCCTCTCCCAGTTGCAGAGAGACTTCCTGTGGCTGGGGGAGAGAGAAGAGAGAGAGGGAGTAGTGGGATCCTGGGCTGTGGGTCTTGGGGTTGTGCTTCCTGGCACCTCCCTGGGGAGGAAGCAGGACCCTGGAGAAGAGGCTGCCTCCAAGCCCGGAAACCCTAACTCATCCCCACTTGAGCTGAATCCTGCTCACAGCCGTTTGGTTTGGCCCATGTAGTGTTTTAATTTTTTCTGATGGATTTCCAAAATTTAAAAGACTGAGGCTGGGTGTGGTGGCTCACACCTGTAATCCCAGCACTTTGGGAGGCTGAGGTGGGAGGATTGCTTGAGGCCAGGTGTTTGAGGCTAGCCTGGACAGCATAGCAAGACCCCCATCTCTACGAAAATAAAAAATTAGCCAGGCGTGGTGGCACTCATCTGTAGTCCCAGCTACTTAGGAGGCTGAGGCGGGAGAATCACTTGAGCCCAGTGAGCTATGATCATGCCACTGCACTCCAGCCTGGGCAACAGAGAAAGACCCTGTCTCAGAAAACCAAAACAACAACAACAACAACATCGAAAATAAAAGATAGATTATTTCAAATTTCTCTTGAAAGTTCAGATTTAGATTTGCAGCTTGTCTGGATAAAGAGATCTGGTAGCGCTAGGCCTGTGTTTCCAGAGGCACGCCTGTGAGCCTGGCACAAACATGATACGTCCCCACAGTCCCCACCTCTTGCTGCTGGGTCACAGCCAGTCCACTTTGTTTGTTTTTGAGATGGAGTCTCGCTCTGTCACCCAGGCTGGAGTGCAGTGGCGCGATCTCAGCTCACTGCAGTCTCCACCTCCCGGGTTCATTCTCCTGCCTCGGCCTCCTGAGTAGCTGGGACTACAGCCGCGCGCCACCGTGCCTGGCTAATTTTTGTAGTAGAGACGGGGTTTCACCATGTTAGCCATGCGAGTCTTGAACTCCTGGCCTCAGGTGATCCGCCCGCCTCGGCCTTCCAAAGTGCTGAGATTACAGGCGTCAGCCACCGCACCTGGCCAGCCAGTCCACTTTGTCTCCTTGATGAACCTGGTCCCTTTGGGCATATGAGTCTGTGGCTCTGGATGATGGTGCTCAAGGCAGCTTCAGTGAAGAGCCTGGGGCCCCAAGCGAGCTCTGAGAGCAGCCGAGGCTTCTAATTTGGAAGGGGTCATGTGGACCGGAAGGATGAAGAGCTGAATGGTCACCCAAGTGGATGGAGGACCTAGACGCCTCTCAGCACTGTGTGAAACCCAAGAACCAACACCCAACCCCAGAAAGGCATGGAAAAGTCAAGAAGGACTGAAGTTTACTTTTATGCCAGCGCAGCAACGTGGAGGATATGAGTCGGAGATTCAGTGAGTCACCGAACATTTTTAAGAAGTGATGTATTTCTGAGCAACTCAAATTTGTGGATGAGATGCAAAGATGCTGCCATATTTTACTTACTCTTCAGGGTCCAGCTTATCCCCTCCAAAGACGAAAGACAATTTTTAGGAGGGCTTCTCACGTGCACAGGACAAGCACAGTGGTAAGCCCTTCATGTCAGCCCTTTATATTCTCAAACTCGAGTGTGCATCAGCGTTATCTGAAGGCCTGTTAACACACAGATTGCTGGGCCCAGCCCCAGAGTTTCTGATTCAGCAGGTCTGGAGTGGGGCCCAAGAGTCTGCATTTCTAGCAAGTTACCAAGTGAGGCTGATGCTGCATGTCTGGAGACCATGCTTTGAGAAACACTGATTTAGAGAATTACCCTGATCAGTTGTCACAATCTTATGTAGAGTCTAGCATCTCTCTCTCTCTCTCTTTTTTAAAGAGAGGATCTCACGTTGTTGCCCAGGCTAGGGTGCAGTGGCATGATCTCAGCTCACTGCAGCCTCCGCCTCCTGGGTTCATTCTCCTGCCTCAGCCTCCTGAGTAGCTTGGACTACAGGCGTGTGCCACCACGCCCTGCTAATTTTTGTATTTTTAGTAGAGACAGGGTTTCACCATGTTGGCCAGGCTGGTCTCGAACTCCTGGCCTCAGGTGATCTGCCTGCCTCGGCCTTCCAAAGTGCTGGGATTACAGGCGTGAGCCACCGTGCCTGGGCAGCAAGTCCACTGCTGCCTCCCTGCAGCCTCAACCTCCAGGGCTCAAGCAGTCCTCTTGCCTCAGCCTCCTGGGTAGCTGGGATTACATGTGCCACCATGCCCAGATAAGTTTTAATTTTTTTTGTACAGATGGAGTCTTGCTATGGCTGGTCTCAAACTCCTGGCCTCAAGTGATCCTCCCACCTTGGCCTCCCGAAGCACTGGGATTACAGGTATGAGCCACCACACCTGGTCTATCATTTCTCTCTCTCTCTTTTCAAGAAGAAGAAGGAAAGGCCAAACAGGTTAATTTGCCCACAGTCACCACTGCCTGCTCTGTTTGCCTTTCCCGGGAAGCCAGTCCCATTCACAAGCACATCCCTGGCCCTACAGAGTTGCTGTATCTGAGGAGGAGGGATAGTGGGGGCATGGGAGGAGAGAGTGTCCATCCTTGCTTCCTCTGTCAGGTGGAGAGAATAATAGCTCATGCTTTTACCTTGTTGACTGTGCAGGGCACTGCGAACAAGTGCTTCACATGATCCACTCGTTCCTGCCTCACCGTGTGTGTGATCCTCATCATCCCATTTTACAGATGAGGAAAGTGAATCCACTTCATCCAACCAGCAGAGTCTGGAAGAGAGGGAGCTCATGTGGGAGGCTCTAATGGGCGGGGTCTGGAAGCGATGATGTCACTTCTGCTCACTTCCACTGGCCGTAACTTGGTCACATGATCACGCCTGACTGCAAGGAAGGCTGGGAGATGTGTAGTCTATCTGGGTCCCTGGAGGAAACTGGAAATGAGATTCGCTGACCACATGGTGGCCTCCACCTAGGCTCTTTGCATGCACTGATGCCCTTTAAACCCCAGAAGGAGATGTTATTAACATAGTTGCAAAGCTGTGGAACTGGCATTCAATCCCAGGCCTCCTAATTCCTCAGCACAGTGTTTCCTGGGCTTCCACAGAAGAAGAGGGGAGAAGCAGAATGGAAAAACCTGAGGACAGTAAGGTGAACATTGTCAATCAGGCTCCCATACTCTAGGCGTGGGAAGCTAAGTTAGAGGTGACAGGGGACCCTGAAGGTGGAGTTTTAAGACTATTGCTGCTGCTTTTGGCTGTGTGACCTTGGTGTTGTGCCAGACTTCAATTGATTTCAGTAAGGATGGCACCGTGTTCAAGAGGCCCAAGGGCTGGGTGCGGTGGCTTGCATGCTAATCCTAGCATGTTGGGAGGCCAAGGTGGGCGGATCACTTGAGGTCAGGAGTTCAAGACCAGCCTGGCCAACATGGTGAAACCCGGTCTCTATTAAAAATACAAAAATTAGCTGGGTGTGTTGGCGGGCACCTCTCATCCCCGCTACTCAGAAGGCTGAGGCAGGAGAATGGCTTGAACCTGGGAGGCGAAGTTGCAGTGAGCCGAGATCTTGCCACTGCACTCCAGCCTGGGCGACAGAGTGAGATTCCGTCTCAAAAAAATAAAATAAAATAAAAAGAGGCTGAAGAAGAGAACTGGAACCAGCAAACAAGATATAGGGTTTATTAAGGGGACTTACATACTGGGCAGTCCAGTAGTGGCGGGCTAGACAGGAGAACCACTACCATTTGTAAAAAGCTTGCAGATTATATAGTATTTCCACTTAGCACTCTAGCAATTTCACTTAGTGCACTAGCACCCCTAACAGCCTCCTCCTGACAACCTTCATTTAACCCAAAACAAAGAGCCTCCATCCCCTGTATGGCCTATGTTTCATGGGATGGGCTGGGTTTCAGATGTTCCTCGTAGATAAGGAATGAATCTGCACGTTGGCCACTCCCAGATTCCTTAGCGTGGAACTCTGAACACACATTCTTCTTAGACCATAGCGTCATTCTCAGGGTATTGCTCCAGTTAAGCGCTTGCTCTCAGGTGCATCTGCTGAATCGCTTCTCTTCTGAGCCTTGGTTTATTGTAATACCAAGATGATAAGACCCATCTTGTCAGATTATCTGTGAGGATGAAATAAAATACCACAGCCTGGCCAGAGCAGGTATATGATAGTGAAGGTTTAATCAGAATTAAAATCTAGGTCCAAGGCTTTCACCCGTGACTGCGCATTTGAATCACCTGGTGAGATTTTAAAAATGACCAATGTCAGGTCCCCACCCTAAGAGGGTCTGATTCACTTTCATGGAGTAAGGTCAGAACACAAGCACTTTATAAAAATCTCCCAGGTCATTTTAATATGCAGCCCTGCCTGAGAACCACCTGATCTATGACATTGACCTTCAACCAGAATGGACCAATTAATATCTCCTCCTTACTTGAGGAGTGATGGGGTCCAGGGTCTGGAATCTGGGGGAGGATTTTAGGGTTGGACTGAGGCTGAGGTTGACCTTGAGCCCCTTCCTGGGTCGCCTCCTGCCCATCTCTTTCCATTCACCAGAAGCTGAATGAGACAGAAGAGATAATATACTCCATCCGTTGCGCCCCTCCTCAGCCAGGCGCGGGAGGGCAGGTGGATCCGTCTGCAGGCAGGAAAGAGCTGATGCATTTCAACCGCATCCTGTGTAATGAAGGCCAGCTCTTTATCAGCCTGCCTGGCCCTGGATTTTTATCTCTGCCATCTGCTTTGCCTAGAGTGGCAGGTGCCAAAGCTTACAAATAGCCCCAGCCTGTACTTTCGTGTAGAACAGCAAAGCATCATAATTTCTGGGCTATTACCAGGTGGAACAACTTCTGCCAGCTAAGGTGACATGTGGCAGTTGGCATT
Organism: Homo sapiens; assembly: GCF_000001405.40. NCBI lineage: Eukaryota > Metazoa > Chordata > Mammalia > Primates > Hominidae > Homo > Homo sapiens. The sequence continues at coordinate 27,174,047 of NC_000016.10, read as the reverse complement.
TGAACAGGTTGCTTTGCAGGACCAGCAAGAGACAGTAACTGCCACCTCAGGGCTATGACTTTCAGAGAGAGAAGAAATGCCACAAGCTGATGACATTGGTTACTCACTTGATGTTGCCCTCCAGATGAACGGAGAGGCTGGGATCTGCAGCAGCGGGCTGGGCAGGGGGCAATTTATTTATTTAACAGAACCTTTACTCATGCCAGGCACAATTCTAAGTGCTTTTCAAATTATTATTATTTTGTTAGGACAAGGTCTTGCTCTGTCTGCCAGATTGAAGAAACTCCTGGGCTCAAGCAATCCTCCATCCTCAGCCTCCTAGTAGCTGGGACTACAGGGTGCGCCACCACCTGGCTAATTTTTTAATATTTTATAGAGACAGGGGTCTTGCCGTGTTGCCCAGGCTGGTCTTGAACTCCTAAGCTCAAGTGATTCTCTCACCTTGGCCTCCCAAAGTGCTGCGATTACAGGCATGAGCCACCATGCCGGGTCGCTTTTCAAATTTTAACTCAGTTAAATCCCCACCACAACCCTATGAGGTTAGAACTGTTATTATCTCCATTTTAACATGGGGAAACTGAGACAAAAGGGCTAAGTAAATTACTCGAGAGCCCACAGCTGGGCAGTGGCAGAGCTGAGGTTCAGATCCAGGTGGTCTGGCTTCAGGGTCACTGCCTTGTGCCTGGGGGCACCAAGAGCAACCCTCAACCCCACTCTTGGCAGGTTGAGGCTTGTGTGTAAATGGAGGTTCACATACCCTGTGTGCAATATTTACAAGTTATATATCAAGCTAACAACACTATGACATGAAATCCGTTCTGTCCTCCTGCCCTGAGAAATCTCTCTTCATAGTGACCTGAAAGGCCAGGTTTGCATCAGGTCTTTTCTGACTTCCCTGGGTTCTGTGCTAGGATGTGGGGGTCTGGGGGGAGCCGCCCAGTGTCCTCCAAGGTGTGGGGACCCTCTTGCCTGGATTTACAAGCTGTATTAGGTGAGGGACAGGGAAAAATCAGCACAGCACCTAGGTTTGTGGCTTAGGCAGGTTTTAGCCCAAACTCATGGTCCTTTGTGGAGTTCCCCTCCCCTAAGATTGAGTTACTTGCCATTTTTTTTTTTTTTTTTGAGACAGAGCCTTGCTTTGTCACTGTCAGCCAGGCTGGGGTACAGTGGTGTGATCTCGGCTCACTGCAGCCTCTGACTCCCAGGTTCAAGTGATTCTTCTGCCCCAGCCTCCCAAGTACCTGGGACTGCAGGCACGCACCACCATGCCCAGCTAATTTTTGTATTTTTAGTAGAGACAGGGTTTCACCATATTGGCCAGGCTGGTCTTGAACTCCTGACCTCGTGATCCACCTGCCTCGGCCTCTCAAAGTGCTGGGATTACAGGGGTGAGCCACTGTGCCCAGCCCGAGTTACGTGCCTTTTTATCTTCACCCTCAAGACTCTGCTTGTGGAGGTTAATTATAGACAGACATTTCCACTGACTCTGTGACCCCAGCTAGTCTCTAGGCCTCCTCAAGCCTCAATATGCTCACCTGTATAATGGGGCCACTTATAACTTCTTCCTTCCTATCTCTTAGTGAGTGAGAGGATGTATTAATACATAAAGTGTGCATGGCAGGGACTCCTGTGCATTCACCAAAGTCCCTTTCCTTTTCCTCCTGGGTACATAATCTATATTTTCCAGCCCACGTTGCTGTCATATGTGGCTATGTGACCAAGTTCTGGCCAGCAGAATGCAGGCGTGAGTAATGTCATTACTTCCAGACTTGATCTACTGAAACCTTCCCCACGAGTCCCCTTCTACTCTTCCCCTGACTGCTGGCTGGATGTGAGGATTCGGCAGAAGACTCTAATACCCAAGACAGGGTTGGCACACTATGGTGCATGAGCTAGATTCTGCCTGTGGTCTGATTTCATAAGTAAAGTTCTACTGGAACACAGCCACATCCATTCATTTGTGTATTCCCTGTTGGTGCATTTGTGCCGTAAGGGCAGAGTACACTCACTGTGTCAGAGACCCTGTGACCTACAAAGGCAAAAACTTCTATTATCTGGCTCTTTATAGAACAGTTTGCTGATGCTTGCCCTCAAAGATGGCAGATCCACAGATAGAAGGAGCCTGGTTTGTGAGTAGCAGCATCGGAAGCTCAACATGGATGGCTGCTGGGAATCTCCACGTGGGACTCTTCATAAGGGAGAAATCAACAGTTAGCACGTAAATCTTTGACATTTTGTGATTTGTTTGTTACAGCAGCTAGTATTACTTATCCTCACTAATATGCACATAGTAAGTTTGTTTGTTACAGCAGCTAGTATTACTTATCCTGACTAATACACACATAGTAAGCAAAAAAGAAAAGACAGCTTCCCTTGTGATCTATATTTTTCTTTTTCTTTTTTCTTTCTTTCTTTCTTTCTTTTTTTTTTTTTTTTGAGATGAGGTCTCACTACGTTGCCCAGGCTGACCTTGAACTCCTGGGCTCAGGCGATCTCCCAGCCTTAGCCTTCTGAGTAGTTGGAACTACAGGTGCATGTCACCATACCCAGCTTATATTTTTATACTCTCCATAAACTTTCATATTTGAAACAGCTCAGAAAAATGAGTGGTGCTAGCTGTAGCTTTCTCTCACCTCCAGGCCTTTGTACATCCTGTTCCCTCTGCCAAGATCATTCTTTTCCCATCTCTTCACCTCATTGTCTCTTACTGATCTTTTAGGCCTTAAGGTAGACAACAGTGCTTCCAGGCAAACTTCCCTTGCTCCTCTGTCCCCCAAGACCAGGTTAGGTGCCTCTATTACGTGCCACTAAATAGCCTTAGAGAAACAGTATACTTGAGTGGTTAAGAGCTGAACCCAGTTAGACTGCTTGGCCTCAATCTTGGCCTATCACAAATAAGCCATGAGACTTTGGGAAAGTAGCTTAACCTCCCTCTGCCTCAATTTCCTCATCTGTAAAATGAGAATAATAATATTGTTTATCTCATAATGAAGTGGGAATTAAGTATAGTGGAAATTAAGTGAATTAAAGTACAGTTGAGGCTGGGTGTGGTGGCTCATAGCTGTAATCCCAGCACTTTGGGAGGCTGAGGTAGGAGGAGTGCGTGAGCCTAGGAGTTTGAGACTGACCTGGACAACTAAGTGAGACCCTGTCTCTACAAAAAGTAAAAAGAATTAGCCGGGGTTGGTGGTATCAGCCTGTAATTCCAGCTACTTGGGAGGCTGAGACTAGAGGATTCCTTGAGCCCAGGAATTGGAGGCTGTAGTAAGCTGGGATTGTGCCACTGCACTCCAGCCTCGGTGATAGAGTGAGACACCATTTCTGGGGAAAAAAAGTTATACTAAGACTTCAACTGTGTGGGGATTTTGTGTCCCAACACCTGCATTGTTTAAGAGTCAAATGTACTTAGAATTACATGGGAGGAACTAAATAAGTGTCAGGTGACATTATCACATTATCACTATTCTTTCTGTGGCTCCTGTCACAGCATGCACCATACACGAATGCCATAGTGACACTTTTCCAGTGGACTGTGGGGTACTTGAAGCGTAACAGGCTTTCCATACATTTTGGTTGATTGAAAATGAATGAAGCAGTAACTACTGCCCAGTCCTCTGGGGCTTGGCCTACCAAGGCTCTCCAGACAGTGCCACCCCCTTGCAGAGGGTTTAGGGCTAAATGAAACTGCAGCTTGAACAAGGACAGTTTCTGATCAAGGGAGACAGACTAGAAGCCCTAGAACTCAGCCTTTTTTTTTTTTTTTGGTTGGGGTGGACAAAATCTCACTCTGTTGCCCAGGCTGGAGCGCAGTGGTGTGATCATAGCTCACCACAGCCTTGCTCTCCTAGGCTCAAGTGATCTTCCCACCTCTGCTTCCCAAGTCGCTGGGACTACTGGCATGCACCACCGTGCCTGGCCAATTTTTGTGTTTTTTTTATTTGTGGAGACAGAATCTTGCTATGTTGCCCAGCCTGGTCTTGAACTACTGGCCTCAAGCAATACCTCCTGCCTTAGACTTCCCAAATGCTGAGATTACAGGCATGAGCCACCATGCCTGGCCAGAACTCAGCTTTATCAGTCAGGCTAGAACTCAGCTTTATCACTCAAGATTCTTTGTTGCAAACCACAGAAACCACACCAGCAAGCTTAAGTACAGGAAGAATACGACATGATTCAATAGATCACAGAACTTCCAGAGGGCTATGATCAGATTTGGAGACTATGTATGCAAGCGGGGCACTTAAATTACACCACCAGACTGCTCTAGTGGAGAGCCTGTCCCTACTGTTTCCAGCCAGAGGCAAACCAGCTTGACTCATTGATGCCCGTTGTGATGGGGTTCCGGCCTAACTTCTGCAGCGGCTGCTGTGCAAGCAGCCTGCCTCTTGTGACCTGCTGAGTGTGTTTGCACAGACAGATGGCACTGAAGAGCTTGCAGAGTCTGGGAAAAGGGGACTTTTGATGCCAACTCCCTCATCTCCCAGAATCCTGGAGATCAGATTCTATTGTATCCCCTTCCCTTCCCTTCCCATCCCGTCCCTTCCCTTCCCTTCCCTCCCCTCCCCTCCCCTCCCCTCCCCTTCCCTTTCTTTTTGAGACAGTCTCGCTCTGTTGCCCAGGCTGGAGTGCAGTGGCATGATCTCAGCTCACTGAAACTTCTGCCTCCCGAGTTCAAGTGATTCTCCTACCTCAGCTTCCTGAGTAGAGAGTAGCTGGGATTACAGGCACATGCCACCATGCCCGGCTAATTTTTGTATTTGTAGTAGAGATGGGGTTTCACCATATTGGTCAGGCTGGTCTCGAACTCCTGACCTCAGGTGATCCACCCATCTCAGTGTCCCAAAGTGCTGGGAGTACAGGCATGAGCCACCGCACCCAGCCTCCCTCCTGCTTTTCCAAAAGCAGTGGTAGATGATAACAATGGTAACCAACATCATTGACTCCCCATGGGGCACTGAGCCATGACTCCTGATGGGCCACGTGTTTTGCAGCATCGTCTCCCATCCTTCTCACTACAATCCTGGGTGGCAGGTGCTGTTATGAGCTTCATTATACATATGAACTGAGGCTCAGAGAGGTTAAGCAACTCATCCAAGGTCACACAGCACAATTGAGAATTTAAATCGAAGAGGACTCCAGAGCCCAGATTCTTAACTACCACACGGTACTGCTGTCTTTACTCCCCGGGGAACTTAATTGATGGTTTAGACAATAGCGAGAGGGAGGGTGTGTATGCATTCATGAAACCCGGTCTGTGCCAATCTTCCCACCAGGAAGGGTGTTGTTGCAGGGCAGGATTGTGCATTTCAGCCGAAGTGGTGGCAGGGGAAGGGTCCCTGTCCTGGCAGACAATGAGCTTTTTGACTTCTAGTGACCAAAGGGTAAGAAATGGAACTAAGCTCTTGTCCATAGCCTGATGACGCCGATGCTCCAGGATCCTTCTTCCCTCCCTCCCTTCTCCATCCTCCTTCATCTTTCTTCCCCTACCATTGTCACCATCCCTATCACCACCACCCTATTATCACCATCCTCATTCAGCATGGGCCGCTATGCACCACTGTCCTCTTCATATTATGTCACCACCAGCCCATCACCAGCCCACCGTCCTTTATTATGACCATGACAATAACCATCACCCTGGGCACTACCACCACCACCGAGCCATCACCAAACTGTCAATGTCACCATGTCTACCGTCTTCCTGACACCCTCATCACCACCGCTATCAGCATCATCAACCCTTCCATCCCCCTGCCATGACTGCCTCTCTGCTGCCACTATCTCCACCTGCACTGTCAGCATCACCACCCGACTCTATGAGCCTGTTCACATCACCATTCACATCACCATTCAGTGATCGACTTCATTCACCACCCCCAGCCCTGTCACGATCATTCCACTGTGCTTGCCATCACTGTTGTCCCCCCAACTATCTTTTTTATCTTTTTTTAAGGTAGAGGTTCTTGCTCTGTCGCCCAGGCTGGAGTGCAGTGGCACGATCATAGCTTACTAGAACCTCAAACACCCAGGCAACAGGCATGTGTGATGACCATGCATGGCTAATTTTTATTTTTTTTTAATTTTTGTAACCTGGGAGCATACATTCAAGTTGCCCCGAATATACACTCCCCCAGCTAATTAAAAAACTTTTTTTTGTAGAGATGGGGTCTCTCTATGTTGCCCAGGCTGGTCTCGAATTCCTGGCCTCAAGCGATGCTCCCCGCCTCGGCCTCCCAAAGTGCTGGGATTACAGGTGTGTGCCATGGTTCCTGGCCGCCATCACCAATATTTTCACCAGCACCAATACAACCCTGCACAAGTCACGAACACTTTCTGAGTCTCTCCTGGGCTTTAGGCTAGTGTTAAATGCCAAAGATGAAAACATGCTGATGAAAGGGACTGTGATTTGTGTTTTCCGTCATTGCTATCATCAGCGATTACTGGGCTCTCTCATTCATGCCTTATTCACCACCATTCCCTGCCTAAACAGTTGCTTTGAGCAGAAGTGCATCCTGTAAAACGTGTGAGTTTCTCCAATATCAAAACACGCCCCAGAGCCCAGCTTTTGCCTTTCCCCTTCCCTTATCCCACAGGCAAATCCCACTCACCGTTCCCTTACTGGTTTTGGTTTGGTGTCACCAGAGAGTACATTTTCCCCTCTCTCCCATCCCTCTCCAGGCCTCTGCATGCCTGTCTTTGACCAACTTGTAACTGGGCTTTAAAGCTTCCCAGCCCCAATATGCTGATATAATTATGATCATATGTTAGGCGGGTTTTGTGAGCCTTAATTAAATGTCCCTTGGCTAAAAGAAGAAAATGGCAAAAATCTGCTTCCCATCGCCAAGGCTGTGCGGGGCCTCTGGAAACCCGTTGTCTTTTGGGTCTGGGTGGCGATTCTGAAGAAAACAACCTGTCCTCCCGGCCAGGCCACAGAGAGGAAAGAGAGGCTGAGCCTGGAGGCTTGAATCTGGCCCCAGATGACCGGTCAGAAGCAGGCAGATTTCAGCTCATTTCAAGAGCCTGTGGTTGGTGGAGTGGGTGGGCTTGGTGGGCTCCGGCGTCACCGTCTTGGTAATAGAATGAGCCCTTACACTAATGCCATTGATTGTAACTGTAATTAGCGGATTTAAGGGCCGAGGATTCAATAGCTCCACAGTCATTCTAACATGCCACGAGTGGGTTAACACTTGTCATTTCCACTGTTTCCTTGGCTTTCAAAGACAGGCAGCTGCTTTCCTTGAAGGGGCTTCATAGGGGCAGTGGGGAGATTTGGGTCCAAATCCTGGTTCTGTTCCTTGCTGTGTGATCTTGGCAAGCCCCTTCACCTGTCTGTGCCTCAGAAGGTGGAAAACAGAGATAATGGTAGTGAATACTGCCTAGAGCTGTGGTGTTGATGAAACACCTGCGTGCTTGGCACAAGGTAAGTGTGCAAGAAGTGTTTTCTGTTAACATTGTTAATTTTTTATTTTATTTTGTTTTTATCTTTTTTAGAGACACGGTCTTGCTCTGTTACCCAGGCTGGAGTGCAGTGGTGCAATCTTAGCTCACTGTAGCCTCAACCTCCTGGGCTCAAGTGATCCTCCCACCTCAGCCTCCTGAATAGCTGGGACTACAGGCATGTGCCATCTTGCCCACATTACTACCTCTTATCTCTGTTTCTCTCTGTCCACCCACACAGATATGCTTTCTCAGATTTTCTGTTCATGTGGGGACCATGTTTCAGAGCTCCCAAGGTTACAAGTTACTATGCCCAGGTAATTAAAAAATTCTTTTTGGTAGCAATGCGGGTCTCACTATGTTGTCCAGGTTTGTCTCCAACTCCTGGGCTTAAGTGATCTTCCCGCCTCAGCCTCCCAAAGTGCTGGGATTACAGGTGTGAGCCACTGTGTCTGGCCCATTATTAACTAATTAGTGCATCAAACAAATGTGTCAGAAATTCCAGTGGATTCTAAGTGGACATGGGCATGTTGGGATATCCCCAGAACACTAGTAGGTGTGGGCCTACCATCTGCGTTTGCAGGAGGACTGAGAAATATCCAGAAAGCAAAGGCCTTTAGGAGCAGCAAGAAGCAGGGCCTGGAGGAGGATAAGGCAAGTGAGGCATTCAGGGCACAACATTTAAGGAGACCCCACTCTCAGGAGCTGACCCTGCACTTTCACGAGCCTGAGAGTGAGGGCCTCCTTAAATTTTCCATTCTGGGCACCTCCTTGGTCTCACCCTGGCAAGAAAATGGACCTATCCAGCTTGTTCCAGTGATCAGAGCTGGGGCACAGAGTTTTATCATAAGACTCTGTTGCAGCCAGAAGTTACCACAATGATGTTGCAGACATTTGTAATGCAATGTGGTTATGTTGTTTCTTTTTTTCTTTCTTCCTTTTTTTTTTTGAAATGGGATCTTGCTATGTTGCCCAGGCTAGACTTGAACTCCTGGGCTCTAGCGATCCTCCTGCCTCAGCTGCCCGAGTAGCTGGGACTATAGGCATGCATTGCTGCTTCTGGCCAGTGTGGTTTCTTTTGAATAGCTATGAGAAGTCTCTTTATTTAGGAGCTCTGCCTCTCCATGTCAGAAGTCAGGAGTGCTGCTTTGTAGCTTTCCTTGCAGCAGGAGTACAGGACCCAGTTCTCAGGAACAGCGTGAGGAGGGGCCTGGCACTAGCAGTGGGCAGGATAGCTGTAGGGGCCTGGTTGCAGTATTCTTGCAGTGTAATTTGGGGACTTCTGGCTTTGTGGGGTCCAAGCTTGATTCTCTGGTTCTTCTGGAGACTTGATGAATGTCCTTTGATGAATGCCTTTGTGACCTAAAGCCGCCATAGTGGAGTCTGTTGCTGGCAACCAACGACTCTGACTAGGATATGGAGGTGTCTCACGAAAGTTAAGGCAGGAATATCCCTAAGTCTTAAGAAAGGCCTGGAGCTGGGAAGTGGAAAGGTATCAGCATGCCATTTCTCTCTCTTTTTTTGGGGTTGTGGTTGTTGCTGTTTCTTCATTCATCTTTCTTAGGTTGAAAATAAATTTAAAAAAGAAGCACAAGATTTCTTTTTCTTTTTTGAGGGACAGCTTTTGCTATGTTGCCCAGTCTGGTCTTGAATTCTTGGGCTCAAGGAATCTTTTTGCTTCAGCCTCCTGAGTAGCTGTGACTACAGGTGCATGCCACTGTGTCTGGCTTTCTACATCTCATCTCTGTTTCTCTCTGTCCATCCACACAGATACACTTTCTCAGATTTTCTGTTCATATGGAGGCCATATTTCACAGCCCCCAAGGCTACAAGCTTCAACCATTACAGAAATTAGCCCCGTTTATCTTGGCCTCAGCACTAAATTCTTATGAGAAATAAATCTGGTTGGCTCAATTTGGGTCAGTTGGCCATGCCTGGTCTAATCACTGTGTCCAGGGAGTAGAATTACACAGTGCAAATATTTCTGATAAGGTCCCTCCCATTGGCAGTTTCCAGGGAAGGAGAATTGATCCTGAGCTGGAACAGATATCCCCAAGGGTCTACCATAATCAAGAAAATTTCTATAGTTAAAGCCAAAGAGGCTACTCAGCTCTTTCTGGCAGCTCCACCCTGTGGGAGGCTGTCTCATTCCAGGGTTGGAGAGAGCTGAAATTAAAGACAGAAAGAGCAGTTTCAGCAAACACTGGAACACATGGGGCCCAAGTGGCTCTGATATGAGGCCACTGTGACATAGTACATTTTAAAAAATCTGGCTGGGTGCAGTGGCTCATACCTCAAATCCCAGTTATGCAGGAGGCTGAGGTGGGAGGATCATGTGAGGCCAGGAGTTCAGGATCAGCCTGGGCAACACAGAGAGACCCTGTCTCTAAAAACATAAAAAAATTAGTTAGGTGTGGTGTCACACGCCTGTAGTCCTTGCTACTCAGGGAGGCTGAGGCAGGAGGATCAAGTGAGCCCAGGAGTTCAAGGCTGCAGTGGGCTATGATTGCAGTGGGAAGACTCTATCTCTAAAAAAGAAAAACAAACAAACAAACAAATGGTTTTCCTCCCCTACTTCCCTTCCCTGCTGCAGAGCACCACACAGCAGTGATGTCGGGAGGTATGGGGTGATGGGGGGTACCTGGTGAGGTAGCAGCTGATCCCAGGGGGCTCACTTTTCACTTTGTGAGTACATGCAGGTACCCTTTGGGTAATCTCCTAAATACTGATGGTGGAAAAATAGGACTCTTGAGGCCAAAGATTCTTTTAAAAGCAGGGAAATCCAAGTCACTACTGAGAACAAGGCAAGTAGGCCCGGGAGCCCACCCCAGGTGTGATGATCATTTACTCAACATCTGCTGTTTCCCAGGCATGCAGCAGGGATGCTCCACTCTCCTCAAACACCAGGATCCCAGTGCAACTTGCCATTTTGCTTTATCCACAGTAGCGTACAGAGCTGTAAATAGCTGCAGAATTCAAAGCAAGAAGAACAAGAAAATCTTTGGGTCAGTTTTGTAGAAACAAAGTGAAACATAATGTTTCATAGAATACAGGCTACTCTGAGGAAGAAATGCCATGCCCTTTTGAATAAGAGGCTTAACCCATGGGGAGCTCAACACATCAGTGTGGGGGTGGCTCATCCATATGTTACTCAATACTACGGTTTTGTTCTAGGTCTCATTGTCTGCTGCACAGAAAGCCAATCACTGAGACAACAAGTATTGCCATGGAAGAAGGCTTTATTATATTCAATGTTTATACTATTATATTTATCATATATTATTTATATTACATATTACAGGCGATGTCAGCTGGAGAGAGGGAGACAAACCTCAAGTCCATCTCTCCCCTCCAACTAAAGTTAGGGGTTTATATAGTGGGGAAGAAAAACAAGTGGGATAAGGAAGAGAAGCTGGTCAACAGGCAGCAGGCATTTTTTTTTTTTTTTTTGAGACAGTGTTTCCATCTGTTGCCCAGGCTGGAGTGCAATGGCACGATCTCGGCTCACCACCACCTTCGCTTCCTGGGTTCAAAAGAATCTCCTGCCTCAGCCTCCCAAGTAGCTGGGATTACAGGCACCTGCCACCATGTTTGGCTAATTTTTTGTATTTTTTGTAGAGATGGGGTTTCATCATGTTGGCCAGGCTGGTCTCAAACTCCTGACCTCAGGTGATCCACCTGCCTTGGCCTCCCAAAGTGCTGAGATTACAGGCATGAGCCACCATGCCCGGCCCAGACACATCTTATTATACAAATGTCAGTTTATTAAGCTTCAGTTCTATGGGCATCCAGATTGTTGGAAAATGGGGCCAGTTTTGCATATGCAAAGTCCATGCATGTGCAGTGAGAAGCACTGACCCTTCCCTCTTACCTATCTGGGGACCTGCCTGCTGGGAATGGGAGGGTCTGGTGATGTTTCCTCCTGGCAGGTGCCCAGGAGCCTTGGCTTCCATCCTGATGTCTGCCTGCAGCTCTCAGTCACTCCACTTTCTTCTCTGAGTCTCCAAAGTCAACACACACCTTCTATTCCTGGAATTTTAACTGTGCTGACCCTTTGGCTTTTCCCACACTCTTGTTCAACTTCTTCCCACTCATTCTTCAAGACTCCTCCTCCAGCATTCTTTCTGTGGCAGACACTTGAAATTACCTACCCAATATTCATTTCTTCCTTCCAATATTAATTTTGTAATTTTTGATTTTTAAATTTAAATTTAATTTTTATTTTATTTTAAATTAATTTTTTTGAGACAGTGTCTTGCTCTGTTGCCCAGGCTGGAGTGCGCTGGCATGATCACGGGTCACTGCAGCCTTGATCTCCTGGGTTTCAGTGAGTCTCTAGCTTTAGTCTCCCCAAATACTGTGATGATGGGCATGAGCCACAGCACTTGACTAATTTTTTTATTTTTTGTAGAGATAAGGTCTCTCTATGTTGCCCACACTGGTCTTGAATTCCTGGGCTCAAGAGATCCTCCTGCCTTGGCCTCCCAAAGTGCTGGGATTAGAGGTGTGAGCCACTGTGCCCAGCCCCTTATGATATACCCAGTTCACAGGGTGAACACCCCTAATCCAAAAAGTCAAGATCCAAAATACTCCAAAACCTAAAACTTTTTGAGCGCTGACATGATGGCACATGTGGAAAATTCCAGACCTGACCTCATGCGACTGGTCACAGTCAAAACACAGTCTGAGCTTTGTTTCCTGCATAAAATTATTTAAAATACTATATAAAATTACCTTCAGGCTATGTGTACAAGGTGTGTATGAAACATACATGAATTTCCTGTTTAGGCTTGGGTCCCAGCCCCAAGATATCTCATTATATATTTGTAAATATTCCAAAATCTGAAAAAATCTGAAATACTTCTGGTTCTAAGCATGTCAGATAAAGGCTGTTCAACCTGTATATGTTTTTGTTTGTTTGTTTGTTTGTTTTTGCAGAGTCATGGAAGACAGTCAAATGGGTACTCAGCAAGTACCTTCCCAAGCTCCCTTGCAGGGATGGTGGTCATGTGACACAGATCTGACCAATGAGATGTGAGCATTGCTCTCCTCTCCCAGTGCATTACCAGAAATGGGATCACATTTGCAGAGCTGCACAGAGGGATGCTTCAAGGAGAGGGGACGATACTCGTCCAGGATCTGGGATTCCCAAACATCCTTCTGGTCAGCCAGTATATGGAGCCGTTGTTAAGCTTTGGAATCAGACTTCCTAGGTTCGTATCTGGCTTCTGCACAACTTACTGGTTGTGTAATCTCAGCCTGAGCCTCAGTTTCCTCATGTTGAAATAGGAACAGTAATCATACTATATTCTCAGGTTGTTGGGGCAACTAGATCAGTGTGTAAGCCCCATGAGGGGAGGATCCTGTTCATCTTACCATGACATATTCACATTCCAGTGTGAGTACCTAACAGTAGGCACCTAACAGATTTGTATAGAGAAAATAGATGTACAGGTCTTAGCAGAGTGACCAGTTCAAGAAATCTTACCTAAAAAACTAAATTGACTGGGCATAGTGGTTCATGCCTGTAATCCCAGCGCTTTGGGAGGCCGAGGGGGGTGGATCACCTGAGGTCAGGAGTTTGAGTGCAGCCTGGCCAACATGGTGAAAACCCGTGTCTACTAAAAATACAAAAAAATTAGCCAGACACAGTGGCACGCACCTGTACTCCCAGCTACTTGGGAGGCTGAAGCTGGAGAATCGCTCGAACCTGGGAGGCAGAGGTTGCAGTGAGCTGAGATCATGCCATTGCACTCTAGCCTGGGCGACAGAGTGAGAATCCGTCTCAAAAAGACAAAACAAACAAACAAAAAAACCCTAAATGAATGCCAGGCATGGTGGCTCACATCTGTAATCCCAGCACTTTGGGAGGCTGAGGTAGGAGGATTGCTTGAGGTCAGGAGTTCAAGACCAGCCTGGGCAACATAGTGAGACCCCGTCTCTATAAAAAATTAGCTGGGCATGGTGGCGTGTGCCTGTAGTCCCATCTACTCAGGAAGCTGAGGCAGGAGGATCACTTGAATCCAGGAGTTCAGGGAAGCAGTGAGCTATGATCCCACCACTGTACTCCAGAGCCTGGGCAACAGAGTGAGACCCTGTCTCTAAAACAAAGAAACAAACAAAACACCCAATTCTTACTGAGGCCATAGATTCCTGCAGAAGATTCCAGGGCAGCAGAGGGAGGGGGAAGACATGGTTAGCTGGTGCCCCTTCCACCTCTCTCCATTGAATAGATCAGCTTTTATCAGATTTATGCAAGGGATTCATTCCTGAAGCTATGCATTATTTAAGACTAAATTTCCCAGAGGGATGCATGTAAAGCAAGACGTGCATTATTTCAAAATTGGAGCATACGGCATGTCTTTATTAATATTTTTAAATTGCCTCGTATCTAAGTCACACAATGCAAATTTGCATAAAATGAGATGCACTGTTTTAGGATTCTCGACAAGGTTGAGTGGGCAAGAAAGTTTCTGAAGGTTAAAAAGCTCACACCGTAGTACTGGCCTCCCAAATTTGTGGTGGGGGCTGCAATTAGTGGTGAGGGTGGTCATCATCATTTGACATTAAAAGTAGCTTAATACATGTTGAGGAACAATTTACTTTAATGACATTTAAACTGATTCAAAGTTATTGCGGGAAACTGAATTATTGAAAATTAATTGGTCTTCCCCCCCCTTTTTTTCTCACTGCTTTTGGTTTATCAGAAAGAAGCGAGAGAAATCTTTCCTTCCATTTCCCTAGGACCCTGCTCCAAACTCAGTGGTTTTTAAATCCCAGTATGCATATTAATAACCCAAGGAACTGGCTGGGCTCCTGCCCCCTAGAAGTTGAGGTGGACCCAGGACTCTGCATTTTTAATGGACACTTTAGGAGACTCTGATGTGGGTGATAAGAACACTGGGTGTTTGCGGCTACAAGGTGCAGGAGAATTAGCTGGCTTGTCTGGGAAGCAGAGGCAGAGGGAATGGGGATGTGGATGGGCTTTGTTGCAAAGGGCCCTTCAAGGTGGCAGGTCTCAGGTGGGAGTGGCTCTGTGAGGGCTGTGCAAGCTGAACTTTCAGTCCTGAAGCCTTGGGAATATTGTTCACGGTGCCTGAAACAGGGTTGTGCCAGTGGAGAGGACCTTTGAGGGGCGTATATCATCCATCTCAAAGGGTGATTTTTAAGAGAGGTATTGTGCATCAATCAGGGTGACAATATCTGTAGCAAATATGATAATCACTCACTAAGCGCCAGGCCCTAGTCTCACTGTCTTAAATACACTAACTCATAGGTCTTGTTATGCTATTACCCCCATTTTACAAATGAGGAAACTGGGAGCACAGAGAAGTTCAGCGACTTGCCCAAGGTCACTCAGCCGGTGAACGGCAGAGCCAGCGTTTGAATTTAGGCAGTAAGCTATAATGTCTATTCTTGGCCCTGTGCCCTTTGGCCTCAACAGAGACTGTGAGGATGGTGACCACACAAACTGAAGACTGAATCCTTTTTAATTTGAACCAAATCCTGAGATGCTTGTAAGATCCACAGAGAGAGGAGGACTCTGGAAATTGACCATTGTTGAACTCATTGTCTAGGCTAACTGATACGGTTTGGCTGTGTCCCCACCCAAATCTCATCTTGAATTGTAGCTTCCATAATTCCCATGTGTCATGGGACGGACTGGTGGGAGGTAATTGAATTATGGGGGTGGATCCCCCGCTACCGCTCTCGTAGTGGTGAATAAGTCTCATGAGATCTGATGGTTTTGCTTGGCTCTTTTGCTTGGCTCTCATTCTGTCTTGTCTGCTGCCGTGGAAGAAGTGCCTTTTGCCTTCTGCCATGATTGTGAGGCCTCCCTAACTATGTGAAACTGTGAGTCCATTAAATCTCTTTTTCTTTATACATTACTCAGTCTTGGGTATGTCTTTATCAACAGCATGAGAACAGACGAATACACTAACTAATGGAGGAATGACTTGATTCAGAAATGTAAAGAAATGGGACGGCTTGCACCTCAGGAGTTCTAGAGCAGTTCCTGCCTGTGGCTCCAATAAGAATGTCAAGGTCACTGGATTGCATTTTATGTGTTTTCTTTCCTAATTTGATTTTTGGAATAGATGCTGTGCTATATTTACATCGCTCGAAAATCAAAATAACATAAAAAGATATTTCCAAAAAGCACTAATCTATGTCATCTCTCTGTCCATTGTGTTCTCCTTCTGCTCGTAGATGGTCACATTTAGTACTTTGCTGTATCTTCTTCCAGTGTTTTTTTTGTTTTGTTTTGTTTTATTTTTTGACAGAGTTTTTGCTCGTTGTTCAGCCCTGAATGCAATGGTGTGATCTTGGCTCACTGCAACCTCTGCCTCCTGGGTTCAGGTGATTCCCCTGCCTTAGCTTTCTGAGTAGCTGGGATTACAGGCGCCCGCCACCACAGCCGGCTAATTTTTGTAATTTTAGTGGAGACGAGGTTTCACCATGTTGGCCAGGCTGGTCTCGAACTCTTGACCTCAGGTGATACACCCACCTCAGCCTCCCAAAGTCCTAGGATTACAGGCATGAGCCACTGCACCTGGCCTTCCAGTTTTTGTTTTGTTTTGTTTTTATTCAAATACAAGCAACCGTGTGTGTGTGTGTGTGTGTGTGTGTGTGTGTGTGTGTGTGTGTGTGTGTATTTATGTTCCCCCTCCTTAATTACACAACAGGTAGCAAACCCTACATACTCTTCTATAAGCTGTGTTGACGAAAAGAGTCAAACTGTAAAATATTTAAAGAGATTTATTCTGAGCCAAATATGAGTGACCAATGGCCCATGACACAGTCCCCAGAAGATCCTGAGAACATGTGCCTAATGGGTGCCTAAGGTGGTTAGACTACAACTTGGTTTTATACATTTTAAGGAGACTTAAGGCATCAATCAATACACATAAGATGTACATTGGTTGGATCCGGAAAGACAGGACAACTGGAGGTGGGGGCTTCCAAGTCATAGGCAGATTCAAAGTCTGATTGGCAATTAGTTGAAGAGTTATTATCAATAGAAAGGAATGTCTGGGTTACAATAAGGGGTTGTAGAGAACAAAGTTTTTTTTTGTTTTGTTTTTTGTTTTTGAGACGGAGTCTCACTCTGTTGCCAGGCTGGAGTGCAGCAGAATGATTTCAGCTCACTACAACCTCCGCCTCCCAGGTTCAAGCAGTTCTTCTGCCTCAGCCTCCCCAGTAGCTGGGACTACAGGCGCGCACTACCATGCCCAGCTAATTTTAGTATTTTTAATAGAGACAGGGTTTCACCATATTGGCCAGGCTGGTCTTGAACTCCTGACCTTGTGATGCACCCGCCTTGGCCTCCCAAAGTGCTGGGATTACAGGTGTGAGCCACCGAGCCTGGCCCAGACCAAAGTTTTGTTATGCAGATGCAGCCTCCTGGTAGCAGGCTTCAGAGAGAATAGATTACAAATGTTTCTTATCAGACTTAAAGAGCCTGTCTATCCATAATTCCAAAAGGGAGGAGGATATAACGAGGAGTGTCTCGCTCCCTCTTTCCATCACGGCCTTGAACTAGTTTTTTGGGTTAGTTTTGGAATGCTCTGGCCGAGAGAAGGGGTCCATTCAGATGGTTCGGAGGGGGCCTTAGAATTTAATTTTGGTTTACATCTGCTTTCTTCCCCCCACTTTACAGTGTACTGTATTGTGAAGATCTTTCCATATCAGTGCAGAGACAGCTTCCTCACTGTTGTTTATGTTATTTATGGCTGTAGAGTGGGGTGTGCTGGCACCAGCTGGCTGATGGTGTGCTGGCTCCGAAGAACTGATTGCTAAACCTTCAGCGATTTTGTGAACCAATTGATTTCACATAGGTGGCTTGAAATAGGCCACAGTGGTAGTATTTGCACAACAGAAATGGGCAAACTGTCTACCTCAGGGCTTCCCACTCAGACAGCTGGTTGTTAAACGTTTATTGCACACCTCCCATTGTATAGATATACCAAGGTTCAGGTAGCCAGTCTCCCATACATGGATACTTGAATTATTTTAAATATTGTTTTTTATGGCCGGGCATGGTGGCTCCTGCCTGTAATCCCAGCACTTTAGGAAGCTGAGGTGGGCGGATCACTTGAGGTCAGGAGTTTGAAACCAGCCTGGCCAACATGGCAAAACCCCATCTCTACTAAAAGTACACACACACACAAAAACCTAGCTAGGCCTGGTGGCAGACGCCTGTAATCCCAGCTACTCGGGAGGCTGAGGCAGGAGAAACACTTGAACCTGGAAGGTGGAGATTGCAGTGAGCCAAGATTGCACCACTGCACTCCAGCCTGGGCGACAGTGAGACCCTGTCTCAAAAACAAACAAACAAACAAACAAACACAAAAAACAACAACAAAGTATTGTTTTTTTATAAATGATGCTTCAATACGTGACAGATATCTGACCTGAGAAGGAAGAGAAAGGGGATTGTGACAGCCACTAGGATAGAAATTACAATAAGCCCCTAGCCTTACCACTATAAAGAGTGGGATTCTTGGAGCAGCTGCCTTGACATCCAGGAGCTTGTCAGAAATGCAGACTCCCAGGCCCCATGACAGAACTGCTGAATTCGACCAGGACATTAATGTGTGCTACAAAGATTGAGAAGCACTTCCCTGACAATCTGCGTGTGTGTGTGTGTGTGTGTGTGTGTGTGTGTGTGGTTGATTCTATTCTTTTTCTTTGTAGAGATGGGGTTTTGCCATGTTGCCCAGGCTAGTCTCAAACTCTTGGCCTCAAGTGATCCACCTGCCTCAGCCTCCCAAAGTGCTGGGATTACAGGCGTGAGCCATCGCACCCAGCGTATTGATTATATTCTATTTTATACTTTATTTAATTCCTTTTTGTTGTTCTGAGGTCTTATTTATTTTTAAGAATATAATTTTATCTTTACATGTTTAGAAAAATTAGAAAATGTGGATAACACATAACTAAGAAAATAATAGCTTCCTTTCCTTCTGTCCAGAGTCTATCACTATTAACCCCTTTGAGCATCATTTCCAGGTCTTTTCCTGTGCATGCCTTCATACGTGTTAAATCAAGTTTAGCCTAAAGCTGCCTCCTTACGTATTTTAAGTTTGGCCTAAAGGGTTCTCCGTACATGGTGAACTGTAACCTAAACGGAGGTGTAAAGAGACTGTAACCGGTTCTTGTGCCAATCACCGAGTTTTGGCCCATCAGAGATGGTTTGAATGGTTTGCCCGGCTAATTTTTAATTTTTTTTTGGAGCGATGGGGGACTTGCTGTGTTGGCCAGGCTGGTCTGGAAGTCCTGGCCTCAAGCGACCCTCCTGCCTCTAAGGTGGCGCTTTTAACCCTTTGTGTACCACCACCACAAACCGCGGCCCAGTGCGTTAATGGGTGGAGGGAGGGGGAAGGGGAACGCTGAGAGCCCCCTTGTGGCCGACCAGGGTATTGCGTGTGCCCAGGCTGAGTGGGAACAAGGAGCGTTAAGAGTAGATAATTGTAGCATTGCAGGTGGGCTACAGATTTAGAGACAGGAGACCACGTGCCTACATGCACGAGCGTGCACACGCACTTACACACATACACACACGCCTGCACACATACACACATGCATGCACACCCTGATAAGTGACCCATTCCTTAGCCAAGGCTGCACAAGCGTGGTTCCCCAGAGCAGGAGCAAAGTCCGTTTATTTGCCATGAACTTCCCCTGACTCCCTCCCTGGTTGTCAGCTTTCTGTATCCTTTTCCTTGTAGCTATGGCCCTTCCAGAGCCGAGAGAGCAGCAGAGCTCTTGCTGTGGCCTAAACCTTACATGCTTGAACCTGACAGTGGAGGAACTTCCCTAGCAACCTGGGCACTAACTTTGACCACTAATGGCTTTGGAACCAGGTTCCCTAGCAGTGAGGCTGCACCCTTACCCCGGGAAAGAAAGCAGGGCCAGGACCCAGGTTCTCCTGAGCAGTGTCTATGCTGCCACCTGCCCAGAGTGCAGGGGCGTCCTCTTCTAATAGGTGACATGTATTGAGCACTTACTGTATGCTGGGAGCTGCCTGTGCTTTCGCTTTATCTGATTTAATCCTCACAGCAACTCTCTGACATGGATTAAGCACTTAGTGAATACTAGTTGAGTGGATGCATGATTATCCCTTCGAATTAGATCTTATTCTTATTCTCCTGTTAGCTCCCTGACCTCCTTTTTTGTTTTTGTTTTTGTTTTGAGATGGAGTCTCACTCTTGTCTCCCAGGCTGGAGTGCAGTGGCACAATCTTGGTTCACTGCAACCTCCGCCTCCTGGGTTCAAGTGATTCTTCTGCCTCAACCTCCTGAAAAGTTGGGATTATAAGTGTGCGCCACCACACCCGGCTAATTTTTGTATTTTTAGTAGAGACAGGGTTTCACCATGTTGGCTAGGTGGGTCTTGAACTCCTGACCTCAAGTGATCCACCTGCCTCAGCCTCCTAAAGTGCTGGGATTACAGGTGTGAGCTACCACATCTGGCCTCAGACTTCACTTTCTACCAGTCTCTGTGCTTCTGGCGCCCCGGCTTCCTTGCTGTTCCTGGACTACTCTTGGTGCACTCCTGCCTCAGGGCCTTTGCACTTTTCCTTTGCCTGAACTCTGCACCCAGATATCCACGTGGCTGGCTTCCTTCCCTACTTCATCAGGCCATTATTCCAACCTCCCCTTCTCTGTGAGGCTTTCCCCAAACGCCTTATTTAAAATTACAACACTCCTTCCCTCCCTCCTTATTCTCTTTCCCTACTTTATTTTCCCCAAGCAAGCATTATCTTCTCCCATTCTATACACAGTACGTCCTGGTCTTGCTCATTGTTGATCTCCGCTACTTGGATCTACACCTCTTCTCCCCTTCTGGCAGGGATCTCTGCCTTCGCTGCTATCTCCTGGCTACCTGTGCCAGGGCCTAGTTCAGAGTAGATGCTCAGTACATATATATTGAATATATCTTGAATGTATGAAAGAACAAATGAGTTTCCTTTCTACAAAGGAGGGGACTGAGGCGCAGAGAAATGAGCTGATCACTTGTCCAAAGTGACATGGCAAATAAATGACAGCTGTGGGATTCAAGTCCTGCCAGACTCCTAAGCTTGGAAGGTAGGGTTGCCTGGGAGAAATGCTGGATGGGTCTTTTTTGATGATCACTAAAGTAAGTTGCCTTTGAGTGAAAAGGATTCAGTAGCTGAAGTTTGCAAACACAGTGCCACGAAGCCCTTGCCGCCCTGCCTTCCTGTCCGGGAGATGGCTCCAGGTAGCTCCAGGCAACCAGAAGATGTGCTGGGATGGAGGCTGTGGATATCATCTTTGGTGTTATTTTGCTTCTAGAGATGGGAGCTCTTTTCTGAGCCTATTTGTAGGGACATCTGCATATACGAGCCACCTATCTGGTAAGTCCTTCCCATGGTCCGAGGCCTGTACAGCAGAACCCGGGCATGAGCTCAGGACTTTGTCTATACTACTGCAATTATGTAGTTAATTGTGCCAGTGTGTCCATTAGCTGACATAATCAGGGAGTGAATTAACTTCTGCTTTTCTGGCTATATTTCAAAGGCATTTTTAAATGCTTATTTTTTTTGGAGCCTATGCACTCTTCAGAAATTAAATTTAGGCTGTGATTTTATTACCCTTTTTATTTAATTTATCCTAACGGTTGCATTCAAGCTGTGAACCAGCTGTTGACTTTGAAAAAACATTGTTCAATTTGAAGGGAACATTTTAAAACTTAATGTAATGGCTGTAAGTAATCACTACAGCAATTACACTTCCCAGCGTTGTGCGTCACATGGGGGCATAGTGGGGATTTGGAGTAATGCTCCCAGTTGGGCCAGGTGTTGCTAGGGCAAGAGACAGGCAGCAGGGATCCGGGGCAGAGGGACCAGCTGACCACACTGACATGTTTCCTCTCCCACTTAGTTGGGGCCAGGCCCTGGGGAAGAGAGTTTGCAAGAGGCCCAGGTTTAGTTGAACACGTGGAACCATTGGTGAGCTCCTAGCTCCTGCAGTCCTCTTTCCAGCCACTGAGTCTCATTGGAAGGCTTTGCTCTTTTCTCTGCCTCCTGCCATGGATAGAGGAATCTAAGAGGTTCTGAGATTGGATGGAATTCTGGGGCTCAACTTGCACAGAACCTTTTCATGAGTCACTTTCTGTCCTTGTATTCATTCATTGACTCATTTACTCCATCACTTTGGTAGACTGCAATGAAAATGGCACAAATGCTTCCTATGCCTGTTGTGTGCAATGCACCTCTCCCATGGAGAAGTGAAGTCCAGTTCTCCAAATCTGAAATTTCAGCTTGATTACATGATGACATTTAGTCACTGGGATCTTAGCAAATGCATTGCCAGCAGAGGCTGGGCAAGCACTCGCACACTGAGGCTGGTCCTCTCTTGCTGCCCTTTGACCTCCATGTGAAGAGACCCGGGATAGCCTGCTGGATGACAAGAGACCTTGTGGAGCACAGTTAAGCTGGCCCAACTGGTGTGTCCCCTGGAACCAGCCTGCTAACCTGTGAGTGAACCACCTTAGACCATCCAGCTCCAGTGAGCCAGCCCAGCAAACCTATTGAATCATGAGCTAAATAAAGTGACAGTTGTTTTAAGCCACTATGCTTTGGGTGGTTCACTATGCAGTAAGAGTAAACTGAAATAATAGGCAAGTATTCAGTGAGTGCCTAATCTGTGCCAAGCATTGAACTTGGCCTTGGGGATGTGTAGCCCCGTGATGGGCATGAAATCCAGGCTGGTCAATGAGAGCACTCCATCCCCTGATCACAGCTTCCTGCTGGCTGGTCTGCCTTTTGCTTGGGGTGGGCAATCCGTGCTCTTGTCTTGCCCTGGTCTGCAAACCTGCATGATCTCTGGCTCCCAGGTTCAGCTCCAAGTCTCTCCTTATCATCACCCTGAGGTGGGCAAAGGCCTTGCCAGAAGGGTTAGTAGAGATTAGTAATTGATGACTTCAGGCTAACAGAGAGTTCAAATACTGACTTCTCTGTTTATTACCATTTACTGTTGTGAAAATAAGTAATTCAAATCTAAGCTGTTGGAACTTTAAAGCATTTTGAGCCTTAAGGGAATGTGATTATAGGGCCTGAACCACATGAGAGGCAGCTGTAACTTGGGCACCTGTCACCTTTGTTTCTCTGGTTAGATTAGCCTTTCTCCTGCCTATATTGTATTGTAAATGTTGTAAAGGACTAAAGGGCTCCAGAGAAGACCCTTTCCCTCTTAACTGTTGATCTTCACTTTAGATAAACTTCCCTTTCTGTAGTCCTAGCCACACAAAAGGCTGAGGTGGGAGGATTGCTTGAGCATGGGAGTTTGAGGCTGCAGTGAGCTATGATTGCACCACTGCACTCCAGCCTGGGTGACAGAGTAGGACCCTGTCTCAGTAAGAAGAAAAAAGAAACTTGTGACTTAGTGAGGATGCGTCCATTGGCCTAAGCTCACAAAAGTGGGATTGGAATCACACAAAGACCTCTTGGCTATCATTGTCTAAAGTGGACTGTCAAATACAGCCTCTTAAATTGGAAAGGAAAAGAAAACAAGCTGGATGGAAAAGAAAACAAACTATAAATAATACAATTGTTGTACCTCATGAACCAGCCTTGTATAGAAAATGTTATAATCCTACTAAATTTCTTTGTTTTCTGCCTGTATAAGCAAGATCTTAACTTTTCATCCTGAATCACTGAACCCAGTTCTTTGGAGTCTATGTTACTCAAATGACCATTCTCAGCTTTGTGCTTGAATAAACGCTTTTAAACTGGTTTTTGATCCTTTTGATTATTTCAGGTTGACACTGTCATGATCATGAATGGTTGCTATAGATTGAGTGTTAGTTCCTCCTTACCCCATTCATATGTTGAAGCCCTAACCCGCAAAGTGATGGGATTAGGAGGTGGGGCCTTTGGGAGGTAATTAGGTCATGAAGATGGAGCCCTCATTAATGAGGTTAGTGACCTTATAAGAAGAGTCATAAGGCTGGGCGTGGTGGCCCAGGCTGGGCACCGTGGCTCATGCCTGTAATCCCAGCACTTTGGGAGGCCGAGGCAGGCAGATCCTGAGGTCAGGAGTTTGAGACCAGCCTGGCCAGCATGGTGAAACCCCGTCTCTACTAAAAACACAAAAATTAGCCAGGCATGGTGGCGCGCACCTGTAGTCCCAGCTGCTTGGGAGGCTGAGGCAGGAGAATTGCTTGAACCCAGGAGGTGGAGGTTCAGTGAGCTGAGACTGTACCACTGCACTCCAGCCTGGGTGACAGAGCAAGACTCCGCCTCCAAAAAAAGTCATAAGAAAGGTGATGTATCTCTCTGCCATGTCAGAATTCAGTAAGAAGGTGGCTATCTGCAAACCAGGAAGAGAAGCCTCACCGGACACCAAATCTGTAGGCACATGGTTTTGGATTTGGCCACACAGCTGACACTGACCTTGATCTGAAACTTCTCAGTTTCAGAAGTGTGAGGACTAAATGTTGTTTGAGTCACCAGTCCATGGTATTTGTTATAGCAGCCTGAACTAAGACAATGGTAGAGTCAGGCTGTCTGGATTCCAATCCCACTTTAATGAGCTTAGGCCAATGGATACATCCTCACTGAGTCTCAGGTTTCTTTTTTCTTTTTATTGGGACAGGGTCTCACTCCATCACTGAAGCTGGAGTGCAGTGGTGTGATCACAGCTTACTGCAGCCTTGAACTCCTGTGCTCAAGCGATCCTCTCACCTCAGCCTCTTGAGTAACTGAGACTATAGGCATGTGATACCACACCCAGCTAATTTTTTATTTTTGGTGGAGATAGGTGTCTCACTATGTTGCCCACACTGGTCTGGAACTCCTGGCCTCAAGTTATCCTCCCGTCTCAGCCTTTAAAAGTGCTGGGATTACAGGCATGAGCCACTGTCTCCGGGCTTAAGTTTCTTATCTGTAGCATGAGAATGATACCACCCCATTCATAGGACTATTGTGAGGATTAAAAGAGATAAAGCATCCCTTAGTTGAGGACTTGGCACATAGTAAACATTTATTCAGTGAAACCAATATCATCACTGCTGGCTGTGTGATATTGGGCAAATTATTTTATGTCTCTGAGTCTTGGTTTTCTGTCTTTCAAATGGACAGACATCATATCACCTATCACTAACCACCTTGGGAATTTTTTTTTTTTTTGAGAGCTCTGTCACCCAGGCTGGAGTGCAGTGGTGCGATCTTGGCTTACTGCAAGCTCCGCCTCCCGGGTTCACGCCATTCTCCTGTCTCAGCCTCCCAAGTAGCTGGGACTACAGGTGCCTGCCACCATGCCCGGCTAATTTTTTGTATTTTTGGTACAGACTGGGTTTCACCATGTTAGCTAGGATGGTCTCAATCTCTTGACGTCGTGATCCACCGACCTCAGCCTCCCAAAGTGCTGGGATTACAGGTGTGAGCCACTGTGCCCGGTCTTTTTTTTTTTTTTTTTTTTTTTTTTGATACAGGGTCTCATTCTGTTGCCCAGGCTGGAGTGCAATGGCACGACTGTGGCTCACTGCAACCTCTGCTTCCCCAGCTCCAGGGATCCTCCTGCCTTTGCCTCTCAAGTAGCTGGGACTACCGGCATGCACCATGACACCTGGCTAATTTTTGTATTTTTTTGTAGAAATGGAGCTTTGCCATGTTGCCCAGGGTGGTCTGAAACTCCTGGGCTCAAGTGATCTGCCTGCCTTAGCCTCCCAGTGGGATGGTTTAAGGAGGAGAAGTGACAAGTGCCTTTAAGGCACTTAACACTGGGCCTCACACCTGGAAGTTGCCCTATAAGTGGCAAATATTGTTTTTTGTTATGAATATTATTATCACCTAATCAAGGTGGATTACTTGGGAGAGAGCTCCTGGGCTGAGGCTGGCTTTCCTCCTCCCAAGAGTGAACACTCTGGGGGTTTAAGGAAGACTGCCTTTTGCCCTACCTGCACATATATCTTTGCTGCAGTGTCAGCTACGTGGCCAAACTGACTTACCATGTGGTTTATGGCCTCCATTTTCCCATATATGAAATGAGGGGTTTCCAAATGACAAATAGTTTTCAAATTATGCACTTTCTCTGATTGATTGCTAATGTCTGTTGGGAGCTGTGACTCCTGATTCTTGCCCCATCCAGGCTCATCAGGAGAAAGTGTCATAGTTGATTAATGATGACTGCAGTGTATGTGAGACAGGAGAATGAAGTGTATTTTTTGACACCAACGAGGGGTCTTTTAGGGGTATCCTGGGGATACTAAGATTCAGTCAGTTTGTGGATTTCTGACCTGACAAGTCTATATATTAGCTTTAGTGTTGTGGGTGTTTCAGGGTGGAGCTCAGGATGGGGAATGAACATTATTCATCTTCATATTCTCAAGACCTAGTGAGGAATCTCCAACCCTGGGCTCAGGAGATCCTCCCACCTCAGCCTCCCAAGTAGCTGGGATTATAGGTGCGTGCCACTGTGACCAGTCCAAGTGAGAGTCTCAATTCTCAAATGGTGTGTAAGGAGAGGAGCATAGATTTGTGGTCACAGAGACCTGGAATTCCACCCCAGAGCTGTTGTTGGCCAGCTGTGTGATTGTGCAGCAGTGATCACTATTGAGTGCTGTGTGTGCTGAGTATTCTGGCTGTATTAGTCCATTCTCATATTGCTACAAAGAAATACCCAGAGCTGGGTAATTTATAAAGAAAAGAGGTTTATTTGGCTCACGGTTCTGTGGCAGTACAGGAAGCATAATGCTGACATCTGCTCAGCTTCTAGGGAGGCCTCGGAGTTTTACTCATGGCAGAAGGTGAAGGGGCAGCAGGCACGTCACACAGTGAGAGCAGAAGCAAAAAGCCAGGGTGCTACACACTTTTATGACCAGATCTCACGAGAACTCACTGTCACGAATACAGCACCAAGCCATGAGGGATCTGCCCCCCGTGATCCAAATGCCTCCCACCAGGCCCCACCTCCAGCATCGGGGATTACAATTCAACATGAGATTTGGACAGGGACAAATTTCCAAACTATATCACTGGCTCTCCCACTTCTGGAGAATTAGGAAGGATGGTTGGGTAGGATCATATGACTAGCTCTGACCAATGAGGATGGAGCAGAAGTGAGCTCCTTCAGAGGTCTCTTTCCTACTCTGGTAATGACCGAATAACTGCTCCAGACAGAGCTGCTCCATCAGCCTGGAGCCTGGAGTGGCAGCGTTGTGGGGGCTCCTTGGGAAGAACACTCTAGACGGAGACTAACGTGTGAAGTTTACCAGGCTGTGTTCTCAGTACCTGCACTCACGTGGGAGGAAGAAAGCCCAACTGGGCAGACAGAGGAGTGGGCTCCACAAAGAGCTCTGAGACTTGTGGTCCTTCAGTCATGTCCCAAGTTGCAGCAATAATCTGGGCTTTTATACCCTCATGTCAACAGCTCACTGGATGTGAGCTACCCCTATGGAAGGGGAGAGGTAATTCCAGCACTTTGGGAGGCTGAGGTGGGTGAATCGCTTGAGCCCAGGAGTTTGAGACCAGCCTGGGCAACAGGGCGAAACCCCATCTCTATAAAAAATACAAAAAAATTAGCTGGTGGTGCAAGCCTGTAGTCCCAGTTACTTGGGAGGCTGAGCTGGGAGGATCACTTGAGCCTGGGAGTTCGAGACTGCAGTGAGCTGTGATTGTGCCACTGCACTCCAGCCTGAACAATACAGCAAGACCCTATCTCAAAAAAAAAAAAAAAAAAAAAAAAAAGGAAAGAAAGAAAGAAAAAGAAAGAAAGGGAGGTGATCTTGGGTGAGAGGGAGCTCTTCATCCGAGGGTAATTCCTACAGAGGGCTGACAGCTGAGGGCCATGGGGGAACTCTAGCAGCTGGGGGAATATAACAGAGGCATGCAGGAGTTTTCTAAGCCAGCGATTAACTGCAGCCATCATTAAAAATTAAATTATGTAAATTTATAGCTAAACACATTTTATTAAAAACAAAGGAAAGAAATACCCCAAACCCACCACTTCTTGTTTTATTGCATTTTACTACTCTCTAAGTTTTTGAATGTATTTATGTCCATTGTATCTGTAAGATGGAAATATTACATAACAGTGTGTGAACACACACTTCTTTCCCTGTTCTGCATGCAGTGACCTCACTGTGCAAGCTTGACATTGGCCATTTCGGAAGCATTTATACCACCAAAAATGGGCAAACACTACAAATCAGGTCTCTATGAATTGTTTGGGTTCTTGTATAGACGTGAGAAAGCAATAGAAGAAAAAGCAAATTAAACTGAAAAGTGTCATATTGGTAGCTGTTACATTGTGAATAGCAAAAAAACATTATAGAGTCATTCATTGGAACTCTAGGTGGGCTATGGATGTCAGAGTTGTATAATAAAAATCAACAAAAGCTTTCCGTGAGAATCATTTGGCTATAGACAATTTTCAATAAAGAGTTTGTATATTTTATTACTATTTATAAACTGTGTACAATACATCTTTTATCAGTAAAATTTATAATAAAGATATGTATACACACATGCGTGTTCGTGCACACACACACACACACACACACAGACACTGTCTACCCTCACAGAACTGTTATTAATCATTCACCAACACATCACTGGGGACTATATTGGTCCTTCTTCCTTATGGGGTTGTCTCAGCAGTGGAGGAACCTGTCCACTAGAGAAGGTGGCCTGGAACAGAGTCACTGTCAAGCCCTGATGGACATTTAGTTTGAGTGAGAGCTAATCTTATGGTCTCTGTTATTTCACCCCACTGAGATTTTTGGGATTGTTTGTTATAGCAGCATAACCTAGCCTATGCTGACTGATACACTTAAGTAAAGGCACTTAATTCACTGGGTCATAGTTTCTTCACAATAGTTCCTTGTAGGGTTTCAGAGAGAACCAGAGGTGATGTCTATGTTTTCTTTGGCATTCAGTGGGCACTAATAATCTCAGCTGTTTTCATCGATAGCAGTGTCTTAGTACATGACTCATATTGATTTGTTTACCTGATGGGAAATTCCTACAAGCCATCTTTGTACAGTTGGACATGAGGACACAGCTCTTTGTCTCTATCTCTCTCTCTCTCTCCTCTGTCTACATTCTCTCCACCGTTCTCTGTGTCTTTCTCTGCATTTATGTCTGGGTCCAAATCACAATCCAGAGGACTGAACCAAAGGCCACCAGTCTCAGCTGGGATGGGCAGCTCTTCGGGATCCTGGGGTGTTCACTGCCCAGTTATTGTGGCTGCAGTGGCTCTGTCCCTTGGTCTCCTGAGTGGAATAAAATTCAACCCCAAGGAACAGTGGTAGAGGAGGACTATAAAGGTTAATGTCCTGAGAAATAGCCTGGAGGTAGCGGCAGCAGGCAGGAATAACAATTTTAATACAAAATAAAAACGGGTGGATGAATTGCTGCAAGGCCTGGTGGTGCCTTGCACAGGTCTGAGCAGCACACACAGCAGCTGGGGCCAGAGGCTGGGGGAGAGTCGGTCACTGAACCTCAGCCTCTGACGGGCACACTGGCACCCTGGGTGATTGTACGCTGCAGCCAGCATAGAATTGAGGATTCTATTCTAATTCCTATTGAATTAGAATAGAGGATTGAGGATTCCTATTCTAATCATTTTAGTTGGTACAATAGGCATAATATGTGTGTCTCAAGAGGCTGCTGTGAGGATGAGGTATGGCGTTTAATAACTTATTAAAGGCCTGTCAGGAGGGGACCCATTAAATAATGATGCATCCATAACTGTTAACAATTATGAGACAGATTTATACCTATTGTTATGGCACAATGGCCAATAAATATTAAGGGGCAAAGCAAGATGGTGCAAGTCCTCATGGTGTGTCTCCTTTGAGGAGGGGAGTTTGAGGGTATATTAACGTATGCTCTGTTACAGTGGGGACGAGAAATGGGAACTGGTGGCCGAGTGAGGTGGGAAGTTAATCTTTTGACTATATGTCCTCTGATGCTGCTTCAAATTGTTACTATACACATCTCTCTCTCTCTTTTTTTTTTACCTTTTTGAGACAGGGTCTGGCTCTGTTGCCCAAGCTGGAGTGCAGTGGCACAATCTCGACTCAACGCGACCTCCACCTCCTGGGCTCAAGTCATTCTTCTGCCTCACCCTCCCGAGTAGCTGGGATTACAGGCACGCACCACCACGCCTGGCTAATTTTTGTATTTTTAGTAGAGACGGGATTTCGCCATGTTGGCTAGGCTGATCTTGAACTCCTGACCTCAAATGATCCTCCCACCTTGGCTTCCCAAAGTGCTGGTATTACTGGCGTGAGCCACTGCACCAAGCTGCACATCTCTTATGTATACTTTTTTGTATAATAGCAGAAAAAAAAATTCCACCAGGTTTTGGAAGCACTGCCATCATCTATGCCACCAACCCAGGGACGTGGGAGGTGGGATTTGATCCTGGAGGCGGGGCTCGGACTCTGGACCAGATCGAAGATTGGCTGAAACAGGGAAGAGGCCAAAGCGCCTCTCCATAAGACATGCCCGCCAGTGCCATGTCAGTTTACCACTGCCATGGCAACACCTGGAAGTTAATCCCCATTTCCATGGCAATGACCTGACAACCTGGAAGTTATCATCCTATTTCTGGGACTGTCGGCATAAGCCACCCCTTAATTTGCATTTAATTAAAAGTGGGTATAACATGACTGCAGACCAGTCTCTGAGCTGCTACTCTGGACACACTGCCTGTAGGGTAGCCCTGCTCCACAGGGAAGCAGTCCCTCTGCTGCTGCTGTTCATTGGGACTTCAATAAAAGTTGCTGTCTAACACCACCAGCTAGCCCTCTGATTCTTTCCTGGGTGAAGCCAGCAATCCTCCTGGGATAAGCTCTAATTTTGGGGCTCACTCGTCCGGAATCACCAGGTCAAGGGCAACTTTAGCATTGAGTTTGCGGAGGTCCCAGTTATCGACATATTATTTTTGAGGTTATGGGGCTGGATTCCCATAGGAGGACTCCAGAATCTTACGTGCAGTAATGACTTGGGGAAATAGCTGAGGTGGAGTGTTTTAAAGAAACTGGCCCAGCACTTTGGGAGGCCAAGACGGGCGGATCACGAGGTCAGGAGTTCAAGACCAGCCTGACCAACATGGTGAAACCCCGTCTCTACTAAAAATGCAAAAATTAGCCAGGCGTGGTGGCACATACCTGTAGTCCCAGCTACTCGGGAGGCTGAGGCAGGAGAATCGCTTGAACCCGGGAGGCGGAGGTTGCAGTGAGCTGAGATCGGGCCACTGCACTCTAGCCTGGGAGACAGAGGGAGACTCCATCTCAAAAAAAAAAAAAAAAAAAAAACAACTTGTTGCACATCAAAACGACGAAAGGAACCTGATGATGCATATCAGACTATTCAGGCTCATTCTGTGTGGAAAAGTCAGGGAGTGAGAGGTTTAGACACAAAGTGGATTTGAATGCTCTCTTGCCATGGCTGTGCCTTGTCCCTGCCAATGCTATTAACTATTAGACCTCCCTGTGATTATTATCAGGCCCCTGCAATCTTAACTTGTCAAAAATTCCCCCCAAGAACAGACCCCCGTAGCTGTCTGGATGCCATCCCAGATGGGTTTCTCAGTTTCTGGAGGGTCCTGGTTTTGGGTGCCACGATCTTTAGGGCCTTCCAGGATGGAAGCTGCATTGGGGTTGCTTGAGGTCCCAGTGGCCATGTTGAGGAATCCCATGGGCTTAGGGGTCAGAGGCATTAGAACCAGAGCAACTCCATCATTGAGTAGGGGCTGGGTAAATTAAGGCTGAAACGTGATGGGCTGCATTCCCATGAGGCTAGGCATTCTTAGTCAAAGGATGAGGTGGGAGGTCCGCAGGACCGGTATCACAAGATACACATCATAAAAACCCTGCTAATAATACAGGTTGCAGTAAAGAAGCTGGCCAAAACCCACCAAAAACAAGATGGTGAAGAAAGTGACCTGTGGTCATCCTCACTGCTCATTATGTGTTAATTATAACGCATTAACTTCTAAAATACACTCCCTCAAGTACCATGACAATTTACAAATGCCATGTCAATGTCTGGAAGTTACCCTCTATGGTCTAAAAAGGGGAGGAATCCTTAGTTAGGGAATTGCCCACCCTTTTCCTGGGAAGACTCATGAATAATCCACCCCTTCTTTAGTATATGATCAAGAAATAACTATAAAAATAGCCAACCAGCAGCCCTCTGGTTAGAGCCAGAGAAAGGTTGAAAAACCCAATCAGTGCAACTCCCAGCCTGCACTCTCACCACTCCACAAGGAACATCACCCTGCTCCCGGCCCAGAGGGGCAAGAAAGCCACATTCACCATGAGGACGGTGGGCATGATGAACGCTGCGAAAGAGAGAGGCAGTAAGTGCTGTGGGAATGCCCAGGAGGAAGCGGCTCTGCCTGGACAGCTGGAAAAGGTTGGGTTATGAAGCAGGGGTGCATTGCTAGATGGGTCGGGGAGGGTTGGTGCACCAAGAAATTTGGAAGGGGGCAGCATATTCAGCAAATGGGGCTGGGCTGATGGCATCAAAGGATGGGGTGTAGACAGTGAGGGATTGGAATGAGATGAGAGGCAGGCAGTCTCTCGAGACTCCCTTAAATCTCAGGCTGAGGAGTTGGGTTTTTCTTTACTTAACAAGGGCTTTAAAGCAGGAGAGCTCATCAATAGTGATCATAGTCTGTGTTTGGGAGCTGCCTCAGTTAAATAGAACCAAGGGCACATCCACAGATATAGAAGAGGAGATTTATTTTGGGAACTGGCTCCTGGGATTGTGGAGGTTAGGAAGTCCTCCACGGTTTGCTGTCTGTGTGCTGGAGAACCAGGAAAGCTAGTGGTGTAATTCAATCCAAAGCCAAAGGCTTGAGATCCAAGAGTCCCAAAGTCCAAATGCCTGGGAGAACTGGGAGCTCTAATGTCGAAGGTAAGAGAAGGTTGGGGTTTTCAACCCTTCTCTGGCTCTATCCCTGCACAAGGAGAGAGAGAGAGAATTCACCCTTCCTTTTCCTTTTTGTTTTCTCTGGGTCCTCAAGGGATCGGGTGGTGCCTACCCCCTTTGGGGAGGGTGGGTCTTCTTCACTCCATCCACTGATTCAAATGCTATTCTCTTCCAGAAACACCCTCACAGACACACCCAGAAATCATGCTTTACCAGCTGTCTGGGCATCTCTTAGACCAGTCAAGATGGCACATAAAATTAACCATCACATGATATGACCTGCAGGTGGCTATAAAGGATAAATAAGAGCTGGGTGCAGTGGCTCATGCCTGTAATCCCAACAGTTTGGGAAGCCAAGGTGGGAGGATCACTTGAGCCCAGGAGTTCAAGACCAGCCTGGGCAACATAGTGAGACCCTGTCTCTAAAAATAAATAAATAAATAAATAAATAAATAGAATAAACAAGAGGAAGGCAAAGGTGGAGGTAGAGAGACCAGTTAGGAAGCTACTGTGGTCATCCATGCTGGAGGGAATGTCGGTAGCAGTGGGAAGGGAGAGGTATGGTCACAGTTTAGAGATGTTGAACAGGTCAAATCAACAGAACTTGGCAACTAGATGTAGGGAAAGAAGGGGAGGGGTGAGTCAAGAATAGTCCTGCTTGACCAGGCACAGTGGTTCATACTTGTTATCCCAGTTCTTTGGGAGGCTGAGGGAGGAGGATCACTTGAGGCCAGGAGTTCAAAATTAGCCTGGACAACATAGTGAGACTTTGTCTCTATAAAAAATAAAAAATTAGCGGGACATGGTGCTGTGTGCCTGTAGCTCCAGCTACTCTGGAGGCTGAGGCAGGAGGATCACTTGAGCCCAGGAGTTTGAGGCTGCAGTGAGCTATTATTGCACAACAGCACTCCAACCTGGGCAATAGAGCAAGACCTTGTCTCCAAAAAAATTGTTTTAAAAGAATATTCCTGACTGATCCTTGGGTAACTGTATGGATGTAGGTGCCAAAGTAGGAATACACGGGGAGAAGTGGGAGAAGGGGATGGAGAGATTTTGAGGTTAGTTGAACCCAAGGTACCCAAGGGAACTCCAGGTAGAAGTGCCCAGTGGGCAGTTGTATATGGAGTTCAGGGGAGAGGTAAGGCTAGAGGTATCACTGTAGCAAGTGACAGAAGAAACCTCCCCTAATTGAGTCTGGGGAGGCTGCAGGAAGAACAGCCCTCTCTGAGCACTGAGTCTGTACCAGTGTGGCCCCTGGGCATCTGGATATGTCCTTGGCCAGCTGAAACCCTTAGGAAACTTTTGTGGCACCAAATGCTGAGGGATTCAGCCAGGAGTGTCTTGGAGACTTACAAGACAGAAACCATGGACAAACCCTTCAGATCCTGGAAGTCACTACAACCCAGTTTGGCCCCACCGCCTTCCTTAGACTGAGGCCTTTTCTTCTGGCTGCAAGTTCTGGACCAGCTTCCACTGGGTATGTGATCCTGGTTCTTGCTGATATCATGAAAACCCTGTAAGAATTTAGGATGGCATACAGAAAGCGCTGCAACCTTGAGGTAGTCTTAGCCCCTTCCTGGGTTCGGTGGTCAGAGTGGACTAAAAGCTGATTTCCTCCTTTCTAGTTCCTTCAAGCTCCATGACCTTTAGGCCCCTTCAGTGCTCCTGCATGTGAATCAGTTCCTAAATGGGAAGACTGTCCCCCAGACAATCCCCTTAATTGGGTAGACCTGATTTAGAAGGACGAATCTGGAAAAGCTCAGAGCAGAACCACGTTTGAGATGGACTCTGTAGTTCTACCTTTTCCAAAGCCTCTGGAACAGAAGATGAGTTGAGTAACTTCCCTGCAACTGTCTCCTCAAGCAGCAGGAGAGAGAGCAACACCTTAGTCTCACCCAGCAGGAACCACCTCATTTACATGCATCAGAAACAATTTTTGCAAATTTAATTAATCACAGTTTACATGCTAATAATCCTTGAAATATTTTTATGGGTAAATAATGGATATTCTCTGCTGTGAGGGGAATTCATTGGTTCCAGCATTCACTTATAATTTATTTTCCATTGAGTGAGGAGGGAGTGAGAGTGATACCTACAGTCGCCATAGGAAGAAAAAGCCATGATAGTTATTTCTTGGATGAGGCCTGAAGAAGGTTGGATATCTCCAGTAGGTGCTTGGTGTCAAGGTGGGGCAGGAGAAGCGACCAATCCCCAGTATGACTACTTTTACTTCTAGGCCTCCTGGTTAAAACACCATGATGATTATTCTGCTATATTAATCATCATGACCACCCCCACTACCACCAATCATTATCACCCTTATCACTACCATCACCACTACCATCACCACCATCACCATCACCACCATCATCACCACCACCACCACCATCACCACCACCACCACCACCACCACCACCACCACCACCACCACCATCACCACCACCACCACATCACCACCACCATCACCACCACCACCACCACCATCACCACCACCACCACCACCACCACCACCACCACCACCACCACCATCACCACCACCACCACCACCACCACCACCACCACCACCACCATCATCACCACCACCACCACCACCACCACCATCACCACCACCACCATCACCACCACCACCACCACATCACCACCACCACCACCACCACCACCACCACCATCATCACCACCACCACCACCACCACCATCATCACCACCACCACCACCACCACCACCACCACCACCACCACCACATCACCACACCACCACATCGCCGCCACTGCCGCCACTGCCGCCACCACCACACCACCACAACACCGCCACCACTGCCACCACTGCCACCACCACCACCACCACCACCACCATCACCACCACATCACCACACCACCACACCGCTGCTGCCGCCGCCACTGCCGCCACCACCACAACACCGCCACCACCGCCACCACCGCCACCACCACCACCACCACCACCATCACCACCACCACCACCATCACCACTACGTTTATCAAAATGCAAGCCAGTTTTATTACCACCACATCATCACCACTACCACTATCACCTCCACCATCACCATTTCCATCATCTCCACCACTAACATCACCACCATTACCACCCACCACCATTTTTATTACCATCACTATCGTCACCACTCACTACCATCACCGCCACTATCACCACTATTTTCTTTACCACTGTCATCACCTCCGTCATCATTACCATCACCACCCAACGTCACCAACATTTTTATTACCACCATCATCACACATCACCGCCACCATTATCATCACCTCTATAACCACTAACACCATCACTACCATCACCACCATGACCACCCATCATCACCAACACTATTATCACCACCCATCACAGCCTTCAATACCAGTATCACTATCACCATGATTATGGTTATAATCATATCATCTCAACCTTCACTGCCTTTCTGTACCTTGGAGATGCCACTCCCTTCCATCCAGAAACCCAGCATCATCCCTGGATCCTCCTTCTCCTTCTTTCTCCTCTCCACACATGCTTGCTTTCACACATCTAATCAATCACTAAATCTTGTTGAGTCTGCCTCCTGCATAGATCTTCAAGTTATGTCTTCATCTTTCCTTATGTTTCCTAAGTTTAGGTCTTCTCTTGCTTTACTGCAAAACTTGTCTTTTTCTTGCCAGTGTGGTGCTAGATTATCTTCCTCATGTGGTAATCTGATCATCTTACTCCTGTGATGAAAACTTCATCTCATTGCCTCATTGTCATCAACGATACTCCAACTGCAGTAGTATGTAAAATGTTTGAAGGGAAAACATTCTATAGACCCCATATTGACTTCAAAATTTGAATTTTTAATGTTACTTACTTATTTCCAAACAAAACTAGGTATTAACTCATTTTGCACATACTGTGCTTCATTGAATCTGAAACACCATCAATTGTAAGATGCATTA
This sequence comes from Homo sapiens, assembly GCF_000001405.40. NCBI lineage: Eukaryota > Metazoa > Chordata > Mammalia > Primates > Hominidae > Homo > Homo sapiens. The sequence goes on along the minus strand of NC_000016.10, from coordinate 27,137,759 downwards.
TTATTTTATGTAGCATTAAAAAGGGAAAAAGTGCTGTCATTTGAAATTGTAAGAGGCTGTAGATTTTAAGATGCATCGCAATTTCAGAGTCAAAATGAGAGGAAAATTATGTTTTAGTATCAATGACAAAAGAAGTTTATAAACAAGACTAAACAAATTAGAAACTGAACACTAAAAGTGATAAAATTCAAATTAGCATTATTTATTTAATATGATAGATGATGTGGTTTTGCTGAAACTAAACTGCCACTTACTCAAAATGAATTGCTGTTCTAGCCCAGGTTATTTTGAGCTTTGCTTCCTTTATTACTTTAGGTGGCATGGAAACTCAATTCTCCCACCATTTTTGTCTCTGAGAATCTTTAACTGAGATAGAGCAGGGATCCCCCTTTTTTAGGCGCCTGCAGACCCCAAGTATGGAAATAAAGGAAAATCCTGAGATCCTTCAAGGGAAATTCCAGGCACCTAGCTAGCCCTGAGAACTAAATAAGTAACTTGTTAAATAAGAAGGTAATAGCCTAAAACAATAGCTAAGGAAGTTAAACTCCCAGAGATGTCCATTTTCCTTATAGAAACTAAATGTAACATCTTAACATAGCTTCCCGAATTGTCTTTCAGATGCTCAGATCCCCACAGATGACCCTCCACCAAACAGCTGGAGCCACTGACCGTAGACCACAGATAAGGGGGAAGGGAAGACTAAACTTTAACTGTCGCCCTTTGTTCTAAGTTTCTTCCTGCGGGTGCTTGGAGAAAGTCACTCCCCCTAGCCAGTTAACATTATTCTACTGACCTCAAAATTTTAAACAAATCTTCTTTTCCTTAACCAATTGCAAATCAGAAGATCTTTGAATCTACCTGATATGGTTTGCTTCTGTGTCCAAATCTCATCTTGAATTGTAATCCTCATGTGTTGAGGGAGGGACCTGTTGGGAGGTGATTGGATTATGGGGACAGTTTTCCCCATGCTGTTCTCTTGACAGTGAGTGAGTTCTCATGAGCGCTGGTCGTTTTAAAGTATGTCATTCCCCTTTGCTTGCTCTCTCTCTCTCCTGCCACATTGTGAAGAAGGTACCTGCTTCCCCTTTACCTTCTGCCATGATTGTAAGTTTCCTGAGGCCTCCCCAGCCATGCAGAACTGTGAGTCAATTAAACCTCTTTTGTTTATAAATTACCCAGTCTCAGGTAGTATCTTTATAGCAGTGTGAGAATGGAATAATACACTACCTATGACCTGTAAGGCTTCACTTCAAGACACTTCAAGATATCTCCTCCTTTTAATCTTAAACCAATGTGTAACCTTCATGCATTGATTTACGATTTTGCCTGTAGTTTCTGCTTTCCTGAAGTTTACCCTTGTCTTTAAAAACCCTTACCTGCCCCAGGGGTTGTGGCTCATGCCTTTAATCCCAGAACTTTGGGAGGACAAGGTGGGAAGACTGCTTGAGCCCAGGGGTTCAAGACCAGCCTGGGCAACATATCAGACCTCATCTCTACTAAAAATAAAAAAATTAGCCGGGTGTGGTGGCAGGCACCTTTAGTTCCAGCTACTTGGGAGGCTGAGGCTAGAGGATCACTTGAGCCCAGGAGATTGAGGCTACAGTGAGCTATATGATCATGCCACTGCACTCTAGGCTTGGCAACAGAGGGCAGAGCAAGACCCTGTCTAAAGAAATCCACCATCACTACCAACGAAAAAAGCCCTTACCTTGCAGGTACTTGGCTTGTAGACACTGGGGAGTTTGGGTCTTAAGCATGACCTGACCTGATTCTCCTTGCTGGGCACCCTGCAATAAGTGCCTTTCTTTCTATCACTGCAAACACCTCTGGGTAGGTATCTGGATTTACTGCTCTGGGTGAGTGAACCTCAGTTTGGTTCTAGAACATAACTGGCATCGCAAGCCATTCAGTTGGTCTTCTTGGGAATAATGCTTAAAAGTTGAAGGAAATTGAACACTCAAACAATGGATTTTTAACAAAGCAATTTTACTTCTGTGCAGAGGGGTGCTTCTTTGGCCAGTTGCCACGAGAGCACACCTGAACAAAGGGGCACAAGTCTTTATTTTTGATGCAAGTCCTGTCCCTGTACCCTTTCCCCATTGGCCAGGGTCGAGTCACACAATTTAAACTAATTTCAATTGGCTAAGCACTTGAATTTTTTTAGATAAGGTGGGCACGTAAAAGAAAGTGGAGAGGAAGGGGAAGGGATGTTGTAATGAGCTAGAAAGTTAGTTTTTTTTTTTTTTTTTTAAATAAGGAAAGGAATGTGAGTTGGTATTGATAATGCCTGGTATTGTGGCGTGCCTGGTCATTTAACAAAGGAAAAAGGAGAAAAAGGAAAAGCAGGGGGTGGTGGGTACTATGAATTAAAGAATAAAAGATTTATTAGATTATTTGAAGAGAAACCTCATCATATCTCACAGTCTTTATCTGGCACAAACACATCATTTATGTATAAAGTCCAGCCCGGCCTTTTCCCCCTTGTTCTGGGACAATTAAAACATTATTACTTCTTTTTTTTTTTTGCAATGGTTTTGCCACCAGAACACAGGTGTTATGAAAACTACTCCTAAAGCCAAAATGGGAAAGGAAAATACTCACATCAACATTGTCATCATTGGACATGTAGATTCAGGCAAGTCAACCTCCACTGCCCATCTGATCTACGAATGTGGTGGCATTGACAAAAGAACCATTGTAAAATTTGAGAAAGAGGCTGCTGAGATGGGAAAGGGCTCCTTCAAGTATGCCTGGGACTTAGATAGACTGAAAGCTGAGCATGAATGTGGTATCACCATTGATATCTCCCTGTGGAATTTTGAGACCAGCCAGTGCTACGTGACTATCATTGATGCCCCTGGACACAGAGACTTCATCAAAAACATGATTACAGGGACATCTCAGGCTGACTGTGCTGTCCTGATTGTTGCTGCTGGTGTTGGTGAATTTGAAGCTGGTATTTCCAAGTATGGGCAGACCTGTGAGCATGCCCGCTGGCTTACACACTAGGTGTGAAACAACTAATTGTTGGTGTTCACAAAATGGATTCCACCGAGCCACCCTATGGCCAGAAGAGATACAAGGAAATCGTTAAGGAAGTCAGCACTTACATTAAGAAAATTTGGCAGGACACAGTGGCTCATGCCTGTAATCCCAGTACTTTGGGAGGCTGAAGCGGGTGGATCACCTGAGGTCAGGAGTTCGAGACCCATCTGGCCAACATGGTGAAACCCAGTCTCTACTAATAATACAAAAATTAGCTGGGCGTGGTGGCATACACCTGTAATCCCAGGTACTCAGGAAGCTGAGGCGGGAGAATTGCTTCAACCCAGGAGGTGGAGGTTGCAGTGAGTCAAGATTGCACCATTGCACTCTAGCCTGGGCCACAAGAGTGAAACTCCATCTCAAAAAAAAAAAAAAAAAAAAATTGGCTACAACTCTGACACAGCAGCATTTGTGCCAATTTCTGGTTGGAATGGTGACAACATGCTGGAGTCAAGTGCTAATATGCCTTGGTTCAAGGGATGGAAAGCAACCTGTAAGGATGGCAATGCCAGTGGAACCACACTGCTTGAGGTTCTTGACTGCATCCTACCACCAACTTGTCTAATTGACAAGCCCTTGCGCCTGCCTTTCCAGGATGTCTACAAAATTGGTGGTATTGGTACTGTTCCTGTTGGCCGAATGGACACTGGTGTTCTCAAACCCAGCATGGAGGTCACCTTTGCTCTTGTCAGTGTTACAACTGAAGTAAATTGTGTTGAAAAGCACCATGAAGCTTTGAGTGAAGCTCTTCCTGGGCACAATGTGGGCTTCAATGTCAAGAACATGTCCGTCAAGGAGATTCGTCATAGCAACGATGCTGGTGACAGCAAAAAGAAAACCCACAAATGGAAGCAGCTGGCTTCCCCGCTTAGGTGATTATCCTGAACCACCCAGGCCAAATAAGTGTGGACTATGCCCCTGTACTGGACTGCCACACGGCTCATATTGCCTGCAAGTTTGCTAAGCTGAAGGAAAAGATTGATCTCCATTCTGGTAAAAATCTGGAAGACGGCCCTAAATTCTTGAAATCTGGTGATGCTGCCATCGTTGATATGGTTCCTAGAAAGCTCATGTGTATTGAGAGCTTCTCAGACTATTCACCTCTGGGTCGCTTTGCTATTCGTGATATGAGACAGACAGTTGCTGTGGGTGTCATCAAATCAGTGGACAAGAAGGCTGCTGAAGCTGGCAAGGTCACCAAGTCTGCCCAGAAAGCTCAGAAGGCTAAATGAATATTATCCCTAATACCTGCTACCCTGGTCTTAATTGGTGGAAGAACAGTCTCAGAACTGTTTGTTTCAATTGCCCATTTAAGTTTAATGGTAAAAGACTGGTTAATGATAACAATGCATCATAAAACCTTCAGAAGGAAAGGAGAATGTTTTGTGGACCACTTTGATTTTTTGTTTTGTTTTGTTTTTTCGTGTGGCAGTTTTAAATTATTAGTTTTTAAAATCAGTACTTTTCAATGGAAGCAACTTGACCAAAAATCTGTCACAGAATTTTGAGACCCATTAAAACAAAATTTAATGAGAAAAAACACACATTATTACTAGACCCCAAAATGATCACAAATCAAATCATTGCATGGATTCCATTCTGGTTGTCAGGGAGATGATCCAGAATGTGCTAGTATTTGTGAACACACTAAAATTTTAATAAGTTATTGCTGAGCACTTATAAATCCCTAAGTGTAATCTGCAAACTTTCAGGGAGACTTTAATGATAGTTTTAGACTCTTCAAGACAAGATCTGTCTTCTAGCATGCTCCAGCTTTGCCTTGTCTCTGGCCCTTTCCTGTTCCTTGCAGCAGCCTGAATTAGTTCATTTTCATACTGCTATGAAGAAATACCTGAGACTGGGTAATTTATAAAGAAAAAGTGGTTTAATGAACTCACATTTCCACATGGCTGGGGAAGCCTCACAATCGTGGTGGAAGGGGAAGGAGGAGCAAAGGCACATCTTACATGGCAGCAGGCATGAGGGTGTGTGCAGGAGAACTAGCTGCCCTTTATAAAACCATCAGATCTTGTGAGACTTATTCACTACCATGAGAACAGCATGGGAAAACCAGCCCTCATCATTCAATTTCCTCCCACTGGGTCCCTCCCACTACACATGGGATTATGGAAGCTACAACTCAATATGCGATTTGGGTTGGGACACAGCCAAACCATATCACAGACTTATAATCAAATGAACAATTGTAAAATTGTTCATTTACATGCTTGAGAGTCTGGACTTTATTTTTTTGATGTTTAGTACAGAGATGGATACCAATTAGGAACTGAGTATATTTAACAAATAACTTCAATTTTTCCTTTTATACCAAAGTTGTATATGTTTACACCCCTAATTCTATGGGAAAATTGGGCCAGTTTCACTCTTGGATGGAGCCAGCTGGTAAAGTTGGAGGTGAGGGAGTCTTTTTCAGGGACCCTGGAGTGTGCCCAGAATTTGTTTCCTGGGAAGAGTGGAGTGGTTCAGTGATGTTTCTGGAGAGTAGGAGTGAGGATGAGACTCCACCAGTCCCATTGGGCAGGGAGCTTCCTTCCTGGAAAAATGTCCTCTTTATGCTGAATCCCATCAGAGACTCCTGCTGTACAGTGATTCAGGGAAAGGTACCGCCTCTCTCTTTGTGCCTCCGTTTGACTAAAATGGGGGAAATGATACCACAGAGGCCTCATGGGACTGTGGAGAAGAGTAAATGAGCTGATATATGTAAACATGCCCAGCGTGGTGCCTGCCATCACAGATGTTCAAGAAACACAAGTTTTCTGTCTCCCTTTGCCCATTGTGTTTGAGAACACAAAGCCCTTAGTTAATGGAAGCACTAGTTGGGGAGCGGGAAATCTGAGTTCTAGTCCTGGTTCTACCATGGTGTGACTTTGGGCATATCATCTTCCCTTTCTGAACCTCCATTAAAAAAAATCGATAATGTGGGGATGAATGATAATGCTATCTACCTCACAGAATTTCAGATGGGATTACATTAAATACAGTGGTGTTTGAGTAAGAGACAATCATGGTCTCTGGCAAGTGACAACAACAATAAAAACTGAAAAAATGGCTGGATGTGGTGGCTTATGCCTGTAATACCAGCACTTTGGGAGGCCAAGGCAGATGGATCACTTGAGGTCAGGAGTTCGAGACTAGCCTAGCCTACACAGTGAAACCCCATCTCCAGTAATACAAAAAAAAAATAGCCAAGTGAGGTGGTGTGTACCTGTAGTCCTAGCTACTCAGGAGACTGAGGCAGAAAAGCCGCTTGAACCAAGGAGGTGGAGGTTGCAGTGAGCTGAGATCATACCACTGTACTCCAGCCTGGGTGACAGGGCAAGACCTTGTCTCAAAAAATTAAAAAAAAATTTAAAAGGGGAAAAAGTGCTGTTGACTGGAATTATAAAAGGCCAAATATTACTATATTCCTATATACCAGGAATGGTTCTTAGGAACCTAGATCCAGACTCTCATTTATTCCTTGTGTTGGCAGCAAGAACATCTCCACAAACTTGGGGCCTGAATGAGGCAGAGTGCTTTCATTTTCCCTACGAATTGCTTCCGCAACCACCTGCCTTATTAGTAGAATGTTCATCACTTTTCTTGTGGAGTTCTCTGTGCCCTCTTAAATGATCTGTGAACCATACAGGTGTTCTTAGTTCCAAGGGGAATGTCTGCCCATGGTTAACCTACAAGTGGCTAAGGACAGGGGTCTGATTAGTTCACTGCTGCAGTTGCCTCATGTTGCCAGAGGGGTTGCTGTTGAAGAAAGCTTTGCACAGTCTTGTGAATGCTTTGTTCTGTGATTATGTGAGACCCAGTTTCTGGATATCCATTGAGAGAGAATGATCCGACTCCTTCAGTGCTAAGTGTGGCCAAGAGCTACACACATTTGGCCCCAGAGTTACATCTCTACAATCAATTCTATCAGTTCGCATACACAGTCACTCCTTGGGGTATAAGCAGGAACCAGGAACACTGATTTGGGGTCAGGTCCAAAGTGTGACTACTCAAAAATGCTTACAGCAACTATACTTCCTGCCTCTCCTGTGACTTAATTGTTAGACAATTAGACAGCAATTATTTGACTCATTCAAACCCAAAAACTCTTGTTATATTCATCTTGAAGGAAGTCCTGGGCCACTTGAAGCAGGCTACCCTTGGTGGCTACAAAATGTCATCTGTTCCCAGTTGTGCTATGTTATAGTTTACAGAATCTTTTAATAAAATCGAGGGAAGAATCTGCAAGTTTGACATTCTATAGGACAGTCCTATTATCCTCCCAAGAATGGAGCAGAGGTCACTGTACTGTGCTCACAAGTCTAAAAATGTGGTCTGGAGATACTGTAGGAAGAGTAGAGGTGTTAGAAACAGACAGAAAGTGTTCAAATCTGTGGTGGAAATTAGTCGTGTTTACTCACCCAGTGTCTTATTGCTCCTTCAGCTCTCATGGGAACCTCAATTTTCTTTTCGTGAATTATCTCTTCCTCGCTCTCAGTCTCAGTTTGGGTGGGACTGGTCCTACCTTTGTTCTCAAGGGGTGGGAATCTGAACCAGGCCTGGCCAATGAAAGGACTGAAACTCCCTGGCTACAATTATTGGTTCACGGATCAGCACATGACCCAAGTTGGGCCAATGAAAGGCTGACTTGATATTTTTGCTAGAATGGTGGGAAAAGAAGCACTTCCTTTCTTTGGGGGAACACTAAGCTGATGGGATGTAAGCTTAAAGCTGCTAGGATTCTATGTTAGCCACCAGGTAGAGAATGCCTGATTGAAAATGAAGTCAACTTTGTGGAAAGAAGAGCCAAGTGATAGAGACTGAGAGATTCTACATGATGTTGAGCCCCTGGATCCAACTGTGCCTGAAACTAGAACTACAGATGGTCTGTCATGAACCAGAACATACCCATTTCCTAGTTAAGTCAGTTTGATTGTGTGGGGTTTTGGTCATTTGCCATAACACAGTATGCAATTAATCCCCTGAGGATCAGTATAAGTGGGTGCTCAGCAGAGCAAGATGTTAAACAAAAGACAGACAGACAGACAGGCAAACAGGCAGACAGATGTTCTCTGATGATTAGGCACTTCTTTCCACCTCTTTTCAGAGCAGAGCCACCCCACCCCTCCTCACTGGATGCTTTGCTTGTGTCTGGCACAGCCAGGGCAGGGTGCCAGTACCAGGCAGGCTGCAAATATTACAAAACGTCTGGGGAAAACGGCATTGTTTCCATTTATGTTTTTGCTTCCCCTCTTGTCTCCTGCATTTTTGCTTTTATTTAAGGCTGTGTTCAATGTTGTAATTACTTTTTTAATCGGTAATGTCTGTGTCTGGGGTGTGTGGTTACCCACCATTGCTGGGCCTGACACTGTAAACAAATGCTGGCACTTTGGCTGGGAAGTTCCTGCTGAAATATTGCCCTAAATAAATAAAAGGCAAATTAGATATTGGAAAATAACTTTAAATTACATTTGAATTCTTGGGGAATTACATCTTACATTTGTGTTAGGGACAAATGAGTTTGCCATAAATAATACGTCTAGAACAATTGACCAAGGAGGACAGCGGTGTTGGACAGTTTCTGGGAGGAGGGACGGGAATAGATCTTTCAAAGGGAAGTTGGGGGTGAAACAGAGGGGACTTCTTAAGGGATGGTCATGGGAATGGGGTGCAGAGAAGTGTAAATCTTAAGAAACCTTGGGTATATCTGCTGGATATGCCAAAGAGATTGGTACTCTTGAAAGGAAAGCCATTAGGTTGATTAACTGGGTTGTTCCCAGCAGATGGAAGGAGGAGCTGATGTTATCATGTACCTACTACCTACTGGATGCCTGACAAACATGGAGGTCGTATAGTCACCAGCTTTGGTGACAGGGACCTGGGTACAAATACTGGTGTTGTCACTACCACTGCTGACCAACAGGCAGACAGCTGATGTCAGGGAACTTTAGTTTCCTGACCTTGTTACTGAAGAAGCTCAAGGCAGGGAGGTTCATATGGCTTGCCAGTAGGGATGTTGGCACCAGCGTGACTTGGGTTGAAGTCCCTGTTTTTCTGGTTCCTAGTGTGTACCTTTGGGCAAGTCACTTACCTCTCTGACCCTCAGTTTCTTCATCTGTAAAATGAGGATCATAACAAAAGTAACTTGTCTCTCAGAGTTGCTATGATAATTAAATATAATAATGAATGCTATTTGCCCAGCACAACTTAATGCATGGAATGGTAATTAATACTATTCAGTCTTGTTATTTGCACAACGGTCTTGTGTAATAGTATGTTAAAATTGAAGTTTCACTTAGGCACGAAGATAAGATAGAAGGGAAATTTTGAACTGAGGTGCCAATTCACTGTATACAGATTTTTTTCTTTTCTTTTCTTTTTTTTTTTTTGAGACAGAGTCTTGCTCTGTCACCCAGGCTGCAGTGCAGTGGCGTGATCTCAGCTCCTCTGTCTCCCGGAGTTCAAGTGCAACCTCCGTCTCCCAGGTTCAAGTGATTCTAGTGCCTCAGTCTCCCTAGTAGCTGGGATTACAGGTGCCTGTCCCCACACCTGGCTAATTTTTGTATTTTTAGTGGAGATGAGGCTTCACCATGTTGGCCAGGCTGGTCTCGAACTCCTGACCTCTAGTGATCTGCCAGCCTTGGCCTCTCAAAGTGCTGGGATTACAGACATGAGCCACTGCACCCAGCTATGTAGATTTTCGAATGAAATAGTTGGGCACATATACCACAATTCTCAATCCCCTTTTACCTGTTTCAGAAATAGAAAATAATTGGGAATGAAGAAGAGACAAATAATTTGTAAAGATGATATCTGTACAGAAAGCACTGCTGCAAACCTTATCCTCTCCCTACTTTAGGGAATATATGGTACCTGCTCTCTTTATCTCAAAGCTAGGGATGGGTGTGCAGAGTACAACCTTAAGACTAGAATATGGGATATATTAGTTGGGATAGGACAGGCTTTGTTGTAGTAACAAATAAACCCAGAAATCTCAGTTGCTTAATCCAAAAACAATTTATTTCAAGCTCAAGTTGAAGTCTGGTGCAGTTCAGGTTGTCCTCTTCCTGTTATGATAGTGCTGTCTGGAACTTACTGCCTTTAAGGGAGAAGAGAGAGGATGGAAACATCTGGCTCTCAAGTGCCTCTATCCAGAAGAGACATATGGCCATTCCATTCACTTTACTGGCCAGAACTTGTTTCATGGCCTCCATCCAAATGCAACAGAGACTGAGAAACAGAGGAGCACATAGCTATTTGGTGAGCACTATCAACTCTTAGAGACTCTTCTCCTAGATGAGCTTGAAATGTGTTTCCTGCATGCAGTTGGGAGACATGGAATACCAGTGCTTGAGTCACTTCCCCCCTTGCAAAAGGCAAAGCAGCCAGTGGTACCAGGAAAACTGTTGGGTTCAGTTTGCACTTGCAGAGGTTGTCAAGGCAAGGGATGTATGGCTGTTTCCTATGGACTAGCTAGGGGAGGGGGAGCTGATGTGGGATCGTCGTGGGACCCATCCAATAGGGCCTTCTGGAATGTGGAGGTGAATGCATAGGGACAAGGAAAGAACACCTGTAATAGAGATGCACCCAGATTTCAGATGGAAAGACTCCAGCAGGAAACTCTAAAGTGCTAACAAGTCCTCCATGAGAGGATCAGTATTCAACATCTGCCAGGTCTAGAGGCGACAAAGCCAGCGTGCACAGCATGAGTTCATGTAATTGCAACTCCTACTGCTTTGCCCTCTTTCCTTCCCATGTACCAGCCCCGGAAGGGAGAGGTGCTAGTTTCCCAATGGGGCCAGACAGATTGAAGGAAGAGAGAAGCCAATCACACCCGCCTTCCCAGTGCTAGCTTCCAGTCCGACATAGAGTGGATCTGGGAAACTGCAAGATCGATGGTTAAATTGAGTTCAGAGTTGGATGACTACTTTGGTCTGGACACACTATTTATTGAATTGAGACTCTATTTTAATCTTTCAACAAATATTTACTGCATACCACTCCTCTAGATGCTGCGTTACATTGTCAAACCAACACAGATGTCTGCTCTCGTGGGGCTGACATTTCTAGTGCTGGTGTCATCGGGCAGTCAAGAGCAGAAGAGTCTAGGGGAAGTTTCCAACGAAAGCAGAAGAAGATATGTCTTACTGAATGAAGTTTAAGGGCATGATGAACACAGGAATAAAGCTTCAGTTACATCTTGAGCCATTCTCATTAAAAAAATTTAAATTTTACTTTAAGTTCTGGGATACATGTGCAGAATGTGCAGGTTTGTTACATAGGTATACATGTGCCTTGGTGGTTTGCTGCACCTATCAACCTGTCATCTAGGTTTTAAGCCCATGATGAATTAGGTATTTGTCCTAATGCTCTCCCTCTCCTTGCTCCCAATCCCTGACAGGCCCTGGTGTGTGTTTCCCCACTGTGTCCATGTGTTCTCATTTTTCAACTCCCACTTATGAGTGAGAATATGCAGTATTTGGGTTTCTGTTCTTGTGTTAGTTTGCTGAGGATGATGGTTTCCAGCTTCATCCATGTCCCTGCAAAGGACATGAACCCATTCTTTTTTATGGCTGCATAGTATTCCCTGGTGTATATGTGCCACATTTTCTTTATCTGCTCTATCATTGATTGGCATTTGGGTTGACTCCAAGTTTTTGCTATTGTAAATAGTGCTGCAATAAACATATGTGTGCATGTGTCTTTATAGTAGAATGGTTTATAATCCTTTGGGTAAGTTTTGAAGAGAAGACAAGGGTTGAAGAAAGATGCAGAGAGAGAGAGAGCGTGGCTCAACAGCAAATGCAGGCATTTATGTCCAGCATAAACCTGCAGAGGTGGGGGTTCAGCTTAATATCAGTGTGTACCACTGCTTATAGGCGGGGGCAATTATAGGCCTGTGGGGAAGAGTCTGGAATGTGGGGGCATAGCCTGCTTCATGGGAGAATGTTCATAATGTGTTCCCAGGATGGGTGGTTCTGGCCCTTGTTCCAGCAGAATGTGGTTTTCCTTGAACTTTCCCTCAGCAGAATATGATAAGAGGCAGGCTGTTTCTCATGGCCTGAACCCCCATGGAATGTTTCACTTTGACCAAGGTCTGCGAAATGGTGGGGGGCTTACAAAATGGTGCAGTTTGGACTAACATCTACCACCCTTCTTTTTTGATGAAAGAACAGTTTTATTTATTTTTTTAATAAAGAGATGGGGTCTTGCTATGTTGTCCAGGCTGAACTCAAACTCCTGGGCTCAAGAGATCCTCTTGCCTCAGCCTCCCTAGTAGCTGAGACTACAGGAATGTGCCACTGTGCCAGGCTAAGAGACTTTCTTTTTTACTTAAATACACTGAGTAAATGGAAAGCCTGCATTCACTTACCATGAACAGAAGGTAAGCATGAAAATAAATGAATAATATCATAAAACAAATGATTCACATATGACTTCATATCATCTTGTGTCCTGTTAGTGGTAACACATTGGGAAACAGTGGTTGAGAACATCAGAGCAGGAAGGGCAAATAGTCAAAATCACAGGCTTATCTGAGTCAGGCAACACTGGGTATGGATCCAGGGTCCTTCCTTTCCTGCCTATGTGACCTTGGGCAAGTCACTTTACATCTCCAAGCTGTTCTCTCATATATAAAACAGTGATAATAGAATTGACTTCCCAGGTCTTTGTGATATGTAAAAGATATGATATATATGCAGCCCTTATACAATGTAATATAATCTTATTAATAGCTCACATTCGTCGACCTTTTCCACCTGCCAGTCAGTGTTCTAAGCACCTCACAAATGTTAAATTATTTGATCCTCAGAACAACCCAAGGAAGTGGGTCCTATTTCTGTCCCTAATTTGTGGAGGAGGAAGCTGAGGCAGAGAAGCAGTTACGGGCAGAGTTGGGATTCTAAGCAGGCAGCCTCCACGTTCCTAAACATTCTGCCATCCCACCCCTTTCTGCTTCTGTAAATGGGAGTTGTTGGGTCCACTCTGACCCTCTCATTTTTCTAATTTGGAAATGGAGGGCTTGAGAGGGGTGACACCCTGCCCAAAGTCCCATAGTCCATGAGTGTCCTGGCACCCAGGAGGATCCGCTTCTGGCACCCACTGCCTCTCCTTTGGGGTCAGATTAACCTCAGGAAGCTGGAGAGGAAGCCTGGGAAGGGTTTCCTGGCCAGTTGATGGAGTTACCTCTAAAAAGCTGCTATTGACCTTGTATGTACCGAGAAGCACATAGACACAAAGACCTTGTAGAGTGTGGAGAGGAATCTTCCGGAGGCTGGGCTCAGGGGGTGCTTGGCTGGGGAGACCCCTTGCTAGACCATACAGCACTTGCAGGGTCCAGTCTGTGGTTGCAAGTGACAGAGAGCAACACAGGCAGAAAACACAGGCTTTATGGCAAGGTTGTGGGGTGGATCAGCGTGTTGGAGGAACCACTGAACCACCACAGCTGGATGGGGGGCTGGGAGGCAGGGCCTGGTAGCACTCTGCTCACAGCTTCACCATCACGATGAAATAGCTGCAATCACTTTCCAGCACTGGGTCACTTCATTTAAGATTCAAATTCTTGGGAGAGAGAATCTTATTGGATCATTTTAGGTCACATGTTTGTCTTTGAACCAATCCCTGTGTTCAAGGGGATGGAGACCTCTGATTGGCTGGTCCTGGGTCATGTTTACTCCTGGACCAGGGCTGGGGTCAGCCCTAGCAGAGACTCATGGACCCAGACGTGGGAGGAACATGGTCTCACAGCTTTGTTAGAGCAGGAGTGAGTCAGCTTGGCAGGAGGGCCACGAGCCCCAAACAGGGCCTTAGTGTGAGTTATTAAAAACAGCCTGGGGGCAGGATCAGCCGTGTGGGCACGGGCTTGGTAAGCAGAGCCTGGGTAAATTCAGCCCCCATTCGCTCTTCTATAGGATGCCCTGGTGTGGGAACGTGCACGCCCATGAACAATGATCCTGTCCCTGTTCAGACAGACTCCCTTGCCCTGATGCTGCCTCCACTTGGTGGGCTCCTGATCCACCTTTGTTAACCTAATGATTCTCAGCTTCGCTCTGCTGACCTCTCTGTCGTCACCTATCTCCATTTCCTGCTCCCCATTTTGTAAGTCTAAGGAATGTAAGCCATTTTCTTACAATTCATTTGCTTTTCGTATATTCACACAATTGTGCGTCAATCATCTCCATCAATTTAAAAACATTTTCATTACTCCAATAACATATTCATCCCTCAGCCATCACCCCAAACTCTCCCACTCTCCCACATCCCATGGCCACAGCCCTAGACAACCGCTAATCTACGTTTTGCGTCTGTAGATTTGCCTATTCCGGACATTTCAAATAAATTGAATCCTATATGGTTTTTTGAGACTTGCTTCTTTTTTTAAATTAGAATAATGTTTTCAAGGTTCATTCATGTCGTAGCATGTATCAGTGCTCCATTTCTTTCTTTCTTTCTTTTTTTTTGAAACAGAGTCTCGCTCTGTCGCCCAGGCTGGAGTGCAGTCTCGGCTCACTGCAACTTCCGCCTCCCAGGTTCAAGTAATTCTCCTGTTTCAGCCTCCTGAGTAGCTGGGACTACAGGTGCCCACCATGACGCCCAGTTAATTTTTGTATTTTTAGTAGAGATGGGGTTTCATCCTATTGGTCAGGTTGGTCTCAAACTCCTAACCACAGGTGATCCACCCGCCTCGGCCTCCCAAAGTTCTGGGATTACAGGCGTGAGCCACGGTGACTGGCCGCTTCATTTCTTTTTATTGCTGAATAATATTCCATGGTATGGATAGACCACAATTTATTTATCTGTTCATCAGTTGATGGATGTTGGGTTGTTTCCACTTTTTGGCTATTATGAATAATGCCACCATAAATATTTTTGACAAGATGTTGTGTGGACATATGTTTTCATCCTTTGGGGCATATCCTTAGGAGGAGAATTGCTGATTCACATGATAACGCTATGTGATGGTTAATATTAGGTGTCAACTTGATTGAATTGAAGGATGCCTAGATGGCTGGTAAAGTATTGTTTCTGGGTGTTCCTATGAGGGTGTTGCCAGAGAAGATTGACATTTCAGTTAGTGAACTGGGAGAGGAAGACCCACCCTCAATGTGGGTGGGCACTATCCAATCGGCTGCCAGCACAGCCAGAACAAAGCGGGCAGAAGAAGGTGGGATAGACTTGTTTGCCTAGTCTTCTGGTTTCTTTCTTCTTCCCATGGGGAATGCTTGCTTCTGCTCCTCCTGCTCTTGGACATCAGACTCCAGGTTCTCCAGCCCTTCGGACTGCGACTTGCACCAGCAGCTTGCTGGGGGCTCTTGGGCCTCTGGCTGCAGACTGAAGGCTGCACTATCAGCTTCCCTGGTTTTGAGGCTTTTGGACTCAGATTGAGCCACTACTGGCTTTTCTCTTCCCCAGCTTGCAGACGGCCTATTGTGGGACTTTGCCTTGTAATTATGTGAGCTAATTCTCCCTAATGAACTCCCTTTCATATATACATATATCCTGTTTGTTCTCTGCCTCTGAGAACCTTGACAAATACACTCTATGTTCAACTTTTTGAGAAACTGCCAGACTGTTTTCCAAAGTGGTTGCACCATTTTCCATTCTCATCAGCAGTGTATGAGGGTTCCTATTTTCCCACATCCTTACCTTGTTATTATCTGTATTTTGATTGTAGCCATCTAGTGAGTGTAAAGTAGTATTTCATTGTGGTTTTGATTTGCATGTACTTGATGGATAATGATGTTAAACATCTTTTCCTGTGCTTATTGGCAATTTGTAGATTTTGTTTGGAGGCATGTGTATCAGATTTCGGCATGTCCATTTTCAAACTGCATTATTTGTGTTTTTAAATTTTAATTTGATTTTATTATTTATTTTTTTGACACAGAGTCTCACTCTGTCACCCAGGCTGGAGTGCAGTGGTGTGATCTCAGCTCACTGCAGCCTCCGCCTCCTGGGTTCAGATGATTCTCCTGCTTCAGCCTCCTGAGTAGCTGGGATTATGGGCATGTGACACCACCCCCAGCTAATTTTTTGTATTTGTAGTCGAGATGGGGTTTCACTTTGTTGTCCCAGCTGGTGTCAAACTCCTGACCTTGGGTGATCTGCCCCCCTCAGTCTCCCAAAGTGCTGGGATTACAGGTGTGAGCAACCAAGCCTGGCCTTATTTGTGCTTTTATTATGGATTTGTAGTAGTTTTATATGTTTGAGACTTAAATCCCTTACAAATATGATTTGCAAAATTTTTCTCCTATTCTTTGGATTATCTTTTCACTTTCTTAATGGTGTCCTCTGAAGTAAGTTTTAGATTGTGATGAAGTCTAATTTATCTAGTGTTATTTTTCTTGCTTATGATTTTGGTATCAGATCTAAGGTCCAAATTCAATTCTTTCTCTGATTTTTAAGAGTCTGATAGTTTTAGCTGTTAAAATTTAAACCTTTGATTCATTCTGAGTAATTTTTGTATATGGTGTGAGGTAGGGATTCAACATTATTCATTCTTTTACATGTAGATATCCAGTTGTCCCAGCACCTTTTATTGAAAAAACTATCCCTTTCCCATTGAATAGGCCCTTGCCCCAAATTAATCAACCATAGTTATACGGATTTATTTCTGGAATCTAATTTTTTCCACTGATACATATGCCAATACTGCACTGTCTTGATTACTGTAGTTTTGTAGTAAGTTTTGAAACTGAGAAGTGTGAATTCTTGAACTTTTACTTTTTTTAAGATTCAAGATGGAATTCTTGGATTTCTATAAGAATTTTGGGATAAGCTTGTCAATTCCTGAAAGGAGACAAGCTAGGATAAGAATGCTACAAGAAAAGAAAATCACAGGTCAATATCCCTGATGAGTAAAGGTAAGAAAACTGGATAGGCACATGCAAAAGAATAAAATTGGACACTTGGTTTACACCATATACAAAAGTTAATTCAAAATGTATTTAAATCTTAAATGTAAGATCTGAAACCATAAAACTCATGGAAGAAAACATAGGGGAAAAGCTCCTTGTCATTGATCTTGGCAATGAATTTTTTGATATAACATCAAAAGCACAGACAACAAAAGGAAAAACAAACAAGTGGGACTACATCAAGCTAAAAAGCTTCTGCACACCAAAGAAAACAATAAGTGAAATGCAAAGGCAAACTATGGAATGGGATAAAATATTTGTGAACTGTACATCTCATAAGGGGCTAATAACAAAAATATAGAAAGAACTCACATAACTTAATAGCAAAACCAATCAACCAAATAACCCCCCAAAACAAAACAACACAAAAAACTCCCAAACCCAAATAATGCTATTTAAAAATTGGCAGAGCATCAGGAAGAATAGCTAATGGATGCTGGGCTTAATACCAAAGTGATGGGTTGATCTGTGCAGCAAACCACCATGGTACACCTATGTAACAAACCTGCACATTCTGCACATGTACCCCAGAACTCAAAATAAAAGTAAAAGGAAAAAAAGTAAAGTAAGAGTATAGATTGGAAAAAAAAAATTGGCAAAGGATCTGAATAAACATTTTTCTAAGGAAGACATACAAATGGCCAACAGGTATATGAAAAAGTGCTCAATATCACTAATCATCAGATAAATGCAAACAAAACTACAGTGAGATATCTCGCACCTGTTAGGATGACTATTATCAAAAAGATAAGAGTTGGCAAGTGCTGGTGAGGGTGTAGAGAAAAAGAAATGCTTATACACTGTTGGTGGAAATGGAAATTAGTATAGCCATTAGGGCAAACAGTATGGGGGTTCCTCAAAAAGCCACAAATACAAGTACCACATGATCCAGCCATCTAACTTCTGGGTATATAGCTAAAGGCTGTGAAATTGCTATGTCGAAGAGGTATCTGCACCTCATGTTCATTGCAGCTGTATTCACGGTAGCCAAGATATGGAAACAACCTAAATATCCATGGATGGATGAATGGAGAATATTATTCAGCCATAAAAAGGAATGAAATCCTGTCTTTTGCAACAACATGGATGAACTTAGAGGAAATTATGGGAAGTGAAATAATCTAGACCCAGAAAGACAAATAATGTATGGTCTTATTTATATGTAGAATATTAAAAAGTTGAATTCATAGAAGTAGAGAGTAGAACAGTAGTTACTGGGTACATGGGGAAATGGTGGTCACAGGGCACAAACATTCAGTTATAACATGAACAAATTCTGGGGATCTGGTGTATGACATGGGTGATGATGGATATGTTAATGAATTTGATTGTGGTCATCATTAAACAATGTATATCAAATCATCAGTCATACACCTTAAAATATAAAATCTTTTTGTCAATTAAATACTAAACAAACACATAAAAAATCCAATATATGCACTGCTGAATTGGAGGTGGAACAGAATTTTACAAACTTCAATAACTCACACTGCATCATTAATGCTTTTTTGCCATATTCGGGTACCACCTATACTACTACTAACTTAATAGTCTTCTTTAAAGAGAGTCAATTTTAAAAAATAAATTTATTTAAAAGGAAACTTTACTTTGTCACCCTACATGGAAAATTGGCATCATTTTCCGTAAATAGGAGGTAATCATGAAAATGAATATGATGGGAACACACCAGTGTTTTGTAAGCTTAAGTAGAATATTCTCTTTTCTCTTGAAGGCTCTAAATCTGAGGTCAGTGCTTTATATATTGATAAAGACTAGCAGTGTTAGACTTTTAGGGAGGTGTTAAAGACATATTATCACCAAGCTGAGACTTTCTCATAATTATGAGGCTTTTGAGATAATTGATCTGGGAAGAATTTTCTCATTACGCAGCTCAATGTTTTTTAACGCTTTATTTATTTTCACCAAAAATTATCGTATTTACCATCTAAAATTGTGTTCCATTATGGGTCTGTGTCTGTGGTAGAGAAAATTATTGCTCTCAAAATATCCACCGTCTTCTCTAAGTTTCTCAACTTCCTTTGCAGATGGTTGGGATCATGTGACTTCTTCTGGGCACTGGCTGGTGAGTGCTACTATTGGGCTGTGGCAGTGAAGTGCCGTTTCACTGCTGGGCTGTGGCAGTGTAATGCTAGTGGGCTTTTTCCAGCTCCCTTTTGCATTCCATCCTCCTCCTTGCATTCCAGATATCACAGCCATAGGGACACCTGGACTCTACATGAGTGAGAAATACATTTACTGTGCCAAAGCACTGAGATTTCAGGTTAATTTGTTACTGCAGCATAGTCCAGGGGCACCCAATCTTTTGGCTTCCCTGGGCCACATTGGAAGAACTGTCTTGGGCCACACATAAAATACACTAACACTAATGATGGCTGATAAGCTAAAAAAAAAAAAAAAGCGCCATGCATAAATCTCATAATGTTTTATGAAAGTTTTTGAATTTGTGTTGGGCCACATTCAAAGCCATTCTGGGCTGCATGTGGCCTGCAGGCTGCAGGCTGGACAAGCTTGGTTTAAGCTATTCTGACTGTTGTGAACATGTGGCCCCCACTTGGGAAATATTATCTTTGAAAAACTTTTTTTTTTTTTTTTTTTTTTGAAATGGAGTCTCATTCTCTTGCCCAGGCTGGAGTGCAGTGGTGCTATCTCAGCTCACTGCAACCTCTGCCCTCTGGGTTCAAGCAATTCTCCTGCCTCAGCCTCTCAAGTAGCTGGGATTACAGGTGCACGCCACCATGCCCGCCTAACTTTTGTATTTTTGGTAGAAATGGAGTTTTGCCATGTTGACCATGCTGGTCTCGAACTCCTGACCTCAAGTGATTTGCCCGCCTCAGCTTCCCAAAGTGCTGAGATTACAGGCGTGAACCACCACGCCCGGCCTTTCTTTGAAAAACTTTTGACTAATGTTGGGCCTTCTCAGTTGGGACCCTTATTTCCTTTCTCCTACTCTCCTCCCTTACTGTTTCCTATTCTTCTTCCTTCTCTCTTCCTCCTCCCCTCCCCATGCATTCAGCTAATTCCGTCTCTGATTACCCAACATCACTCTGGGCTCTGCTGGAAGACTCAGAGCCTATAAAGCTTCAGAGGGGCCTCAGTGTTATTTTAGTCAGGCAAACTCCACAGGTAGGAGTTACTTCTCCACACCTCTGACAGTGTCACTTGCATACCTGCAGGAATAGGAAACTCGCTTCCTTTCATGGTAGTCCTTTCCATCACTGGGCAGCTCCATCTAAGAGGCACTTTCTCTTGTGATTAATCAGACAACATTTACACCCCCAGTCATTTCTACTCTTCCCCATGCAGAGTTCTTGCAGAATAGCTGTCCCTGATAAGGACAGCCCTTCCGAGGCCCAGGAAGAAGTCTCAAGGCTTCTCAGGCTCATTCAAGTCGCAAGACACACACACACCCAATGGAGGATTCTGGCAACGTACCATGTGGTAGAAATGTCAGTCCACATCTCAGGTGCATGGGAAATATCACTCTCTTTATTCATTCACTTCACACTATGGTTGGGATGTTTGTCTCCTCCAAATCTCATGTTGAAATGTGATTCCCAATGTTAAAGGTGGTGCCTAGTGGGAAATGGGGGCAGATCCCTCATGAATGTCTTGGTGCCCTCCTGGTGGTAATGAGTGAGTTCTCATTCTATTCATGTGAGATCTGGCCGTTAAAAATTTAGAGCCTGGGAAAGATGGTGACCAGAGGCTGCGAAGGGTAGTGGGGGGTGCCGGTTGGTGGCGGGGAGGAGTTGGGAAGGCTAATGAGTACAAAAATAGTTAGAAAGAATGAATAAGGGCCAGGTGCAGTGGCTCATGGCTGTAATCCCAGCACTTTGGGAGGCCAAGGCGGGTGGATCACTTGAGGTCAGGAATTCAAGACCAGCCTTGCCAACATAGTGAAACCCCATCTCCACTAAAAATACAAAAATTAGCCAGGTGTGGTGGTGGGTGCCTGTAGCTCCAGCTACTCAGGAGGCTGATGCAGGAGAATCACTTGAACCTGGGAGGAGGAGGTTGTAGTGAGCTGAGGTCATGCCACTGCATTCCAGCCTGGGCAACAGAGCGAGACTTCATCTCAAAAAAAAAAAAAAAAAAAAAAAAAAAGGAGAATTAGACCTAGTATTTGATAGATTTGATAGCACAACAGTGTGACTATGGTCAATAATAATTTAATTACACATTTATAAATAACTAAAAGAGTGTAATTGGCTTGTTTGTAACACAAAGGATAAATGCTTCCAATGATGGATCCCCCGTTTACCTTGATAGGATTATTATGCATTGCCTGCCTGTATCAAAATCTCTCATGTACCCCATAAATATATACACTACTATGTACCCACAAAAGTTGAAAAATTAAAGGAAGAATAGAGTCTAGGACCTCCCATGTCTCTCTTGCTCCCTCTCATCATGTGACACGTTGGCTCCTCTTCCTCTCTGCCATGATTAAAAGCTTCCTGAGGCCTCACCAGAAACTGAGCAGATGCTGGCACCATGCTTGCACAGCCTGCAGAACCTTGAGCCAAATAAACCTCCTTTCTTTTAATAAATTACCCAGCCTCAGGTATTCCTTTACAGCAATGCAAAATGGACTAACAAAGTTCATAACCATGTTTAATTTGTGTCCATTCTTCCAATCAATTTAGGTTTCCTTACATTCCTTGGGGTTACCCCTAAGTTCGGCAGGGGCGGAGGTCAGGGTGTTGGGGAGGGGACATCCATGATTTTCTGAGATTCTCAGCCAGTCTTTGACGTCAGGCCATGCGTGCTGCTGTGGCGCTGTGTATAACTGCATCCAAGTCTGAGGGATGCTCCTTGCTGCCCTCGAATGCCAACTCCTGGGTGCATTGAGATCAGGTGGGTGCCCATGCTAAGTTCAATGAGATGCACTGGGAAGTTACTGAGCTTTTCTTTCCTTTTCTTTTTCTTTTCTTCCTTTTTTTTTTTCTTGTTTTTTTTGAGGCGGAGTCTCACTCTATCGCCTAGGCTGGAGTGCAGTGGCATCATCTCGGCTCACTGCAACCTCCACCTCCCAGGTTCAAGTGATTCTCCTGCCGCAGCCTCCTGAATAGCCGGGATTACAGGGATGCGCCACCATGCCCAGCTAATTTTTGTCTTTTTAGTGGAGAGGGGGTTTCACCACATTAGCCAGGCTGGTCTCAAACTCCTGACCTCAGGTGATCCACCTGCCTCAGCCTCCCAAAATGTTGGGATTACAGGCATGAACCACCACGCCCAGACAATTACTGAATTTTTCTGAACCCTCCTGAGTCCTTCACCACGTCCACATTGCTCTTACACGCCTGGGACTCCTGCACTGCTCCACACCAGCTTGTGCATGGAGAGCTCTGGAAGCCTCTCCCAGCTACATTAGTCTAGGCACCGCCCCTACCTTCACAGGTCCACCTTCCTCTCCTGATTGGGCTTCAGCCTGGGTGGGGAAGACCCGGGACCCTTTCCCAGGGACCCTTCAGCATCTCATTCTCTTTGCTGCTCTTCAAATCCCTGGCATGGGGCAGGGCAGTGCTGGCTGCCTTACGTGCCTGGGTCTCATTGCTCCTTTCCACGACCCCAGTATGTTGGGTTCCATTTGGGTTTCCTTTTTAATAGATGGCGGAACTGAGGGCCAGAGAGGCAATGGGCATAGCAGAGCCAGGAGTGAAACCCAGGTGTGTCTGAGCCCTGTGCCAAAGCTCTTTCATCAGCACCCAGCTACTTCTCAGGAAGCACAACTGGGGATGTTACTGAAGTGCGAGAATTTGTGGACCCTGAGAGGTGATGTGGAGAGATTTGAGGCAAGAAAGGCCTGATCATAACCTGGAAAAGAGACCCCAGGGCACCCTCTGCCTTCAGGGGTTCCAGAGTGAGTGTCCTCACTCTCTCCAGAGTGAACATAAAGCTTTTTTTAATTCCACAAATATTTATCAAGACCCCTTATGTTCACTACTGCCAGGACTACAGCAGTGAACAAAAAGACTAGTGGAAAAAAAGACTGCCCTTGTGTAAGTAACTCTTTTTTTTTCAAAAGACAAGATCTCACTCTGTTACCCAGGCTGGGAATACAGTGGTGAGATCATAGCTCACTGTAGCCTCCAGCTCCTGGGCTCAAACAATCCTCCCACCTCAACCTCCCATGCAGCTGGGACTACAGGCACACACCACCATGCCTGGCTAATCTTTTTTTTTTTTTTTTGTATTGTTGTAGAGATGGGGTTGTGCTATATTGCCCAGACTGGTCTCAAACTCCTGGGCTCAAGCAATCCTTCTGCCTAAGCCTCCCGAAGCACTGGGATTATAGATGTGAGCCACCATGATGCTTGGCCAGAATCAACATTGCTATAGGTATAAACAGAAACAAACCCACAAAGAACTGAAGAGGTTAATTCTGGATTGGTTATCAGTCAAGTGAAGGATATGGATGAGTGTGTGTGACAGGTGGTCAGGGAAAGCCTCCCTGAAGAGTGACATTTGGGCTGAGACCAGCTGCATAAAGATCTGGGAACAGTGTCCCAAGGTAGATGGAACAGAAAATATGTGGCACTAACGAGGCCACAGGCTTGGTGCAGCTGAGGGACAGAAAGGAGCCAGGTATGGCCAGAGCATAGCAAAGGAGCTGGAAGAGTTGTGTGAGGGGGTTGGGAGCTGGGCAGGGGCTAGAGCATGAGGGTCTTATTGCCAGTTACCGTGCAGGCAGGATACAGACAGCACACTCAAGGGGTGGGGTCATTGGTGAAAGTTTAGTGAAAGAATGAAAGGACTCTTTTTGTTTTTTTTGAGACAGGGTCTCACTCTGTTGCCCAGGCTGGAGTGCAGTGGTGCGATCACGGCTCACTGCAGCCTCGACCTCCTAGGCTCAGGTGATCCTCTTGCCTCAGCCTCCCTCTTTATGGAGGTGTGGATCAGGTTGAGAGAAACTGAAAAGAGGTAACAAAGGACTTTGGGACCAGCAGCAGTGGGGCACTTGTTACCATCTTCAGTCCTAAATGGGCCAGGAAGGCCCTGTTAGTTAGGGGAACCCAGCCAGAGCGGTAGCTGTAGGAGGTGGCCCACAGCTCTCACCCAAGGGACCCAGCTGCTGTCACCCATGGCCAAGCAGAGAGGAAGCCGGGGAGTAATACCCCACCTCTCTCTCCTCCTGCTCGCTGACCTCCTGCTTCACCTCTTACTCCTATTGGTTGAAGTCAATCAGGAGCCAGATGGCAGAGAGCAAAGGTTGATGCAGCCTCTGCAGGTCAGCCTCCAGACACAGGTCAGGTCTGAGTACTGGGCCGGGTGCAGAAGGCTGGAGAGGAAGCCCGAGGACAAACGGAAACTGCAGCACAGTCAGAACAGGCAGCGTGCATTTTATTCTGAGGTCAATGAGAAGCCATGGCTGGGTTTAAGCCGGGGTGGGATCTGATCTGGATTGTCTTACCCTCTCAGGCTGCTGTCTGGAGGGTGGGGAGGTGCGTGGCAGTGGAGGCTGCCGGAGCTATTCGGGTTGGTGGTGATGGGAGCTTGGGCCCGGAGGAAGCAGCAAGGCTGGAGAAGAGAGCAGGGCCTTGTGTTGATATCTGAGGTGAAACTGACAGGTGGTGGTGGATTGGGTGCAAGGGAGTCAGGTCATGTGATAAAGAAGCACGAGGGACCAGGCGCAGTGGATCTCTCCTGTAATCCCAGCACTTTGGGAGGCGGAGGCAGGTGGATCACCTGAGGTCAGGAGTTCGAGACCAGCCTGGCCAACACGGTGAAACCCTATCTCTGCTAAAAATACAAAAATTAGCCGGGCATGGTGGCAAGTGCCTGTAATCCGAGGTACTTGGGAGGCGGAGGCAGGAGAATCACTTGAACCCGGGAGGCAGAGGTTGTAGTGAGCCAAGATTGCACCACTGCACTCCAGCCTGGGCGACAAGAGCAAAACTCCCTCTCAAAAAAAGAAAAAAAAAAAAAAAGATGCACACACAAAAAAGGAAGAAAAATAATGGATGGCTTAATCTCAGCCTCTCTTGAAGCTCAGGAAGCTCACAGCAAAGTGCATATGACTTTACCCTCTGGATTTGCTCCCTTTGCCTACCCTCACCACTTCACAGGGAAAGGGGGCTTAGATGAAGTCCTTAGGAGAACCTATGTGGCAGATGTCCTCCTTACAGCTGAAGGAGTCTGGCATCAGAGAAGTTAAGCCATCTGCCCAAGGTCACACAGCACATCTGTGCACGTGAGGATTTGGACCTGGGTCTGTCTGATTCAAGGAAGCCCTGTGTAGGACTCAGGTGAGATATCTTGCATTAGACATCAGCCTGGAACTGGAGCTTTACTGCCCCAGGAGCTCTGCTCTAGAGACGGGATGTAAGTGCACCATCACGTGCACATCATTTGGGACTAGCTGGAGGAAATACATGAGCATTTGTGGCATGCAAGAAAGTGAGCAGAGCAGGAGCCTAGCAGACTTTTCTTTCTTTTTTTTACTGTTAAAGAATTGGGGGACAAGGAAGGGGACTAACATTTATGACATTCATTCATTCATTCATTCATTCATCCATCCATCCTTTGGTTCAATGATCCAGGTTTCTTGCTGGGCAGGCAAGTTACTTGCATTGTCTCATTCAATCCCCCAAATGAACAATCCAGCCAAGGCAGGAACCCCGCTTCATCCCTGTTTTGCAGGCCTGAGGAAATGGAGGCTCTGTGAGGGGAAGTGACTTGCTCAAGGTAACAGACCCACCCCCTCTCTCTTCCCTAAAACATTTTCCCCTCAGCGTAGCATCCACCCGGCAGCAGACTGTAGAGGGCAGGGGGTGCTGAAACCAGGCTGTCTGTTTAAATCTTGGTTCCCCTTTAATAGAGCTGTGACCTTGATTTCCACATTTGTAGAATGGGTTAGAAATGGTATCTACATCAAAGGCCTGCTGTGGAGATTGATGGAGATAAGGGATACAAATGCCTGCAGAGCAAGGGCTCAGAGTACTTTGGCTATCACTGTGATCTCCCTTCCCGAAATCGGTGTCAAGTTCAAGCTCCTTGAGGGAGGCTTCTCAGCCATCTCTGGGCTCTGTTAACTCACAAGCACCAGATCAACTCTGCTGCCTTCCCTGAGATGCTGCAGGGCCAGGTCCTGCGGGTGGGGGCGCAGGGATGGCAGGACAAACTCTGCCTTCGAGCTGTCATACCTGGTGCAGGAGACAGATGCAGGGACATGGCACATACACCCCCATGTAGTTAAGTGCAATTGTAAAGATGAGTTCAAATAAGAGCCATGATAATGGTGACCCCCAACCCGTCACTTTTTTTTTTTTTTTTTTTGAGACGGAGTTTCGCTCTGTCGCCCAGGCTGAAGTACAGTGGCACGATCTCGGCTCACTGCATCCTCCGCCTCCCTGGTTCAAGGGATTCTCCTGCCTCAGCCTCCCAAGTAGCTGGGATTACAGGCGCCCACCACCAGGCCCGGCTAATTTTTGTATTTTTAGTAGAGATGCGGTTTCACCATGTTGGCCAGGCTGGTCTCGGACTCCTGACCTCAAGTGATTCGCCCACCTCAGCCTCCCAAAGTGCTGGGATTAGAGGCGTGAGCCACCACACCCGGCCCCCAACCCATCACTTTTTAGTGTATCACCTTGTTGTATTTATTTCTTAGTACTTATTAATATTCAGATCATCGTGTGCATTTGTTGGTTGACTTTTGTATCGCCTGTCTTCAGCACTAAGTACCATATTTACCACGATCTCCTCACTGTCTAACATAGCTCCTGGCATCCAGCAGACACTCCGTAAATATTAATTGAATGTACCAGTGAGTTGTTGGGTGAAATGAAGCCCCACAAGTCAGCACTGTCCCTCCTGACATGGAGGAGAGAGGCAGGAGATAGGTGGCAGGGACTGTGTGGGCTCTGCCTCTGAGCCTCCCCGACCCCCTCCCTCGCCCCCTCCCTGTCTTTCCTGACCCCCTCCCTGAGCTCCCTGCCCACAGCTGAGGTCACCAGGGATGCTGGCAGGGACTGCAGCCTCTGGCCACTTTGGAGGTTGGCTCCCCACACACCCCCGGGTCTGGCAGCTGTTTGAGGTCAGCTCCCGGAGCTCATGGGAGTTTCCTGATGTAAGGCTGGTCTGGAGGGTCTGGGCAGCAGACTGTAGGCAGGTGGCGTTGAGCAAACCTCTGGAGCTCCCAGCATCTTTTCTTGTAGGATGGGAAGATCCTAGCATCCACTTTGAGCTGTATGGTGGAGTCCCGAGCCTGAGGGCTCAGGATGGGCCTTGGTGCCTTCAAACCGGGGCACTGCCACTTCCTAGCTGTGCGCGCTTGATTTCTCTGGGCCCAGCTGCAAAGTGGGGATAAATAGTACGACCTCATGGCTCCGGCTGGATTAGAGGAGTCCGCCTAGGAGAAGTGGCGGCCAAGAGCAAGCCCCTAGGCAGGATCAGCCGCGCCCTTTCGAGGGTCCAGGCCTGGTCCCAGAGATCCCAAGGGCCAGGGCCACGCCTGGGGTCCCCCTGCTCCCTGGGACCCTCTCGGAGCAGCTCCTTCTCCACTTCCCAGGCTCTATCCGTGGCCGCTGGGCTGCAGCAAAGAGCTTCTCTGAGTGCTTCGAACGTGCCTCTTAAAAAAAAAAAAAAAAAAAAAAAAAAAGGAAAGCCCTTTCTTGGAGAGTTGCCCACGGCAGACACAATTTAAATTAACTTAAACTATTTCCTTCCCCTCCCCCACCTCGTTATCCTTTTTCAGAGAGTAGGGAAGAGAAAACGTTTTCGGGAGAAAGCTACGGGAGGAGCTCCTCTCTCTCTCTTCCGTCCAGCGGATGCCGGGGCTGCAGAGGCCAAAGTTTGCAGCGGGCGCGGCGGGGCGGGAGCGGGGAGCGGCGGGTGGGGCGGCTGCTAAGGGAACGCGCGGGCGGCTCCCGGAGCCCGGGGAAGGAGGGGCGGCCGCCCCCGGTCCCGCCGCCGCCTCTGCAGTGCCGCGCATCGCCGCTGGGGGGCAGCAGGGCCCCGCGGAGGCCAAGTCCCGTCGGAGACCGCACAGCTCCTGGTCTCGTACCCCAGACCCGCCTTCCCTGACCTCCGCCCTGGCTGCTCACGGGACCCCGGGGACCAGAGGTCGCCGAGGCAGCAGCCCGCTCTCCTTGCTCCTCCCCTCTTTCATCTATCCCTAATTCATTAATTCATCCGTCCTTTCCGCCTTCGTTTCTCCAACCCCCACATATCACTTTTTCTCCCTTCTCCTCCTTTCCCTATCTTCTTTTCTTCCCTTCCTCCTCTTCATTCATTCATTCCTCCCTCGTATCCTTTCACCCACCCACCCACCACTCATCCATTCTTCCGTCCATCCACCCATCATCTATCTATCCCTCCAACTTCCCCTCCTTCCTTTCCTTCCTCCCTGCCTTCTTCCCTTTTCCCTCTTTCCCTTCCTTACTCTCTCTCCTTTCCTCCCTCCCTCCCTCCTTTCTTCCCTTCTTTCCCTTTCATTCTCCCTCTCTTTTCCTCCTTCCCTTCCTCCCTCTCTCTTTCCCTCCCTCCCCCTCCCTTCCTCCCTCCCTCCTGCCCTTTTTTCCTCCCTCCCTTCCTCCCTTCCTTCCCTCTTCTTTTCTTCCCCCACTCTTTCCTCCCTTCCTTTCCTCCATCCCTCTTTCCTCCCTTTCTCTTCCTTTCTTCTGGATTCTGGAGTCAGATTTAACTTCAGTCTCTGGGTACGTGGTTACCTGGCCTGCATGGCTGTTTCTGCACCTGGGAGGGGAGGACGCCTGGCCAGCCTCACAGAGCCGCGGGCAGGATCGAACCGGACAGTCGCAGAAGAGCCTTGCACAGGCTCCGCACCAGTGAGAGCCCAGGGCTGTGCCAGGAGGGGCACGTCCAGGCCCTTACTTCTCTAATCTGGCTGCGCCTTAGAATCACCCGGGAGCCTTTAAGACATACCGGTAACCAGAACTTCTGGTGGGTCCCAGACACTATTTTATTTTATTATTTTATATTTTATTTTATTTATTTTATTTTTGAGACAGAGTCTCCCTGTGTCGCCAGGATGGAGGGCAGTGGCTCCATCTTGGCTCACAGCAACCTCTACCTCCCGGGTTCAAGCAATTAATTCTCCTGCCTCAGCCTCCTGAGTAGCTGCCTGCCACCACCCCAGCTAATTTTCGCAGTTTTGTAGAGATGGGGGTTTCACCGTGTTGGCCAGGCTGGTCCCGAACTCCTGACCTCTAGTGATCCGCCTGCCTTGGCCTCCCAAAGTGCTGGGATTACAGGCCTGAGCCACTGCGCCTGGCGTTTGCTTTTTATTTTAATGGGCAGCCAGGGTGGAGAAATGATGCTCACGTTGTTTTTGATAGAGGCCAACTAGTGCCAGGTGAATGGGGGTATGGGGGTGAACAGAGGCAGTGGGACTTGACCGCACCCTCTGCCCACTGGCACATCTCCCCTCCTCCCGCTCCTCTAGGAGTCTTGGGGACTCCAGGATCCCTGCGGTGCTCCTGCCGCAATGCACCAAGCACACTCACACCCCAGGCCTTCCTCTGCACATGCCGTCCCCCACCTGCCTGCCTGATGTGTTATACAGATGCCTGGAGGCCACCCCTCTGTAGCACTCTGGGCCAATGCCCCTTCCCTGGCCACAGTTCCCAGGCAATCAGTGTGCCCCTTGTGCACCCCCACATAATCCCTTGCAGTTGCCTGTTTTGCCCCCATCTTCTCCTGTGTGTGGGGGTGCCCCAGGGACAGGGCTTAGATCTGATTCTTCTCTGAGTGTCCCAAGCCTGGCCCAGAGGAGGCACTGATAGAGGCGGATGCACTGATGTTTTGCTGCTAGGACTTGCTTTTGATAAAACCAGTGATATGGTCACCAGCAAATACCCCTTTTCCCTCCTGCCTGGGCCCCCCAGGACCAGCTCCAGTGGCTCTTCAGGGTGAGTCTACTTTCTGGGTGTGGTACTCCTCTCCTGGGTGTACCCAGAGCTTGTAAACTGGTCAGACTTCCCCCACTGATAACATTTTGTTTGGCATGCGGATAATTATTATTTTTTCCCAAGAAGTAGACCAGGTGCAGTGGCTCGAGCCTGTAATCCCCACACTTTGGGAGGTCAAGGTGGTTGGATCACTTGCGATCAGGAGTTCAAGACTGTAAGAAACATTCTTACCCATCCAAACCCAAAGAATGGACTCAGGGACATGGAGAACAGCAGAAGTGAGACTTTAATGGTGGTCTTGCAAGATTGGTGTCTGGCATGCAGGCACACCCAGAACGGTTTTAACAAGCTATTTACTCCCTAGCGCTCAAGTCCCTCCCCCAGTTCCTCATTGGCTGAGTACTATGGGGTTACAATCTTCCCGGACGTCACCTATTGGTGGTTGTATTAAGGTTTCAAGTATGTTCTTTAGGGTCTTTCTGCTGCCTTTTATTGCAGCCCATAATGCATTGCGACTATCTCAGGACTCTTTAAACATTTGACTTATGGCCCTAGTGGCTGCACTTGGCTGATAAGAAAGGGTACAATTATTTATGTTGCAAGCTAGCCTAAACTAAATTCTTTACTGGGGAGGGGGAGTTAAGGGGGGGCTCCAACCCATAGGCGCCTGGCTGCCGAGTGAAAGTAGAAAGCAGGAAGGAGAGAGGGGTGGTGGCTCAGTACATTCTGCTGCTTTATCTCCTTATTTCCATGTAACCTGCTTAAACCTATACTAAGACACTTAGAATTAAAAATGGGCCGCCGTGGCCGGGCTCTGTGGCTCACACCTGTAATCCCAGCACTTTGGGAGACAGAGGCAGTGGATCACCTGAGGTCAGGGGTTCGAGACCAGCCTGGCTAACATGGTGAAACCCCGTCTCTACTAAAAATACAAAAATTAGCCAGGTGTGGTGGTGGCTGCCTGTAATCTCAGCTACTTGGGAGGCTGAGGCAGGAGAATCACTTGAACCCAGGAGGCGGAGGTTGTAGTGAGCCAAGATCATGCCACTGCACTCCAGCCTGGGCAACACAGTGAGACTCCGTCTCAAAAAAAAAAAAAAAAAGAAGTAGTTGTCGATATTTAAAAACTGGCAGATTTCACATAAAATTGGGGATTTTTACCTTCTTTTCAAAACCCCAAAACTCTGGTAATATAAAACTGGCACCAGTTGGCTAAGCGAGGCATGGCTTCCCTTTAGACTGTGTGAGCTTCCTCCAGTTCATCACACACCCTCCTGGCCTCAGGCACGTTGGAGGTGAGGAGCTCTGCTGAGACTGTTTTAAAGAGGAGGAAGCTGAGGCCCAGCGAAGGCTGTAAACTTGGCAAAGGTCACACAGCAAATGTTTGGAGGAGCTGGGATCAGAACTCACGCTGGTCAGATACAGAGATGCAAGAGGCGGGTGGTCCGTTCTCACAAGGGTCTCTTCTGGAGAGAGAATGGAATGACTGAATGGGGAGTGGTCTGGAAGCCATGAGAAGCAGATGGGGCAGCTGGGCTGTGTCACCTGAGAGCAGAGATGCCTCAGGGAAGAAGTGGGGTCCTGGATAGTCATTTCCAGGTGGGAAGGAATGAAGGTGTTCTACGTGATTTTAGGAATACAGCCAGTATTCACTGGGCACTTATCATATGCCAGGCACAGTGCAAAGTGTGTTGAATGAACTCATGCGCTCTCCTTCATGACAGCCAATAAAATAGGCATTAAACATTTTATTTATTTATTTATTTAGATGTGGTCTTTGCTGTGTCTCCTAGGCCAGAATGCAGGGGCGCAATCATAGCTCGCTGCAGCCTCGAACTCATGGACTCAAGTCATCCTCTTGCCTCAGCTTCCCAAGTAGCTGGGATTACAGGTTTGCACCACCACAGCTGGCTCCTTTATAAAATTTTGTTTGTAGAGACAGAGTCTTGCTATGTTGTCCAACCTGGTCTCAAGCTCCTGGCCTTAAGTGATCCTCCTGCTTCAGCCTCCCAAAGCTCTGGGATTACAGGTTTGAGCCACTGTGCCCAGCAGACATAGACACATTTATAACCCTCCTTTTTACAAGAAACGAAGGCTCAGGGAAGGTTGAAATTTACCATGCTAGATTTAACTATTGGCATTAATATTTTGGTCTTTCCTCCTTCCTGAGTATCCAGGAAAGTACATTTTCCAGCCCCTTGCAGTTAAGCAGGGCCATGTGGTTAGCCCAGCCAATGAAATGTGGGTGGAAGTGATGGGTGCCACTTCCGGGTTGAAGCAGGAAGAGACTTTCTGTAATTATCCAGTGTCTTTCTCTCTCTTGCCCTGGTGGTGGTAGATGAGGCTGTGTTGTGGTCCTGGAACCATAAGTTCCAAGTGGTTCCTCGCATTGCTACGTGGCCACATCTGCAGCAGATTTGCATGACGCCAAAGGGACTTTTCTCTTGTGAAGTCATTGAGATTGAGGGATTGCAGCAAATCTCAGCCTACCTCAATTAACACATCCTACAGCTGGGAACTGGTGCGGCTGGGATTTGAACTCAGATCTCTCTGACCACAGACTGAAAACAGAATCAGGGAAGATGGTTGTAGATTCAGGGACACACATTTTCCCCACCTTCTGCATTTTAACATTTTGAAATCAGGTTTCGTCTGATAATCAATGGCACCTCACAACAGTTGTTGGCCTGTTGGTCGTGTGAGCTTTGTCTTTGCCTCGTATCTTTTGGCAAGATTTTCTTTAAACATAAAGGGCCAACATCGAAACTTGAAGAACGAATGAATGTCTGCTTGAAATAAAACCTCGGGGACAATGGTAGAACATTCTTTTAAGAAATGTTGCATCACTTACATTCTTGATGTCCTGGAAGATGCTATTGCATGAAAAACACAAACATCAATGCCTCTGTGTTGAAAAGAGATTCACAAGAGCTGAACTCTGAATGTGAAGATGTTTTAGGATACTGCGACCAATTTATTTTGCTAATACTTCCCATTTTATATATGCACAATAGGGATATATGATAAAAAATCTATGTCTAAACAAGTCCAAGAGCATTCTTTCAATACTTACAAAATAAAAATTCTAAGTGATAGTAAAACATCGTGTCTTGGTTTAATTGGCAGTGTTTTTTCTTTCTTAGTGGTACACAAAGATGCACCCTACAATCAATATGGCATCTTAGATTTGCTGAAATACGGTCCGTGTAGATCCTGGGAGGCAGAGTTTGTTGCCGTTAGCTGCCTTAGGGGGTCTGGAGCTCCTGGAGAGCCTGCTGGTTGGGAGGAACTGGCATCATCGTGGGGGCTCCATTCTCAGAGGCCCCTTCTGTGCCCAAGAACCTGGTTTTGACTTTCTTCTGTGCAGATTCTCTTTTCGACAGCTCCTGGTTTATGGCTGCTCAGTGGAGCTGATAGAGTTCAGGATAAACGCAGGCTCCACAGAGGGAATGAGGAATCCTCAGAATGTAATAAAGAGAAAGAGAGGGAGAGCTCCCAAGGCCCCTTCCAGGGAAATCAAGTGAAATTTCTGGAATGAAGATGAAGACAGCTGGCATCTTTTCCTGTCTGTCTTCCTTAGCGTCAAGGGCCTGGATGTGGCTCTGGCTCAGACAGCAGCTCTATCTGAGGAGTGAGGCTTGGGGTGGAGGGGTGGAGGGGTGGAAAGGAGAGGAGAAGGAGCTGCTGAGTCTCAGTACTTCCTCACCCTGGCCAAGTGCAACTCCAGTTTCATCACCTTCCCTGACTGTATCAGTCAGGCCAGACCATGTGATGCTACAGTAACAAACAGCCCCTCATCTTAGTTGTGGTGGCTGATTACCACCAAGTTTTCACTCTCAGGTGTGTTTCATGTCCCTCCTAGGTCTGTTGGGGGCTTGGTTCAATTCTTCCTCACTCAGGGACCCTGGTGGACAAAGCCTCTGCCATCTGGAGACATCATAAGTTTCCATGCAGAAGCGACATATGTCATTTCCACCTACACATCATGGCTAGAGCACATCACGTGGCCACATCTAATATGAAAGGAAATGCAATCCTGGCATGTGACCAGAAGGAGGGGAGACTAAATATTCCTGAATGGCCCTGATGACGTTCCTATTGATTGCCTTCCCTTCCCTGGCCATACCCAGTTTTCTTTTCTTTTTTATTTTTTTGAGATGGAGTTTCGCTCTTGTCGCCCAGGCTGGAGTGCAATGGCGCGATCTCGGCTCACTGCAACCTCCTCCTTCTGGGTTCAAGCGATTCTCCTGCCTCAGCCTCCCAACTAGCTGGGATTATAGGCATGCGCCACCACACCCAGCTAACTTTGTATTTTTAGTAGAGATGGGGTTTCTCCATGTTGGGCAGGCTGGTCTCGAACTCCTGACCTCAGGTGATCTGCCCTCTTCAGCCTCCCAAAGGGTTGGGATTACAGGCGTGAGCCACTGTGCCTGGCCCATATCCCGTTTTCTAGCCATGCCCTTGTCTGTAATTACCTCATCCCTGGCCACACCCCTTCCCTCAGAGCCTCTGCATTCCTGATCATGTCCCCATGAGTGAGGCAGTGCTCGTGTGACTGTGAGTCCTGGTACCTGCTTCTGAAAATGTTGCCCTGTGTCTATTCTCCACCAGCATCTCCCATGTCATATGGTTCTGGGTATGCTTGCCCCACTGGGCTGTGACTCTGAATCCACAGGATGGTGCTCATTCATTCTGTGTCCGGGACAGAACCTGGCACAGAGGAGGTGTGCACCTGAAAGATGAACAGATAACGAAATGAAGGATAAAATGAACCTGTTGAAGAACCACGTACTCATCACCCTGGGGATTCTGGATGGCCTGAGCTTGAACCCCAGTTTTTGCCCAGTGACTGGCACTGTCAGAAATGGCCGGGGCTCATTCCATGAGCAGAAGCTTGTGGAAGCTGCAAGCCCCGGCCACACGTGTGCATATGGCTGGCTTAGCCTCTCTCCAAAGAAGGTGGTTAAATGTCAGGTGCTTGGAGCTCAGTTGGCTAGGGTGGCATGCCTGTCATCTCAATAACCACCACGTACTGTGGTCTCACTCTGTCTGAGTTGCCATACAGATGCCTCCCCAACCCTCACCACACCTGGCTGTATTTCAAATTTTAACAGACACTGTCAAATTGCCCTCCCCACATCTACCAATTTTATGTTAACAGTACATGAAAGTAAGGCTGGGTGCAGTGGCTTATGCCTGCAATCCCAGCACTTTGCGGGAGGATTGCTTAAGTCCAGGAGTTCAAGAGCAGCCTGGGCAACATAGTGAGACCCCATCTCTATAAAAAATTTAAAAAACTAGCTGGGATGATGGTGTGTTCCTGTAGTCCCAGTTACTTGGGAGGATGAGGTGGGAGAATCACTTGAGCCCTGGAGGTCGAGGCTGCAGTGAGCCATGATCACTCCACCACACTCCAGTTTGGTTAACAGGGTAAAACCTTAAACAAATAAACAAACAAGACTCCAGTACATGAAAGTACCCATTTCCTCAGGCACTCGCCAGCCCCAGACATTTTCAATCTTGCTCTGTTCGTCCAGTTGATAGGCCTGAAAGGTCTTGCCATTGTTTTAATTCCTATTCCCATGTTTTTTTCATATGTTAGCTGGCCCTTAGTCTTTGTTGGGTGTGGGTTGCCTGTTTATACACTTGGTCCATTGCCCCATTGGGTTGTTTTACTATTTCTTGTTGATTGGTATGAATTTTTTGACAGTTACATGTGTTGAAAACCTTTTTTCTGCTCACTGGAATTTCAATGGAGAACTTTTGCCTAGTTTAATTCAATTCAGTCGTTTTCTAGAGAGACTATTTCCTGGACCAGAGATGTCTGAGAGTGAGGAGCAAACTGGGCTACATTAACCCAGGGAAGTACCAGCTGCCTGGTGAGCAGAAGCCTGTGGAAGCTGCAAGCCCCGGCCACATGTGTGCATATGGCCCCCTTAGCCTCTCCCAAAAGAATGTGGCTGAGTGTCAGGTGCTTGGAGCTCAGTTAGCTGAAGTGGCATGCTTGTCCTCTCAATAACCACCATGTACTGTGGTCTCACTCTGTCTGAGTGGCCATACAGATGCCTCCCCAGTCCTCACAGCAGCCCTGTGAGATACATGTCACTGTCTGTCTCATATAGATGAGGAAACTGAGGCTGAGTAAAATGTGTTTCCATTATTTTGCAGGACAATGTAGGTAGCTGGGCCAGGATTCAAGAGTGACTCTATTTGATTCCAAATCCCACACTCTCTCCATTGCAACATGGCACCCCTAGCCTGCCAAGAGGCTCTGTAGTAATGGGAGTTTCTGATACTTCTACTCCTATGACCACTGCTGCTACTATTGTTACTCCAATGACTAATACTACTAACAAGTATTACTTTGATTACTACTATTATTACCATTGCTTTTATAAGTAAATTAATTTAGTAAATCCTTTTTTTTTTCATGTTAGGCATAATTTTGGCAAACAACACATACCTGCTCCTTACCCTAGAGGAGCTTAGGTTTTAGTGGATGATGATAAAGCAAGTATTTTTTTAAAAAATTTTATTTTACTTTAAATTCTGGGATACATGTGCAAAACATGCAGGTTTGTTACATAGGTATACATGTGCCATGGTGATTTGCTGCACCCATCAACCCATCATCTAGGTTTTAAGCCCCGAATGCATTAGGTATTTGTCCTAATGCTCTCCCTCCCCTTGCCCCCCACCCGCTGAAAGGCCCTGATGTGTGATGTTCCCCTCCCTGTGTCCATGTATTCTCATTGTTCAACTCCCACTTATGAGTGAGAAAATGTGGTGTTTTGGTTTTCTGTTCCTGTGTTAGTTTGCTGAGAATGATGGTTTCCTGCTTCATCCACGTCCTTGCAAAGGATATGAACTCATTCTTTTTTATGGCTGCATAGTATTCCATAGTGTATACGTGCCACATTTTCTTTATTCAGTCTATCACTGATGGGCTTTGGGTTGGTTCCAAGTCTTTAAAGCAAGTATTTTTTGAGTTCTTCCCATGTGCCAGGCACTTGCTTGGTGCTTATGGACATTATTTCATTCAGTTCTTACAAACACCCTGGGAGTTAGCATTATTCTTCTTCTTCTGGTCTTGGCTCAAATGTCACCTCCTCAGAGAAGCCTTCCCAACACTTTATATACAAGAGCCCCCCAGTTCTTGCCATCCTGTCACTCTGTGCACTTCCTTATTTATTTATTGAGATGGTCTCACTCTATCGCCCAGGCTGGAGTGCAGTGGCACAATCTTGGCTCACTGCAACCTCCGCCTCCTGAGTTCAGGTGATTCTCATGCCTCAGCCTCCCGAGTAGCTGAGATTATAGGCACACGCCACCATGCCCAGCTAATTTTGTATTTTTAGTAGAGACGGGGTTTCACCATGTTGACCAGGCTGGTCTCGAACTCCTGGCATCAAATGATCCACCTGCCTCGGCTTCCCAAAGTGCTGGGATTACAGACGTGAGCCACCATGCCCAGCCGCACTTCCTTTATTGTTCAGGTCATATTTTATTATTTTCTCTTTGAGGGTTGTCTGTTTCCCTTGCTAGACTGAAAGTGATCTGAGGGCAATGGCCATGTGTATTGAGTTTACCACCTGCTGACCTGCACCTGGCCCAGCACACAGTAGGCAGTCCATAAATATCTGTGAAATGAGTTCCCATTTTGTAGAGGGAAAACTGAGGCTTAGAGAGGCAAGCAACTTCTCCAAGGGCCCATTGCCAGAGAGGCAGAACTGAGACTCGTCTTAGTCTTTCTTGCTCTAGTGCCCAGTCTTTGTTCACTACCCTACAGGGAATTCCGGACTGGGGCTGTGTCTTGGAGATCTGGGTTGCTGCCTGAAGGTGTGGTTAGGTCAAAAGTGCTGTCTCTTAACTGGCTTTGTAAAAACCAATCACCTGGCCATACTTGGTGTCTCCAGGTAGGTAATTTAGGAGTCACCACGGGGTTCAAGAAGCCAACTCCCTGGCCAGGTGTGTGGCTCATGCCTGTGATCCCAGTGCTTTGGGAGGCCAAGGCAGGAGGATCACTTGAAGCCAGGAGTTTGAGACCACCCTGGGCAACATAGCAAGATCCCCCGTCTCTACAAAAAAATTACCTGAGCGTGGTGGTGAGTGTCTGTAGTCCCAGCTACTCAAGAGGCTTGAGCCTAGGAGTTTGGGACTGCAGTGAGCTATAATTACACTACTGCACTCCAGTCCGAGCAATAGAGACCTTGTCTCTAAAAAAATAAAACAGAATAAAATAAATAAATAAATAAAAGAAGCCACATCTTCAGGTTCAGACTAGCAAGGTTTTGCCTGGTGAGATTCCCTTTGCCTCCCTGATATGAGAGGACACTGTTCGCCAAGTTGTCTTAGCCTCCCAGGGCCAAGAGAGAATTTCAGAAAATAAAGCCCAACCCTTTCGGTGGTGAAAATCTTAGCAATGTGTAGCAGCTGCTCTATGGGGGTGGGAGGTGGTGCTGCAGTGGGCTTTTCCCAGACACATTGAACTTTCTGGGCCACACTCTCTTAATTCCAGGTCTTTGCATAGATTTTTGTCCTCAATGTCTGGAACACTCCTCTGCTCCCATTCCTACTTCCTTCACCTGGCAAATCCATAATCAGCTTAAATGTTGCTTCCTTGGAGAAGCATTCTAGGGCTCTCCAAGTCAGGACTGGGCATGCTCTGATATATCTTCACAGTATCCTGCACTTTCTTCCAGACATGCCAGACTCCAAGAGCAGGAAGCACCTCTTGTTCACCACTGTAGCTGCAGCACCTGGCTCAAAGTCTGGCATAGACTAGGTGCTCAGTAAGCCTTAGTTGTATGAGCATGAGGTGCTTCTGACCACCATACTATCCAGTCCTGCAGGGATATGTCCTTCTCAGCAGAGGTGACCAAGGTCCCTTTTGGTCATTTGATTGTTCCAATCAGTGGCTTCTCTAAACCATCTGTCTTCAACCATCCTGTTATGGACTGAATTGTTTTCCTCCACCCCCAGTTCATATGTTGAAGTCCTAACTCCCCATGTGACTGTCTTTGGACATAGAGTGTTTAAGGAGATAAAGTTAAATGAGATCGTAAGGGTGGGTTCTTAATCTGATAGGACTGGTGTTCTTGTAAGAAGAGGAGGAGACACCAAAGAGCTCTCTCTCTTTCCTCACACGCACAGAGGAAAGGCCATGTGAGGACATAGCAAGAAGGTGGCCATCTGCAAGCCAGGGAGAGAGCCCTCACCAGAAACCTAATCTTCTGGCACCTTGAGCTTGGACTTCCAATCTCCACAACTTTAAGAAAATAAATTTCTGTTGGCTGGGCACAGTGGTTCATGCCATAATCCTAGCACTTTGGGAGGCTGAGGCAGGTGGATCACTTGAAGTCAGGAGTTCAAGACCAGCCTGGGCAACACGGTGAAATACCATCTCTAGTAAAATACAAAAATTAGATGGGCTTGGTGGCAGATGCCTGTAATCCCAGCTACTCAGGAGGCTGAGGCAGGATAGTTGATTGAACCTGGGAGGAGGAGGTGGCAGTGAGCCAAGATCACACCACTGCACTTCAGCCTGGGTGACAGAGTGAGACCCTGTCTCAAAAAAAAAAATAATAAACAAACAAACAAACAAACAAATAAATAAATAAACAGAAAATAAATTTTTGTTGTTTAAGCTACCCAATCTGTAGTATTGTGTTAGGGCAGCCTTAGCAGACACTAACACTGATTATTTCTCTTGGGAAAACTGAGGAAGTTTCCCAACTCCTTGCTCAAGCTCCGGATCTCAGTTTAGCTGGCGGTTCTTTCTTAGGGATGGCTGGCCTGGGGCCAATGGCTGTGGCCAAGGAGAGCCAAGCCACAGCAATTTCCATATTTGGAACCCTTGTGGTTTGGGAAATACATTTCCTGTAAGCCTCATTTGAGCCAAATACACAGCAATGTGCCGTTAATATATTTAGCTAACTGTTTAATTGGGCTATTGGCAACAGTTTCAAAGGAGTCAGATTGAATAACAACAGAATATGTCTAACTATCGAAAAAATTATAATGTGTCAGCATGCAGGCACTGCGAGGGTGCTGCCAAGTCTGTCATCAACATGCGTCTATCTGAATTGCTTTCTTTAGGTGGGGACCTTGTTTTGTTTTTCTAAAAGAATGCTGCTTTTAATTATGTTCAGTTTTAAAGCACTGTGAAATATCAAGGAGAGATCTCAAATATACTAACATTTTTGCCCTTAAGCTCTCCTCCTACACAGTTGGCTGTTCTGCCATTTGGACGGGCAGCTCAGTCTTGCAGGAAGATCAATTAGGGGTCTATTTATTGCTTCTATGTACCCTCTCTCACAGCAGGCATCAGGGCCTAAAGTGTGTCCCCTAGAGCTGGCTAGCTCAGCCCTGGAGACATCGCCTGCATAACCTTTGGTCATCTCATTCCTAGCACCCCTGTGGTATGGTTTGAAAGTTTGTTCTCCTCCAAAACTCATGTTGAAACTCATGTTAAATTGCTAATGTAACCATATTAAGAAGTGGGCCTTTTGGAGGTGATCGAGTCATGAGGGTGGAGCCCTCTTGAATGGGATTAGGTGCCCTTATAAAAGGGCTTGGTGGAGGGAGTCTTTTACTTCTCACTTTCTGCCATTCGAGGACACAGCATTCCTCTCCTCTGGAGGATGCAGTGTCAAGGTGCCATCTTGGAAGCAGAGAGCGGCCCTCACCAGATATCAAATCTGCTGGTGCTGTGATCTTGGACTTTCCAGCCTCCAGAACTGTGAGAAAGTAACTTTCTGTCCTTTAAAAATTGCCCCGTCCCAGGTATTTTTGTTATAGCAGCGCAAAACAGACTAACACACCTTACCTGGAGACACTCACCCCTATATCCAGTGAAACACCAAGTCATGTTGATTCTCCCTCTCTTTGTGCCAGTCTCCCACTCCCCAGCCCCTTGGCCCTCCAGATTTAGCACGGCTATGGTGGACACTTCCCTGTCCCTGCTAGCACTCTATTTCATAAGTGCACAGCAAGGTCTCTGCTTTGCTTTCTCCAAAGCTGTGCTATGCAACATAGTGGCCACTACCACATATGATTATATAAATTAGAACAAATGAAAGTGAGATATAAATGAAAAATTGAGTTCCCCAGTGGCATCGGCCACATTCCAAGTGCTGAGTAGAAACATGTGGCTAGTGGGGATCATATCAAACAACACAAAACATTTCTATCATCACAGAAAGTTCTATTAGACAGTGCTGCTTTGAAATCTCCAAGGTCATTCAGCTATGTGCACATGCAACCCAGATATGCATCGGGTCTCACACCCCTGGGGGCTCCCTTCAGCCAGTGGGGGATGGGAGTT
Organism: Homo sapiens; assembly: GCF_000001405.40. NCBI lineage: Eukaryota > Metazoa > Chordata > Mammalia > Primates > Hominidae > Homo > Homo sapiens. Next base: position 27,096,579 of record NC_000016.10, on the reverse strand, counting down.
GGTGGTAAATTCCTCATGCCCCCTGTCCTCCAGTGGGCAGTTCTGTTTGGTTGCTTAGATGCTCCTCAGTGGGATTGAGCTCCAGGGACCCCCAGGAGTAACTTGCTCCATGGTACACCCTTTATTGGCTCATCTCCCTTCCCTGTCACTCTTTCCCTGCGTCTTCACTTGTGCTTCCTGAGATCACCTCCCAAATGAGCTATGTGCATCCAAGTCCTTGTCTGTGGTCTGCTTTTAGGGGAGCCCTAGCTAGGACACCCCTGAATTTGTAGGTTTTTCTCTACCTGCAATGCCTCTGCCTCAGTGTGGACCCCTACCTTCCTATCTGGGAGATGGTGACAGCCTCCTAATGGGTCTCCCTGCCTCCTCTCTTACCTTCCACCAGTTTCCATAGCAAAGCCAGAGGACAACAAATAACACAAATGTGAACCACCTCTGCCCCATGCTTCCAGTTCATATATTGAAGTCCTAATGTCCAGTACCTTGGATTGTGACTGTATTTGGAGGAATGGTCTTTATGGAGGTGATTAAAGTTAAATGAGGTCATTGGAGGTGGGCCCTCATCCACTATGACTTGTGTCCTTATAAGAAGAAGAGATTTAGGACAGACATGAGCAGAGAGAAGACCACTGAGGGCACAGGGAGAAGGCAGTCATCTACAAGCCAGGGAGAGAGGCCTCAGGAGAAACCAACCCTGCTGGCACCTTGATCTTGGACTTCCAGCCCCCAGAACTGTGAGAAAATAAATGTCTGTTGCTGAAGCTTCCCGGCCTGTGGTACTTGGTTATGGCAGCCCTAGCAAAATGATGCATGCCCATTGCCCTGAGGAGAGTGGCCAGATTCCTTAAAATGGTTTTTTAGGCCTGGGTCATATTCAGTTCTAACTTACACCCAGCCTCTTCCCTCCTACCTCTGAGCAACTGGGAGCAACTAATCCACAGCCAAATTATCAAAAGCAATTAGCCAAAAATCACTCATCTGTCTAATGGTCAATTTGCCCAAATCACAAGATCTTAAACAGAGCCTTGGGCAGTTCATGCAAGAACCAGGACTAGAGTGAGGTAGGGGATTTGTAGTTTTCAGTATAAAAGTCCTATATGTGTTTTGTTAGATTTTTCCTTAAGTATTTCATTTTTCAAAGGGAAGGCAATTGTAAATGGTATTATATTTTTAATTTCAATGTCCATGTGTTCATTACTAGCATGCAGAAATGCAAAAGATTTTTGTATATTTATCTTGTATCCTGCAAACTTGCTGAACTTACTTATTCTAGGAGCTTCCTTTTTTTTGGAGATTCCTTGGGATTTTCTATATGTAAACAAAATCATGTTATCTGCAAATAGGGACTGTTTTATTTCTTTCTTTCTGATCTGTATGCCTTTTATTTCCTTTTCTTGCTTAATTGCTCTTGCTATACATTTCAGTACTCTGTTGAATAAGAGTGGTGAGAGCAGACATCCTTGACTTTTTCCCAATCTTAGGGAGACAGTATTTGGTCTTGCACCATTATGTATAATGGCAGTTGTAGGTATATTGTACATGTTCTTTATCAATTTGAGGAAGTTCCTCTCTACTTCTAGTTCTATGAGAGTTTTTTTTTCTAATATGAATGAATGTTGGATTTTGCTAGATACTTTTTCTCTATCAATTGATATGACCATGTGACTTTTTTCATTGTTAGCCTGTTAATATGGTGGATTTCACTGACTGATTTGCCAATGTCAAGTCAGCCTTACATACCTGGAGTAAACTACTAAGTCATAGTGTATTTTTAAAAATATATTGCTAAATTCTATTTGCTAATATTTTATTAAAGAAGATTTTTGCCCTCATATCTATGAGGGTTATTGATCTGTAGTTTTCTTTTTGTTGTACTGTATTTGTCTGATATTGGTAACAGTGAAATATTAGCTTAATAAAATGAATTGGGAAGTGCCCTTCTCTTCTATTTTCTGGAAGATATTATATAGATTTCATTGTATTTTCAAATGTATTTTCTTTAAACTTTTGATAGAATTCTTCAGTGAAACCATCTGGGCCTGGAAACTTCTTTTTTTGGAAGGTTTTAAATTATAAATTCAATTTTATTAATAGTTAAAGGGTTATTCAAATTACCTATTTCACATTGTTTGAGGTGTGACAGTCTGCACTTTTTAAGAAATTGGTTAAATTCGTGTATATAGAGTTGTTCATAGTATTCCTTTATTATCATTCTTTTGATGTCTGCAATGTCTGCAGTGACTCTTTGTTTCACCTTTGATGTTGGCAATTTGTGTCCTTTTTTTTTTTTTTGAGATGGAGTTTCACTCTTGTTGCCCAAGCTGGAGTGCAATGGTGCAATATTGGCTCACTGCAACATTTGCCTCCCGGGTTCAAGCAATTCTCCTGCCTTAGCCTCCTGAGTAGTTGAGATTACAGGTGTGCACCACCACGCCCAGCTAATTTTTTTGTATTTTTAGTTGAAACGGGGTTTCACCATGTTAGCCAGGCTGGTCTTGAGCTCCTGACCTCAGATTATCCGCCCGCCTTGGCATCCCAAAGTGCTGGGATTACACGCATGAGCCACTGTGACTGGCTTGTGTCTTTTTTTGTTTTTCTCAGTCTTCCTAGAAGTTTGTCAATTTTATTGATCTTTTCAAAATACTAGCTTTTGTTTAATTGATTTTCTCTATTGCTTTCCTTTCAATTTTATTGATTTCTATTTGCATCTTTCTTCCGCTTTCTTCAGTTTTATTTTACTCTTTTTTTCCCCAGGTTTTTGAGATAGTAGCTTGGACTATTATTTGAGAATTTTCCTCCTTTCTCATGCAAGGATTTAGTGCTAAAATTATCCCTTTCAACATTGCTTAACTGCGTGCATTGATTTTATTATATTGTATTTTCATTTTTGTTGAGTTCAATGCATTTTAAAATTTCCCTTGAGACTTCCTCTTTGACCTATGATTTTTTAGAAGTGTGTTATTTAGTTTCCAAATATTTGGAGATTTTACTGTTTTCTCTCTGTTATTGATTTCTACTTTGATTCCACTGTCATCAGAGAACACACTCTCTATGGTTTAAATTCGTTTAAATTTATTGAAGTTTGTTTTATGGCATAAGATATAGTCTATTCGGGTATATATTTTGGGGACACTTGAATGTATATTCTGCTGATGTTGGATGGAGTGTTCTATAAATGTCGATTAAATCCTACTGGTGGATTTCTCAATAAGTGGTATTGTTGAGTTCTTCTAAACCTTTGCTGATTTTTCTGACTAGTTGTTTTATCAATTGTTGAGAGAAGGTGCTAATATCTCCAACTAGAATGGTGTATTTGTCTTTCTCCTTTCAGTTCTAGCAGTTTTTGCTCCACATATTTTATAGCTCTGTCGTTTGCTTTATACACATCTAGGATTGCTATGTCTTCTTGGTAAATTGACCGTTTAATATTTATGTGGTGTTCTTTTCTGTCTCTAGTAATTATTTTTGCTCTGAAGTCTACCTTATCTAATATTAATGTATAAGATATATTGCTTTTTTGGTTAATATTCGCAGGATACATATTGATCAATTCTTGTACTTTTAACTTACCTACATTGTTATATTTGATGAGAGTTTCTGTAGAGAGCAAATAGCTGTGTTTCTATGCCAGTCTCTGTCTTTTAATTGACATATTTAGACTACTTATATTTAATTTGACTATTTATATGTTAGGGCTTAAGTGTGCCATTTTATTTTTCACGTTTGTCCTCTCTGTTTTTCATTTATCTGTTTTCTTTTTCCTGCCTTCCTCTGGGTTACCTGAACAATTTTTAGATTTCCATTTTAATTATCTACAGTGTTTTTGAGTGTATCTCTTTGTATGGCTTTTTTAGAAATTGGTCTGGATATTACATTACATACACCTAATTTATAACAATCTACTGGTGTAAACATTTCACCAGTTCAAGTGAAATGCAGAAAACTTTCCTCCCTTTTTGTCCCTTCAGCCATGCACTTTATAATACAATTGTCATAAATATTTCTTCTATGTACAATTAGAAACACATAAGATAGCATTATAATTTTTGAATTGGCCATTATTCATAATTTAGAAAACTCAAGAGGAGAAGAAAAACATTGTGAACCTACTCATATTTTTACTCTCTGTTGTTTTTTCTTCCCATTGTTTCAGATTTCCTCCTTTTATGAGTTTCTTTCTGTTGAGGGAACTTCCTTTAGCCATTCTTTCAAAGCGGCTCTGCTCATGGCAAATTATTTCAGTATTCCTTCACCTGCTAATGTCTTGATTTTCCTTCACCCTGAAGGATAATTTCTGCTGTAGAATTTTTGCTATAGAATTTTGCATTGACAGTTCTTTTCTTACAGCACCAGAAAAATGTTGTGGCTACTTCCTTCTGGGTTTCATGGCTTTTGATGAGAAATCCAAGGTCACCTGAATTGTTTTTCTCCATGGGCAAAATCTTGTTTCTCTCACTGCTTTCAATATATTTTTCTTGGCAGTCTCAAAAAAAGAAAGAAAGAAAAAAAAAGGGCCAGGCACAGTGGCTCATGCCTGTAATCCCAACACTATGGGAGGCGGAGGTGGGCGGATCACTTGAGGCCAGGAGTTCAAGACCAGCCTGGCCAACATGGTGAAACCCCATCTTTACTAAAAATACAAAAGTTAGCCGGGCTTGGTGGTGTGTGTCTGTAATTCCAGCTACTAGAGAGGTTGAGGCAGGAGAATCGCTTGAACCTGGGAGGCGGAGGTTGCAGTGAGCTGAGATCACACCATTGCACTCCAGCCTGGGTGACAGAGCAAGATTCTATCTCAAAAAATAAATTTTTTTTCTTTTCCTTTAGTTTTCAGAAGTGGACTGTGATGTGTCTTGGTGTGGATTTCTTTGGTTCTATTCTCTTTGCAGTTTGCTGAGCTTGTTGACTCTGTAGGTTTATGTTTTTTTGCCAAATTTGGGAAGTTTTCTACCCTGATATCCTTGGGTGACTTTTCAGCCCCATCCTCTTTCTTCTTTTCTTCTGTGACTTTAATGTTAGATTTTTTGCTGCAGTCCCAGAGGTCCTTGAAGTTTTGCTCCAGTTTTGAGAAGTCAATTTTCTCTCTGATATTCAGATGAGGTAGTTTATATTATTCTGTCTTCAAGTTCACTTACTCTTTCCTCTGTCCTCTCCTTTATGTGGTTGAGCCCAACCATTGAGTTCTTTAATTTCACGTATTGCATGTTTCAGTTCGAACATTTGCAGTGGGTTGTCTTTGATATTTTCTGTATCTTTGTGAAGACTCCATTTCTTTGTGGAGAACTTTTTAAAAAATTTTTTATTTCCATAGGTTTTTGGGGAACAGGTGGTGTTTGGTTACATGAGTAAGTTCTTTATTGGTGATTTGTGAGATGTTGGTGCAACCATCACCCGAGTAGTATACACTGTACCTAATTTGTAGTCTTTTATTCCTCACCCCCTTCCCACCGTTTCCCCCCTGAGTCCCCAAAGTCCATTGTGTCATTCTTATGCCTTTGCATCTTTGTAGCTTAGCTCCCACTTATGAGCAAGAACATACGATGTTTGGTTTTCCATTCCTGAGTTACTTCACTTAGAATAATAGTCTCTGATCCCAGTTCCTGCGAATGCCATTAGTTCATTCCTTTTTATGGCTGAGCAGTATCCCAGCATATATATACACCACAGTTTCTTTATCTACTTGTTGGTTGATGGGCATTGGGTTTGGTTCCAAATTTTTGCAATTGCAAATTGTGCAGCTATAAACATGCGTATGAAAGTATCTTTTTCATATAATGACTTCTTTTCCTCTGGGTAGACACCCAGTAGTGGGATTGCTGGATCAAATGGTAGTTCTACTTTGAGTTCTTTAAGGAATCTCCACACTGTTTTCTTTCTGGAGAACTTCTATTTATTCATTTGTTTCAAGTGTATAATTGCTTGGGGAAGTGTTTTTATGATGGCTGCCTTGAAATCTTTCAGTGACTTTTAGTTTTTTGCCAGGGCTTCTTGGTAGATAATTCTAATATCTCTGTCATTTCAGTGTTGTCATCTACTGATTATCTTTTTTACATTCAAGTTGAGATCTTCCTAGATTTTGGTATACTAGGTGATTTTTGATTGAAATCTGGACATTTTTGTATTATGTTGTGAGACTCCGTATCTTATTTGAATCTTCTGTTTTGGCTGGCTTCCTCTGATCCTATTCCAGTAGGGGATGGGAGGGTACCACCTCACTATTTCCAGGTGGGGTAGAAGGCTAGGTTCCCCATTTGATCTCTGTTGATACTCAAGAGGGGAGGGGCTCCTTGTTACTGCTGGGCAGGAGGTCAGGGGGCTGCCGCTTGCTAGGCCTCCACTGATACCTCCCTGGCTGGGAGGGGAGGAGTGCCTCATCTTTGTTCTATACTTGGTCTCCAATGACACCATGGGCTTGGTGGCCTCATTATCACAGGACAGTGGTGAAATTTCTAACTCTGAGATAGTGGGAGGTGCCTCATGACTGTCTGATGAAGTCCAGGCTCTCCATGTAGTTTCTCTTTTTTTGAGGCAGGGTCTCACTCTATCACCCAGGCTGGAGTGCAGTGACATGATCTCAGCTCACTGCAACCTCTGGGCCCCCCAGGTTCAAGTGATTCTCTTGCCTCAGCCTCCCAAGTAGTTGGGATTACAGGCGTGTGCCACCATGCCTAGCTAATTATTTTTTTTTGTAGAGATGGAGTTTCACCATGTTGGCTAGACTGGTCTCGAACTCCTGGCCTCAAGTGATCCACCTGCCTTAGCCTCTCTAAGTGCTGGGATTACAGCCGTGAGCCACTGCACCTGGCCTCCATGTAGTTTCTATTGATGCTGTAGGTGATGGGGGCTGTTTCCCACCCTGGGGGGGATGAATTCCATATTTGACCTCCTCTGCTATCACCCTAGGAGAGGGTGGGTGCCTCATTACAGCCTGGTAGAGATGATGGTGTAGTCAACCCACTCACCCTTGGCTGACATGAGTGGGGAAGGACATAGTGCTGTTCTCTGGTGTTTGGATGGAGGACAGTGGCTATTGTTAAAACGATTCTGCCTTGCCCGGTTGTCCTTTTCCTATTCCTTTGGTGGAAAGAACCAGCTTTTGTTGGTGATTTTTTGTCTCTGCCTAGTGGTGTTTCTGGATTGCTGGCTTCTTCAGTTCCAAGTCCAGGATATATGAGGCAAAAAGAAAATGTAGAAAACCCACCACTATGTACCTTGGGTCCCAATGTCCTTGGCCACCCTACCTTCTTCTCTCTACCCTTCAGAATCTCATGATTATTTTATGTATAATCGCCAGGGTTTTTAGTTGTGTTTATGGGAAGAATAGGAAAAAGCATGTCTACTATATTTTCCTGGGTATGTAAGTTCATAAATAAAATTTCAATGTAATATTAAAAAAATCCAAGTTAATGCAAAAAAAAAAAATCCAGAGTGAGCAAAATGCATTTTAAATAAAGACAGAAACAGGATTATTGATTTTTCCTTTTCCCTCATGCTCCAATATGGCTTGTCACAGCATTGTTACTGATCATGACTCTATTTAAAACATTTTCGGCCAGGCGCAGTGGCTCACACCTGTAATCCCAGCACTTTGGGAGGCCGAAGTGGGCGGATCACCTGAGGTTGGGAGTTCGAGACCAGCCTGACTAACATGGAGAAACCTCATCTCTACTAAAAATACAAAATTAGCCAGGCATGGTGGTACGTGCCTGTAATCCCAGCTACTCGGGAGGCTGAGGCAGGAGAATCGTTTGAACCCGGGAGGTGGAGGTTGCGGTGAGCCGAGATTGTGCCATTGCACTCCAGCCTGGGTAACAAGAGCGAAACTCTGTCTCAAACAAACAAACAAACAAACAAACAAACAAACAAATAAAAAAACGAAAAAAAATTGTCATTTTGTATATCATGAATTTTTTGCATTAATTTTGATTTAAAACATATTGCATTAAAACACTTCTCATGAGTTTTGTGTGTGCCCCCTAAACTTCATATCCGAGGCAAATACCTCACTTCCCTCACTTGAACTTCTCTGGTTTATGTGGCCTTTGAAATGACCCAGTCTGGCATGGCAATGGCCTGGGCCTGGCTGGGAGCATGTGTTTGTGATGGGTCCAGCTACCCAAAAGCTGGTCAGGAGGCCTCCCTTCCGATGCTCTGCCTGAGGGCTGTGGCCATAGCAGCCATGTTAGAGGAGGCTTTGGGGGCACATTCCCAGTTGTTTTGAAGGCAGAAGGCAGGCACGTGGAGGCGGCACAGGGATGGCCCCTCCCTCTGGCTACAATGAGACCCAAACTTCAAAAAAAAAAAAAAAATTCCTCAAAGCCTGCCAAAACGATTTGCAACACAAATTGCTGAAACTTCCTAAGTAGAATAGAAACAAATATTTAGTGAATCAATTACCTGGTAAATTGGTCATTTGGCTAGTTGATTTTCTATGCATTTGTGAGTTCCCCTAGAGAAGGCATTGTGGACAGAAGCCTGAGGCCATCTTCAAGGACCTCGCTGTCCTCCAAATGGCACCCTTCCTGAGCCTCTGTCATTTCACCTACACCTGGACAGGCAGGCAGCAGGTAACTTCAGAATGTCCAGTGGGTCGTGAAGGAAATGAAGGGACACAGTGAGAGTAACAGAGAAGCAGGGAGGTCAGGGAAGCCTCTCCAAGGAGCTGACTTTGAGCTGGAGACGGAGCCAGCCACGAGAAGAACTTTCCTGGAGGAAGGAGCCGCAGGTGCGAGTGAAAGAGGTGGCGTGGGGAAACCCAACCTAATGTGAACTCTGCCTTGGCCACTGGTGAGCTGTGTGCCCTTGGCCAGGGCATCCAGCCTTCGGGATTCTCAGTTTTCTCATCTGTTAAATGGGGATAATAATACCCACCTGTAAGGGCTGTTGTGAGGAGAAAAGTGTTATGGGTCAAGCATGAGCTGTTATTCATTATTTTTTATTTTTATTTGTTTGAGATGGAGTCTTATTCACACCCAGGCTGGAGTGCAGCGGTGCTATCCCAGCTCACTGCAACCTCCACCTCCTGCATTCAAGAAGTTCTCCTGCCTCAGCCTCCCAAGTAGCTGGGATTACAGGCACCCACCACCATGCCTGGCTAATTTTTGTATTTTTAGTAGAGATGGGGTTTCACCAAATTGGCCAGGCTGGTCTTGAACTCCTAACCCTTAGGTGATCTGCCCACCTCAGCCTCCCAAAGTGCTGGGATTACAGGTGTGAACCATCATGCCCAGGCTGTCATTCATTTTTAAATTCATGCAATCAATAAATATTGAACTTTCCTACTAAGCACGAGGTAGCATTCTAGTTACTGAACAAAAAAGGCAAAAATCTCTGCCCCCATGAAGATAAAGGGAAAGACAAACAATGAATAAAATAAACAAGGAAAATATGTGACCTGTCAGGCATCAACTCATGAAGGGAGGAAATGGACCAGGGCAGAGTGATGGGAGAGGTGGTGAGAGTCTGCAAGTCAAAACAGGGCAGTCAAGGCTGGGCGCGGTGGCTCATGCCTGTAATCCCAGCACTTTGGGAGGCCGAAGTGGGCGGATCACCCGAGGTCAGGAGTTTGAGACCAGCCTGGCCAACATGGTGAAACCCCTCTCTACTAAAAATACAAAAATTAGCTGGGCATGGTGGCACATCCCTGTAATCCCAACTACTCAGGAGGCTGAGGCACAAGAGTCACTTGAACCCGGGAGGCAGACGTTGCAGTGAGCCAAGATCATGCCACTGCACCCCAGCCTGGGCGACAGAGCGAGACTTCATCTCAAAAATAAAATAAGGTGGTCAGGGAGAGCCTTGCTAAAGAGATGATATCAGAATGGCAGTCTGCAGGAGGTGGGGCTGTAAAAATACTCCAGGATGGAGGAAAAGCAAGTGCAAAGGTCCTGGGGCAGGAATGTGCCTGTTGAGTTTGAAGGAGGCAATTGTGAAGGGAGCAGAATGAGCGAGCGGAAGGGAAGCAGAAATGAGCCCAGAAAGGCCATGGTATTGGTTTGTATGGGTTTTTCTCAGAGTGAGGTGGGGGCCACAGCATGATTTTGAGCAGAGGATATACATCATCTGACTTAGGTTTGTTTTTTGTTTTTTGTTTTTTTTTTTTTGAGACGGAGTATTGCTCTTGTTGCCCAGGCTGGAGTGCATTGGCGCCATCTTGGCTCACTGCAACCTCCACCTCCTGGGTTCAAGGGATTCTCCTGCCTCAGCCTCCTGAGTAGCTGGGATTACAGGCATCCACCACCTCACCTAGCTAATTTTTGTATTTTTAGTAGAGATGGGGTTTCGTCATGTTGGCCAGGCTGATCTCGAACTCCTGACCTCAGGTGATCTGCCTGCCTCGGCGTCCCAAAGCGTTGGGATTACAGGCGTGAGCCGTGCGCCCAGCTCGTTTTCTTACTTAAATATTCTTTTTACTTCAACAGCTTTTGGGGTACAAGAGGTTTTTTGTTACATGGATGAATTATGTAGTGATGAATTCTGAGATTTTAGTGCACCCATCACCCAAGTAGTGTACATTGTACCCAATACATAGTTTTTATTTCCTGCTCCCCTCCCACCCTCCACCTTCTGAGTCTCCAGTTTCCATTATACCACTCTGTAGGCCTTTGCATACTCCTAGCTTAGCTCCCACTTACAAGTGAGAACATAACGGTATTTGGTTTTCCATTCTTAAGTTACTTAGAATAATGGTCTCCAACTCCATCCAAGTTGCTGCAAAAGACATGATTTCATTCCTCGTTATGGCTAGTATTATTCCATGGTGTGTATGTACCACATTTTAAAAATCCACTCATTGGCCAGTGGGCACTTAGGTTGGTTCTCTGTCTTTGCAAGTTTGAGTTGTGCTGCAATAAACATACGTGTGCATGTGTCTTTTTCATAGAATGAGTTTTTCCGCCTTTGGGGTAGATACCCAGTTGTGGGATTGCTGGATCAGTCTGGCTGCTGTGCTGTAGTGAGGCAAGGATGAGCAGAAGCAGGGAGATTTGAGGAGGTAGCTGTGATGGTCAGGTGAGAGATGCTGCAGGCTTGGACCAAGGTGGTCAAGGAGGTGGTGAGAAATCGAATCCTAGATGTACTCTGAAGGGACATCCAGTAGGATTTGCTAGTGAATCAGCTGCGGGGTGTGAGAGAGCCTCTGGGGAGAGAACCTGTCCAGCCCTTGGGAGGCAGCCCCCGGCCCTGTGAGCCCCCGGTGGTGGGTTCTTGTGCCCCTGGTGGTGATGATGACAACTTGTCCTGATGCTCCAGAGATCAGCCACAGAACAGAAAATGTGGTAACAAGTGACTCTAATTGCTTCTGGTGTTTGCATCAAAGGAAAACCCAGCTCTATTTATAAAAAATACATTAGAAGGAGCCGCTCTGTGGGCACAGCGGGCAGAGTGGGAGAGCAAAGAGCACGCCATCATCTCGGTGCCTGGCTAATGCAGGTGAGGGGTCGAGCTGCAGGCTGATCCTCACAGCACCCCCAGCCCTCCAGGGAGCCAGAATGGGATGCAGATTGGAAATAGGGCAGGGGCTTAACCCGCATTGCTCCTTCCAGGCCACCTTCCTGAGCTTCTGGGACTACAAGCTGCAGACCATCAGCTGCACTGCTAGCTGGAGACTGTCCTCGGCCACAGGGACCTGCTCTGCCCAGGTGTATCCACTCTGGGAGGCAGCCTGGGCTGATGTGGGTCTACAAAAGCTGGGGCCCTTAGTCTCAATTCAGGGCAACCCTGAACTGCCGTCCAACTCTGGGACTTAACACAGGACTGACAGCAGCCTCGTGTGCAGTCACACTGCAGGCCAGCGTCTCCCTCCCAGACTTCCTCACTTCTGTGCGGAGTCATTCCTGACAACATTCCCCATAAACCTCACCCAACCCCCTGGCTCAGAATCTGTTCCAGAGCACCCAATTTAAGGTATCAGGAGTGCCATGGTTTCTGCTATCTCCACTTGGGGGTCCTCTGGGCAGTTCTTACCCCACCTGGCCAGGACTGAGTCCACTGATCTCCCTACCCCTCCTCTGGACTTTCTTACATCATCTGCCCAGTGACCCAAGCCAGAGGCGGCTGTTGACCTGAGACATTGTTTCCTGGCCACGTGGGACTCTTAATGCAAAGCGCCTGACATGGCAGCTGGCTTCAAGTGAGCAGGAGAGAAAGCAAGAGAGACAGGAGAAGGCCAGCATGAGGCAAGCCAGGGGCTTTTCTAACCTCATCTTGGAAGTGACATCCCATCCCTTTTGCAATGTTCTATTTATTAGTAGTGAATCCCTGGGCCAGCCTACGTGCAAGGCTGGGGGGCATATAAGGGCACAAACGCCTGGAGACAGGGTTATTGGGGGTTACCCTGGAGGCCAGCCACTGCACGTAAGCACTGCCCTTGCCCTGGACATAGACCCCGCAGCCACCTTTACCCAGTGAGCCCTGTATACTCAGTGAGCCCACCCCCGGCCCGTCTGATTGGTCCAGGAGGCATCCCTGACAGTAAGCTGGGCCAATCAGACTTCAGAATGATGCTGTTCGGACCCCTGAGCACTTGAATAAAGACTTGAACCCCAGGGAGCCCTGCCGTGCACATGTGGCCCCATGGAGAAGCAGGGAACGCCAGTTTGCAGAAAGGAGCCGGAAGCCGACACAGGACGGGCAGGGAAGTAAGGCATTGGAGTTCAGAGAGGGATGGAGACACCACCAGAAACAGTTCTGACCCGGGGCCTATGTCCCCTGAGATGCTCTGTTCTCACGGGAAGCTACTACTTTTGTCCCAGATATTTTGAGTGGATTTTATTCCTTGCAATCTTGCCCGGTTGTCCTTTTCCTATTCCTTTGGCTGGAAAGAACCAGCTTTTGTTGGTGCTTTTTTGTCTGTGCCTGGTGGTGTTTCTGGATTGCTGGCTTCTTTGGTTCCAAGTCTGGGATATATGAGGCAAAAAGAAAATGTAGAAAACCCGCCACCACTATGTGGCAATGAAACAGCCTTGAGAAAGAATAATATTTTCTCTGTTTGTTCCCTTTCTGCCCTTCTCCTTGTGCTTTGGCAAGACTTTTTCTGAAAATGTCAGCCCCTGGCTCAGCTGAGCAAAGGGAAAGGCAGGCTGGCATTTGTGGGCCTCTCACTGTGTACCAGGCTGGCCACGGGCATTATCTCAGATGATGAGGCAGGGCTGGTGTTGCTCCATTTCACAGAGATGGCAAAGTGAGGCTCAGAGGGCTTAAGGGACTGGCTCAGAGGTGGTTGAGCTGGGACACCTTGCCAGGATGGTCTGACTCACAAGCCTGGGTCGTTTTATTCTGCCAGACTCTAGCACCACCATCTGTCTATGATTGGGGCTGGGTGTTACAGGCGGCACAAAGAAGTGTTTGTCACTGCTTAAGGGGATTGTCTTCTACCCCTTCCCCCCATAATAAAGGAGAATAGTCACTCCCAGGGGCTCTAGGCTTCTCTGAGGTCCACCACCCTCACCCCCAGAATTTTGTCTCATTCATATCTCCCCTCAGTCAATGCCTTGCTTCAAATGCCCTTTGAGAATAATACGTTTCCAGAAAGTGATTTCTTGTATCTACTTTACCTCTCTCATGATGCAACTGAAATTTCAGGCAACACCACTGGGTCAAGGTGGAGAATGTACTGGCCCTGGAGTCATATATTAATGGAAATGAGTCTAAGCCTTGTTCTCACCTATTGTAACCGCCCAACGGGTTCTTCCTGCCCTCTGCACAAACAAAATCAATTCACAGCATTGCAGTAGAGAAAGAGTGTAATTAATGTGAGGCCAGCAACACCACGTGGGAGACAGAGTTATCACTCAAACCAACCTCCTGGAAGGTTCCTGGTTTAGGGGTTTTTCAGAGGTAGTTTGAGGGAAGAAGTGGGGGTGGCTATGCAGTGGGTGCCCACTGCCGATTGGCTGGGATGGAGATGAAATCTTAGGGAGTCGCAGCGTACCGAGGCGGGCTGATCACTTGAGGTTGGGAGTTCGAGACCAGCCTGACCAACATGGAGAAACCCTGTCTCTACTAAAAATACAAAATTAGCCTGGCACGGTGGCACATGCCTGTAATCCCAGCTACTCGGGAGGCTGAGGCAGGAGAATCGTTTGAACCCGGGAGGCAGAGGTTACAGTGAGCTGAGATTGCACCTTGCACCCCAGCCTGGGCAACAAGAGCGAAACTCTGTCTCAGAAAAAAAAAAAAAAAATCCCAAAAGGCCAATCATAGGTTCTGCGATAGCGACGTTTTCTGCAGGAATAATTGGGGAAGTTGTGTATCTTGTGACGTCCGGAATAATGGCTGGCAATCGTTCATGTCTACACCTTAACAGAATTCAGGTTTCTCTAACCTCCTGACCTGGTGGTCTCTCATTAGCTTTATAAAGACAGTCGAGTTCTGGGGAATGGCTAGTATCACTTAAACTATAAACTAAACGTCTGGCCTCTTGAAGGCTAAAGGCATGAAGGGGTTGACAACATCAGATCTCCCCCACTGCCATAACTTTCTCACTAATACAATTTTTGTAAAGGTGGTTTCTCTGTGAGCTGTGGAAACATGATCTAAGATCTCACCTTGCTGAGTCTCGCTTTTCTCATCTGTAAAATGGGAATATATGTCTTACCCACAAAGTTTTTTAAGAAATAAATAATAGGGAAAAATAAACTGCATGCATGGAACGTATACATGGCAGTTGCTTTTGCTATTATTATAGTTTCTTCTTCCCTGGGGGTTCCTGATCTGGGGACCCCTGTACCTGTCTCCGTGTGGACCTGATGTTCTCAGTCTGGCTGCTGCAGCCGAACAGACCCGTGACCCCTTTGAAACACCTCCTCAGCAAGTTGAACCTTTCTCTGGGAATTTCAGAGTGGGTTCACTAGCTATGAGGCCTCTGCTTGTTGCTAGATGCCGAGAAAACAAATATTGTTTTAGAAACATTAATAATTGAAAAGTTTTCAGCAGAGAATCGGCCAGCATTAGGGGAATTGAAAATTAAGACTAAGACACTACCTCAAGCTGATTTCCTGATGAATAATTCATGGGGCCGATGCCCACGAAGACCTGGAGGAGAAAATACCTTCTGTGCCTGTCCTCCCCATCACTGCCACCACGCCGTCACCTGGACGTTTCCCTGACTCCTCCATGGGGAAGGGGAGATCTGGGGAGTAGGAAGAGCTGGCAACACAGCAGAGCTTTGATTTGAATTCTCATCACCATTTTGCCTGCATGTGGCTGTGTGGTCATTGATACTCAGTCTCTCTGAGTTGGAATCCTGCCTCTGAGTGTCACTGACTGCGACTCTTTGAGATTCAAATGACGGAAGGGACCTTGAGCAGCCACTGAGGCCTCGGTTCCCAGGGAGAACTATACCCTAGAGTGTAGAATGGTGGTCCATTCCGTTTTTCAGACCTCCTCCTTCCTTCCTGACTTCAGCACACATTCCTTGCCTGTCTGCTCTGTGCTGAGTACTGGGGATATTGTCTCCCCTGGTGGAGAAAATGGTGAAGGACATGGACGATTACAATCCAGGGTGACTTGGACAAAGGTAGAGATAAGAAGGTGGTACAGTGAGAGTGCAGAGAATAGGATCCTAAATTCAACCTGGGGTGTAATCAGGGAGGGCTTCCTGTGGGAAGTGACATTTGCATTGAGTCCTATGGAGAGAGACAAGTTGGAAGATAAGGGAAGAAGAAGAGTGTTACAGGTAGAGAGAACAATGTGTAAAACGCCCCTGAAGAGAGAGAAGGAAAAGGGACGGTACTGGGACCTGAGGCATGTGTGGGAGGACCTGGATAAGGGGCCGACTCCTGCAATGCCTTAAAATCAAGTTAAAGTATTTGCATTTGGACTTTACCCCGAGGGCAATGGGGAGCCATTGAAGGATTAAGCAGGGTGCTGGTAACACTACTGGATTTGTTTTAGATAGATCCTGAAACTGTTGTGTGGAGGGAGAACTTGGTAGTTCTTGTTTTCTGGTATAAAGCTCCAGGGTGTTGGTTTAAACCTTTCTCAACCTATTCAAGCTGATTGCATGTCATCTTTTCCAAGAACATCATTTTTCATGTTTCTGAAGTCCATCCAATCTCAAGCTGCTTTCTTGTTTCCGTTCATCCGTCGCATCTATTTTCTCTAGAGAGCAAGAGTGAGCTTGTGGGAGGCTTCCAAGAAGAATACCCCAACTCACCTCTTTTCCTAGTTGTCAGCTCAAACTGATTTCGCCAGTTTGGGGGTAGGAAGACAGATAGTCTACATGAGAACTGGCTTCACAGGCCAGACTTAGTAGGTCTCAAACTCGTAGCCCCTGTGATGAATCTGGACCTATAGATATGTTTTACTGGAACAAAACAATGTTTTGTTTAGGAAAAAAGTTGGAAATAATCATTGCTGTGGACCTAATTGTGTCCCTCTGAATTCCTATGTGGAAGGCCCAACCAGAAATGTGATGGTATTTGGAGAGGGGGATTTAGGGAGGTAATTAGATTTAGATGAGTTATGAGGGTGCGGTCCTCATGATGGGATTAGTGTCCTTATAAGAAGAGACACCAGAGAACTTGTACTCTCAAGCTCTTTCTCTCTCTCTCTCCCCCTCAACTCACCACCATATGAGGACATAGTGAGAAGGTGACCGTCTGCAAACCAAAACAAAGAGGCCTCACCAGAGACCAACCCTGCTGTGCTGGCACCTTGATCTTGGACTTCTCACCTCTAGAATGGAGAGAAAATCAGTTTCTTTTGTTTATTTAAATCACCTAGCTGTTATAGCAACCCAAGCTGACTGTTACAATAATCACTACTTAAAAATCAGGAGATTTCTCATAACAAGCCTAGATTTCTGCTTTCCTGGAAATAGCAGACATGATAACACTGATAGTATCTTTCTGTGCTGGGTGGTAGCTGCCCCTTAGACAAAGCCTGCATGTTCCAGTTCACCACAGTCCCCACCACTCCCTGTTGCCTCCCTGTCCTAAGGCTGCTGGCAGCTGCTGTCTGTCATCATCCTCGCACCACCATTTTTCTTCTACAAAGCAAAGAGGAAAGCGAACCATTTCTTGATGTCCACATCTCTATCAAAAGCAGAAAGTTGAAAGATAGACCAAGAAAGCCACCTATTTCAAGACAAAAAAGAGAGTGCATATTTCTTGGTGGAAATAAAGAATAGTCAGAGTTCAATATGTAAACCAAATGTGTCTAGGTTGAAAGATTGCAACTGAAGGTGCTTTTCTGAGTCTATCTGGCTGGGGTCATCACTCACTCATGTTACCTGCTTGGGCCTGGGTGCTTGTGGGTTTTTGGGATCTGGGTTTGAGCCTCAGTTGGGACTGATGGAATGTGGTTTCAGAATGCCAAGTGGCAGAGCCATCTTTTCCAAAGGGTTTCCCTAGGTCTCTGCAGCTCAGGGAGGTGGCCTGGGGCTCCATGAGGGGAACACATGTGGGGAGTGGAGGTGTGATTGGCTCTGCTCCCAGTCTCACCTGCCCCCAGGTAACTCTGCTTCTGTCTGGGTCTGCTTTCATTTGTGGCAGTGGTAGGGAGATGGCTCAATACTTTAAAAAATGCTTAAAGTCTGTTGATCTACTAAAACCTCTTCATGCGCCTCTGGGGATAACTAAAGTCCAGGGAAAGGGACTGACCTACCCATCACGACTGTGTGTGTCCAGTGTGGAAACAGAGCCTGTCTCTGCTCTTTCCTGCCCTCCTCTTTGCTCCCTTCTCTGCCCAGGCTGGGTAAGATGCTCCTCCCCTTGGTGCTCATGTCCTTCCTGGAGCTGCAGGATCTCACTTACTGCCCTAATTACCCATCTTCCTCTTCCTCCAGACCGGGGTTGCAACTCTAAGCCTTCCAGGACACACAAAAATTAGGTAGTTGGGAAAGAGAGCTCAGCTCCAGCTGCTGTTGCCAGGGGGAATGGGAAGGGAGTCTCCAGATCTCAGTCAGCTAGCAGTTTAGATCCTTAGGTGGAATCTCTTATGAGCTGATGCATTTGGACTTCTGGCCCAGGCTTTAAGCAACTTGAGGGCAGAGATACTGTAATTCTTATTTGGTTCTTGCCATCTGGCACACAGTGCACAGGGTTATACACTCAGTGAATGCTGAATGAGTGAAGGAGCTGAATTCCTTCATTTCTCAAGTTCTCATTTCTTCACTCAACAAACATTCATTGACCTTCACTTTGTGCCAGGCCCTAAGCTAGAGGCTGGGGGTTGGGGAAGGGACAGAAAGACAAGTTAACAACCTGAGCTATGAGCTGCCCCTGCGGAGATTCATGCCAGTCTGGGATCCATTGTAACAATGGCTGCCATTGGTTGCAGGTCTACTATGTGCATTGAGTCAAGCATTTTGGACAAATGATCTTGTTTACTCCTCACAACCCTAGGAGATACTATTATCATCCCCATTTTATAGATGATGACACTGAGGCTTAGAAAGGTTGGTTAAGACACACTTTCCAAGGCATACAGCTAGTGTGTGGCAGATCCAAGATTGTGCCCAGGGATTCTGAACCCGAAGTCTATTCTATTTGACCACTGTGAATTCCAGGATTAGAACGAGACTATGCTTTGCTCATGTGGTTAATGTGATATGTATGTGAAAGGTTTCCACCAGAAAGAAAGAGATTCTAAACTTGGGCACAGTGGCTCATGCCTGTAATCCCAGCTGCTTGGGCAGGAGGATTGCTTGAGGCCAGGAGTTCAAGACCAGCCTGGGAAGCATAGGGACACCCTGTCTCTACAAAAAATAAAAACAAATTAACCGTGCATGGTGGTGCATTCCTGAAGTCCCAACCACTCTAGAGGCTGAAGTGGGAGGATTGCTTGAGCACTGGAGTTCGAGGCTGCAATGAGTTATGATTGCACCACTTCACTCCAGCCTGGGTGACAGAATGAGACCCTGTCTCTATTAAAAAAAAGAAAGAAGGCTGGGCATGATGGCTCATGCCTCTAATCCCAACACTTTGGGAGTCTGAGGTGGATGGATTGCTTGAGTCCAGTAGTTTGAGACCAGCCTGGGCAACATGATGAAATCTGGTCTCTACAAAAAATACAAAAATTAGCTGGGAGTGGTAGTGCACACTTGTAGTCCCAGCTACTTGGGAGGCTGGTATGGGAGGATCACTTCAGCCTGGGAGGTGGAGGTTGCAGTGAGCTATGATTGTGCTACTGTACTCCAGCCTGGGTGAAAGAGTGAGACCCTGAAAAGAAAGAAAGGAAGGAAGGAAGGAAGGAAGGAAGGAAGGAGAAAGGAGCCGGGTGTGGTGGCTCACGCCTGTAATCCCAGCACTTTGGGAGGCTGAGGCAGGCAGATCACAAGGTCAGGAGATTGAGACCATCCTGGCTAACACAGTGTAACCCTGTTTCTACTAAAAATACAAAAAATTAGCTGGGCATGGTGGCATACACCTGTAGTCCCAGATACTTGGGAGGCTAAGGCAGGAGAATTGCTTGAATCTGGGAGGTAGAGGTTGTAGTGAGCTGAGATTGCGCCACTGCACTCCTGGGCACAGAGCGAGACTCCATCTCAAGAAGAAAAAAAAAAAAGAAAGAAAAGAAGGGAAGAAAGAAAGAGAAAGAAAGAAAGAAAGGAAAGAAGGAAAGAAGAGAGAAAGAAAGAGAGAAAGAAGGAAAGAAGAGAGAAAGAAAGAGAAAGAAAGAAAGAGAGAGAGAGATTCTGGGCAGGTTTCCACAAACCACAACTGACAATCCATTAAGAGCAGGTGGCCCTAGGGAATTCTAGTGAGCCCAAGTGCTAAGTCTGTCAACAGTCATTTTATGACTTTTGGAAGTCATCAAGTTGCTAAACTTAGAGTGTGTACGTGTGTGTGTGACAATTCCAACTTCCACTGGCTCTCATTTGATCATCTTTTGTGTTTTAAGAACTAACATTACAATCAAGGTTTGACTAGTCTCTATTGGATAGCCTTTGCAACGTTCAGATTCAGCTCATTCATTCAAAGGTGTTTATTGAGCATCTACTGTATGCAAGGCGTGGTTCCAGATGCTTGGGACACAATGATGCCCCTATGGTGAAAAGCCATAATTCTGTGTTTTAGGGGTACAGAGTGAGCAAAAGAGGCACAGTTCCTGCCCTTGTAGAGTTAAAGGCTCCTTAGAGAGGCAGGTTTTAATCAAAGAATCACACCAATAAGTGTAAAGTTATAACTATAATGAAGTGCTATGGGAGAGAGGGTCGTGGTACTCTGAGAATGTATTCAGGGGGATTGGATCTATCTGGGGGGAAGGGACATGGGAGTTGAGGTCTGAGTCCAAGACACATGAGAGTTGAGTTGAGGAAGACTAGGAAGTAACCAGGTGAAGACGGCAGAGCATATTCTAGCTAGGTGAACTGCTGGTGCAAATGCTCTGGGGTGAGTGGGTCTGAGGAGATGATGAAACCACAGAGAGTGAAAGGAACATATTTGTGATGAGGCCAGAATGGCCATTGTCTTAGGTTATTTTGTGATGCAATAACAGAAAACCTGAGACGGCTAAAGAAAAGTGATTAATTTAGCTTACGATTCTGCAGGCTGGGGAGTTCAAGGGCATGACCCTGGCTTCTGGTGAGGGCTTTTGTGCTGCCTCACAATATGGTAGAGGAGGTCAAAGGGGAAGTAGACACGTGTGAAGAGACAAAGCCTAAGTGGCATCCTGGCTTTATAATAACCTACTCTTGAGGGAACTGATCCAGTCCCACAGGAAATAATCCAGTCTTGCCAGAGCAAGAAGTCACTTACTACCAGAGAGCAGCACCAAGCCATTAATGAAGAATCTGCTCCCATGACCAAAACATCTCCCACCTGGACCCACCTCTTAACATTGCCACACAGGGGATCAAATTTCAACATGAGCTTTGGTGGGAATAAACAAACTATATCCAAATCATAGCAGTCACTGAAGGCTGGAACCTTGGTGGTCATGGTGGGAATTTTGTTCTTTTACCCTGAGAGCAAGGGAAGGCCATCAGAGCCTTATCAGTCAGCTTTGGCTGTGTAACAAAAATCCCAAAACACAGTGGCTTAAAACAACCACCTCTTATTTAGCTCAGGAGCCTGTAGTTCAGCAGTTGGGGCTTGGCTCAATTGGTGGTTCTTCTGGTCTGGGTCATGCTCAGCTGACCTTAACTGGTTTTTGTCCATTTGTCCATGGTCAGCTGGTGGGTCATTTGGGTTGGCTGGTTTATGATGACCTTGACAGGAATAGGTTGGTAGTTTGGGGGTGGGACTGGGGTCTCTCTCCGTGTGGCTTTTCATCATTTAACTGGCTGGCCCAGGCTTGTTCTCAAAATGGTTGCAGAGTTGGAAGACTGTGGAAGCAGAAACTGCAAGGTCTCTTAAAGGATAAACTCAGAACTGTAGAGCATCACTTCTGCCACTTTCTATTAGTCAAAGCAAATCACAAGATCGGCTGAGATTCAAGGGATGGGGAAATAGACTCCTCTTCACGGGAGGAGTTGGTGGGTATTGGGGCCATTTTTGCTAGCTACCCCAAAGGTTTTATGTAAAAGGGTGATTTTATTAGAGGCTAAAAAAGTCCCTTTAGACCCTGTGGGAGAATGAATTGGAGCAGTGTTTATAGCAGATACTGTAATTGCCTCCCTCGGTATCCATTTCTTCCTCCATTATTAGTTACGGAATGGCAACTTTAATTCCTACACATTGTTTCCTAGAATAAAGACCAATTTTTCTTACCTCCCTTATAGCTAGGTATAGCTGTGTTGTGTGGGACTTTTAGGATGTCTCCCTAAAAAAGAACAGTCAAGATTTTCTTATCCTTTTCCTCCTCATGCTTGTCTTGAAAACAGATATCTTGGATGGAGCTTAGGCAGCCATTTTATACTACACGGAAGAGGACTTCATCCTCGGGATGGTGGAATGGAGAGTTGGAAGGAGCTGGGTTCCTGATCATCTTGTGGAGCCATCATGCTACCTTGGACTGCCTGGCCAGGATTGCTGCTAGTGGCTCACAGCTGCCCCTTCTATAGAGAATTGCTCCTGGCTGGATGGGAGCCATTTTACCTGGGAGGTTATGGTTCCTCCACCGAGGGCATGAGGGCACGAATGGCTGTCTCTTTTGACTGAAGGTAGAATCAGCTCCGTGGTGCAATTCACACCCCAGAGATCCTGTGGAATCAGGCTGAGGCCAGGGTCCAGCCAAGACCACACCATTGCTTAACCCCTTTTCTTTCCCATCCTGCTTGCCTCCCCCTGCTTCTCCTGGGAACCCTCCCTCAATAACTCTCCCAAGAATCCCCACCTCAGGTTCTGCTTCTAGGAGACTCAACCCAAGATACTCTCCTCCTGCTTCTCTGCCATGATGAGACATTGAAAAAGAACCTGGCATAGCCAGCAAGCTCCTGGCTCACAGTAGGCCGTATTTGGCAGACTCCATCTATTTCATCCACTGGTTTTGGAGTGGGGACAAGAGGAGAGGTCAAGAACCCGAATCCAACAGAAATCAAGCACTGCAGTGTGAAGAATATGAAAGATGAGCCCCTTCCCAGGTGGCGCTGGAGGCCAAGAGAGCACTTGGGAAGAGGCCTCTGATTCATTAAGCATGGGAGATCCATCGGCCAAATCCCTCTCTTTCCTGCCTGCCTGCTCCAGGCCTGTTTGAAGTCCAAGGCTGCTGCGGTCCTTTGGATGGACAGCATTGATAAGCAACTCTCTCCCCAGCCCAGTTAATAATTCAGGAGCGGGTGCCTGCAGCCAACCCATCATTCCAGCCCTCCTGCCACCCTGAACGCCACGCTAGTGGACAGGAAAGAAAAAATCGCCACGCCGGCTTGAAAAATGGTCCTTACTTCGAGTTCTTGCTGGGTCCTCTGTGCTGCCGTGGGAGAGAGCCAGGCTGAGATGTATCTGCTGGGTGCACAGCCAGGGGAGGATAGAGAGGCCCTGGGGCTTGCTGGCATGCACACTGAGCATTGTTTAACCTTTGTTTTGGGGTAGTGGGCTGTAGCCAATGAAGAGCAAGCCCAGGAGGACCCGGCCCTCTTCCTCTGATGCAGCTATTGATCCTTCACTCATGTGCTCACTCATTCATTCATTCGGGAATCACTGATGCTGCTGACACAGAAGTGGGCCTCCACCCCTCAGGGAGGCGGACACATACACCCTCATGTACCAGGCAGTGAGAGCCACTACACTTGGCCTGAGACAGGAAACGGTTAACTGGGGGCTCTGGGTCTGGGGGTGACCTATTCCCTGGGTGTGCTGGGGGCCTTAAGTGCCCAAAGCAGAGAGGGAGGGTAGAGACGATAACGGCTAAGATCATGGACTCTGGGGCCAGGCTGCCTGGGTTCAAATCCCAGCCCTGCCACTTACAGAGAGTTAGCCTCTCTGTGCCTCAGTTTCTCTATGTAAAAGGGAGACTGATACAAATCACCCTCATATATGGTTACAACAAAAATCAGAGTCAAGTGTTGGCTCACACCTGTAGTCTCAACACTTTGGGAGGCCCAGGCAGTAAGATGGCTGGAAGCCAGGGGTTTGAGACTAGCCTGGGCAACATAGGAATACAAAATAAACAATATACAAAATTAGCCAGATGTGGAGGCATGCACCTATAGTCCTAGCTACTTGGGGAGGCTAAGGTGGGAGGATTGCCTGAATCCAGGAGTTCGAGGTTGCAGTGAGCTGTGATCACACTGCTGCACTCCAGCCTGAGTGACAGAGTAGGACCCTATCGTGAAAAAAAGAAAAAGAAAAAGAAACAAACAAAAAAACCCAAAAAACACCAGAAGTCTGACAAATACGTAGTGTAGGCAACTAACGTTACAGCCAACTTTAGAAAGTGATTCGGCAGTTTCCTGTAAAGTTAAACATACCACGCCACCCAGAATTCGCACTCCTAGGTATTTCTCCAAATGAAATGAAAAATCTGCACAAAAACCTGTTCGTGAATGTTTGCAGCAGCTTCATCATCTCCCCAAACTGGAAACAACCCAAATGCCTTCCAACTGGAGAATGGATACACTGTGGAACACCACACAGCCAGGCACATAAACAATATGCATGAGTCACAGATGCATTATGTACGCTAAGTGAAAAAAGCCAGGCTCAAGCGGCTCCGTCTATACTGGATGAGTCCATGTATATGACATTCTGAGTCAGAAAACTGGTCCATGGTTGCAGAGATGGGAGGAAGGATTATTACTGAGGGGCATGAGGGAATTTACGGGGAGTGATGGAACTGTTTGGTATTCTGATTGTGGTGGGGGATACATGACTGTATGTGTGCGTGTGTCAAGAATTATAGGCCTAGGCCGGGCGCAATGGCTGACACCTGTAATCCCAGCACTTTGGGAGGCCGAGGCAGGTGGATCACCTGAGGTCTGGAGTTCAAGACCAGACTGGCCAACATGGTGAGACCCCGTCTCTACTAAAAATACAAAAATAAGCCAGGTATGGTGGCGGGCACCTGTAATCCCAGCTACTCGAGGGGCTGAGACAAGAGTATTGCTTGGACCCGGGAGGTGGAGGTTGCAGTGAGGTGAGGTCATGCCACCACACTCCAGCCTGGGCGACAGAGCGAGACTCTGTCTCAGAAATAAACAAACAAAAAATCAGAACTGTACACGAAGAGGTGAATCTTACTGTGTGTAAATTATGCCAGGCAGAGGAAATAGCATGTGCAAAGGGCACAGAGGTTTGAAATCAGGTTTGAGATGGTGCATGGGAGCAAGTAGCAGGAAGTGAGGCAGGGAAAACTTGCTTGGGTCTGTTTGGGGAGGACCTTGAATGCCGTGTCAATGCTGCTTTGGATGGTGGGAAAATGTTGGAAGTTTTTAAGCAGTCGAGGAATATAAGCAGATATTTGCTTCAGAGAGATGGCTCTGTTCTCTGTTTAGAAGCAGAAGCCAGGTCAGGCACGGTGGCTCACGCCTGTAATCCCAACACTTTGGGAGGCTGAGGCAGGTGGATCACCTGTGGTCAGGAGTTTGAGACCAGCCTGGCCAACATGGTGAAACCCCATCTCTACTAAAAATACAAAAATTAGCTGAGTGTGGTGGCAGGTGCCTGTAATCCCATACCAGCTACTCGGGAGGCTGAGGCAGAAGAATTGCTTGAACCTGGGAGGCAGAGGTTGCAGTGAGCCTAGATCACACCACTGCACTCCAGCCAGAACAACAGAGTGAGACTTTGTCTCAAAAAAAAAAAAAAAAGAAAGAAAAAAGCAGAAGCCGTTGGGCACATGGGTCTGACCCTGCCTTTAGAAATGTTTTTATTTGTGTTATAATTTTTTTGAAAGAATTTGAATTTGTGACCAGTATTTTAGAACTAGGAGATTTTACTCAGAATTTTGGATTTTTGGCCTCTCTTTAGAGAAGACATGGGCTTCCCAATTTGCCACCTCCACTTCCTCCTCATTCTCTATTCCCTTCCTGGCCCTGCAGGGGTGTCGGTTTTGACCCCTGGGATTGAAAGTGGATTCCAGGAGGAAGAGATCAAAGTCAGTGACATCTCTCAGTCCTGATCTGAACACTTTCATCACCTGGGGAATTTTATTAAAGACCGGTGCACAGGCCAAGTTGCTGGGAGGAGGCTGTGCACTTGTACTTTGTAAATGCTCCCCTCCACCCCGGGTGACCCTGATGCACAGCCAGGGTTGAGAACCACTGTTCTAGCGGGAGGCTAAGGCGGGCTGGGGGTCAGCAGTGGAGGTGGAGGGGTGTTTAGGGATTGATGGGACACTGGGCTGAGGCAGGGGGAGGAGGACTCAGGCGTGATGTCCCGGCTTGGACAAATGCAGCCTGATGGTGCCATCTGCTGAGAAGGGACATGAAAGAGGCAGTCAGGGGAAGGTGGTCAACTCAGTTTTGGCCATGCTGTGTCTGAAGAGCCCATGGCCTCCAGGCTGAGGGGGTCCAGCATGCAGGTGCCCAGCACCGCTCTGCCCATAACTTCGCTTCTGTGTGTTCTCCTTTCTCCTCTGAGATGGGGAAACTAGGGGAGGTTCTTAGGGAAGGGAAGGGCTATGTTGGGGGGAGATGAGGTGGCCAAGCTTCCCCCAGAGCTGCCTACAGAACACAGGGGTTCCCTTGGTGGTAGGGACTGAACTTTTGTGTCCCCATAAAATTCTTATGTTGAAATCTATTCCCTCAAGCTGATGGTATGAACAGTTGGGGCCTTTAGGAGGTGATCAGGTCATGGGGGTGGAGCCCCTGTGAATGGGATTAGTGCCCTCACAAAAGAGGCCCCAGAGAGCAACCTCACCCCTTCCACCATGCGAGGGCATGGTGCAAAGATGGCAGTCTAGGAGCACAGCTGGGCCCTCACCAGACACCGAATCCACTAGCACCTTGATCTTGGACTTCCCAGCTTCCAGAACTGTGAACAATGAATTTCTGTTTGTAAGCAACCCAGTTTATCGTATTTTGTTGTAGCTACCCCACACGACTAAGGCTCTTGGGTGGAGGTGGGAGGCCTTTCTTGACTGCCCTGGGTAATGGGTGCTCAGGCCTTGCTGAGTGACTTTGTCTGGAGGAAAGTAGGGGAGAATGTTCTCAAAAGGGGTGCTTATATTTGAGAAGCAGAGACTCGCCACACCAGACATGTGGCACCCTCACACCCAGAACCAGCAACTCCTTCCTCAAACCACAACTCTCTGCCAAAACATCTTACCTCCCAGCAGATACAGTGGCTCTTTTTTCTTTGCTTTGGTCAATAGCTTTTTCTCCATTATTAGCAGTGACTAGCCTTTCTGTGCCTGTGAGTGAAGCAAGACAGAAACCATTGTGCCCATTTTACCCATAAGCAAGAAAAATGATACACCATGGAATATTATGCAGCTATAAAAAAAAGAGATCATGCCCTTTGCAGGGACAGGGATGGAGGTGGAGGCCATTATCCTTAGTAAACTAAGGCAGGAACAGAAAACCAAATACCGCATATTCTCACTTAGAAGTGGGAGCTAAATGATGAGAACACATAGACACATAGAGGGGAACAACACACACTGGGGTCTATCGGAGGGTGGGGAGTGGGAGGAGGGAGAAGATCAGGAAAAATAACTAATGGATACTACACTTAATGCCTGGGTTATAAAATAATCTGTATAACAAACCCCCATGACACACATTCTCCTCTGTAACAAACCTGCACATCCTGTACATGTGCCCCTGAACTTAAAAGTTAAAAAATAAAAAGGAAAAAAAAAAGAAAAGGGAAAGAAATACATTACATTAGTACTTATCCCTTGCTGGGTACTTGATATACATTTTCATGTAATCCACATAACCATCCTATGTATGAAATAGGGGTTACTGTCCCCATTTCCCAGATGAGGAAACTGAGGCTCTGAAAGTTTAACTATTTTGCCCAGATGGCCAGCACAGCAGTGGCAGAGTTGGTAGCCATGCCCAACTCTCTCCATGGTTCTTTAGTGTGTTTGTGGCCCACCCCTCCTGTGAGCTCGGCCGGGAACGCACACACAGACCCACACACATATGACCTCTCTAGACACCTTTTATTGTCTTTGCTGCCCCCTCAGCTTTCCTTCTGGTACCTAGTGGATGTCTTCACGACAGTCTCTGGCCTCTTTTCCTTTGTGGGCAGACTCACTTCAATGTCTGTGAGGTCAACCCAGGGAGGGGGTTTAGTGCCTCCAGTAAGAGACGGGCAGAGACTTCGGCTTTCCCATCCACCGAGACGGTGCTCACAAAATGCTCCAGAGCTTCCCCATCGCAGCTGTTCCCGGCTGGGTTGGGCTCTGTCACCATGAAGTGCTTCTCACGGCATTGTCCTGCCATCGTAGTCACTGTCTCAACCATCTGAACACAGGATGGCTCCTGGCCTCCTTTCTTGACATGAATGAGGCATCAGGAAGCCTTTGCTCCTGAGAAGATTCTGGGCTGAAGATGTCCAGAGACAGCACTCAAAGGAAAAAAAAAAAAAAAAGGACGCTTGGAGCTCTCTGGGATGGTGCCTCCCAAGTAGTTGGGATTACAGGTGCCCAGGCATGGGGATCCATTTACACCGCCCTCTAATGTTCTCACTAGACCTAGTCCCTGTGTGCCGGGGGCATCCCTGGCTGCTCCTGATGATCCTTCTCTGGTGACAGTCACTTAGTCTGGACTCCTTGGGGGAGCTGAGAGTCGTGAAGGTGCTCCGTGTGCACCGTGGCTGTCTTGCTAGTGCTTCTGCGGGCAGTGACAATGATGGACAGAGTGTGGTGCTGCTTGGCCAGGATGAAGTTTCATGTGGATGTGGCTCTCCACGCATGGCGCTCACTGCAGATGGTTCTTGATATGGACAGTCCCAACCATGGTTGCAGCTTGTTTCTTCTGAGCTCATCGTGGCTGGTGTTGGTTGCAGATGGCATTCATCATTTAGGATGGTTTCATCATGGAAGGTTCTAACTCGTGACAGTTCTTAATATCGTCAGCGTTTGCCATCGAGAACATCTGTCGCCACTGATGAGTTTTGGTACAGGGGGTCCCACCAGGATGCTGCTGACTACAGATGGTTTTGCCATTGATGGATCTTGTTATAGATGGCTTGTCACTGAAGTTCACAGTCGATGTCATTACTCTTCGCTGTTTTGACACAGGTGGACTCAGCATTGGTGAATCTTGATACTACAGCTCTTCCTAGCAACAGTGGTTCTCAGTATAGACAGTCTCCTCACTGACTGTGTTCTCAGGATAGGCGGTGCTCAGCATAGATCCTTCCTGCTACATGTGGCCTGCCCACTGATGCTTGTTGCTACAAATGGGATTACCCACTGATGGTTGACACAGTCAGTGTGTGCTTTTGAAAACACCTTTCCTACTTGTTTTGGGAATATCCACTCTGGGTGCAGCCTGTGTTTGCTGGGCCTGTGTGTTGTTTTCTGGGAGACTCTGGCTGCTGGAGAGGATTCTCACAAAGGCATGCACACCTGGGCAGGCTGCTCCCCCGTGGTGACCTGCTCACTGGTTTTCACGTTGCCGCCCGTCTTGTCCTCCTGCACGCTGGTGTGGCTGCTCTGCCTGTTTTGGGCACTGCCATCCAGCCGGACGCTCTGACGGCTGCTGGCCTGGGTGGAGGGAAGGCTGGCTGTGGAAGTCAGCAGCCCGCTGCTCACCTTGTAGGTGAGGGCACTGCTGCCCAAGCTGATGAAGCTGGCGCTGGACAGGATGCTGCTGCCGCTGCCGCTGCCGGGCAGGCTGGCCTCACTCTTTCCCTCCAGTCTGCTTGGTGCTGTGGGCGGGGCCAGTCAGCCGGCTCTTTAGAGAGCTGGGAGGGTCTATGGAGCCCAGCTGGCTGGTTTGGTTACTGGCCGCCTGGGTGTTGAGCCTTCTGTTCAGCCGCACTCTCCGGTGGCTGCCCACCAAGCTGATGTCGCTGCCCTCCTTGTCCCCTGCGTACCCGCTGCTCAGGCTGGCATGGCTGCCCTCCTCTGGCCTCGGGTGCTGCACGCTGGAAACATGACTCTCGCTGCTCTGGGTGTCACTGAGGTAGCTGCTGGACACTTTCAGGGGCTCCTGAGCCACTCCTGCATGGCGTGGCCACGCAGGGGACTGGAGCTCTAAGCTGGGTGACTGTAGGCTTGGCTCTCCTTCCTGCTCATTCTGGACAGAGGATTCCCCTTTTTCTCCCTCGAGAAAAATGGGGGGCAGCTGAAGTGGTTTATCCAGGGAGAGGGGGCCCTGGGAGGCCTCTGAATGTTGGCTGTGACCTCTCTGGGGAGAGGTGACTCCGTATATAAGGCTGCCCTTTGAAAACTCTGTGTTCTGAGTGGCTGGCTCAGTTCCCATGGTGATGGGGCTTGTGAGGTGAAGGCGGGTGTGGGAGGGAGAACAATGCTGTCCTGGCACCAGTGACATCAGTGGCCTGGCCTGGAGGGTAGGAGTGGGGCAGAAAGGGGCTCATGGCCAGAGGGGGTGGGTGTCACCCTCTCGGGAGCCTTTCTGAGGAGTCTGTGGCCAGACATCAGGTCAGGGGCCTCAGGCGTGTGTCCCAGCCGAGATCCTATGAGCCGAGTTTCTTCTCTCCCAAGTCTCTGCCTGCTTGCTGAGTGTTTCATTTTTTTATTTTTATTTATTTTTTATTTTCTGTTTGTTTGTTTTTTGAGATGGAGTCTCACTCTGTCATCCAGGCCGGAGTACAGTAGTGAGATCTGGGCTCACTCCAAGCTCTGCCTCCCGGGTTCAAGCGATTCTCCTGCCTCAGCCTCACAAGTAGCTGGGATTACAGGCGCCCGCCACCATGCCTGGCTAATTTTTGTATTTTTAGTAGAGATGGGGTTTCACCATGTTGCCTAGGATGATCTTCAACTCCTGACCTGGAGCTATCTGCTCGCCTCGGCCTCCCAAAGTGCTGGGATTATAGGCGTAAGCCACCGCACCCGGCCTGCTGAGTGGTTTTGAGGACAGGAGGGAATACAGCAGGCCGGATCATCAAGGCCCTGGCCTGGTCTGGCTCTCCCAACTTCATCACACACCACGCCCTGCCCCTTTCTCACCTTGGATGCTTGACCAGGCTGAGCACTCTCTTATTGCAAAAGGGACTCACAGCTGGATGCCCTGGACCCCAACACTATGAAACTGGGTTTCTGAGAAAAGCTTTTTATTGCAAGTTGGCTCAGAAGGAGGCAGGAGTCAGCTCAAATCTCTCTCCCTGTGCTGGCTTTAAGGCAGTAGTTTTATTAGAAAAGGTTTAGGGAGTGGATTCTGAGATTAGTAGGTTATTGGTGCAAGGAGAAGTGAGGTCTGCAAAGACCTTTGGCATGTGCAGTTACCTCTTCATGCCTCCTCATGGGTCCCATGTGCAAATTTGGAGGGAGTGAGTGTGAAACATGCAGTGGAAATTCAGGCTGTGACATCAGCAAGCTGGTCTTGCACTAACTCCAGTTGGCCATATTGCTTCCAGCTGATTGCAGCTGGTTTTGTTATAAGTGAAAGGAGTTTCAAATTGTTTCTTTTTTTATTTGCCTTCCTGCAAATTCAAGAATTTCTGTTAGTGGTTTCTTTAGCTCTTTGGAGCATGGTCTCATGATTTCATGATTTGATGCTCTTACCTGCTGCAGGGCCTTGGCACTGGCTGTTTTCACCCCTCAGGGTGCTTTTTTCCCCTCTGGCATCCTCTTTTTTTTTTGAGACAGAGTGATCTCGGCTCACTGCAAGCTCCACTCTTGTTACCCAGGCTGGAGTGCAATGGCATGCCTCCCTGCCTCAGCCTCCCGAGTGGCTGAGATTACAGGCATGCGCCACCACGCCCAGCTAATTTTGTATTTTCAGTAGAGACGATTTCTCCATGTTGGTCAGGCTGGTCTCAAACTCCCGACCTCAGGTGATCCGCCCGCCTCAGTCTCCCAAAGTGCTGGGATTACAGCCTGGCCTCCCCCACTCCCACTTTTTTTTTTGAGACAGAGTCTCACTCTGTTGCCCAGGCTGGAGTGCAATGGCATAATTTCCACTCACTGCAACCTCCGCCTCCCAGGTTCAAGCAATTCTCCTGCCTCAGCCTCCTGAGTAGTTGGGATTATGGGCATGTGCCACCTCAGCCAGATAATCTTTGTATTTTTAGTAGAGATGGAATTTCACCATGTTGGCCAGGCTGGTCTCGAACTTGCCTCGGCCTCCTGAAGTGCTGGGATTACAGGCGTGAGGCACTGCACCTGGCCCCTGCTGTCATCCTTTATGCCACTTCCTAATTGATGTTCCTTGTGACATGAATGAATTATGTACTGGTTATTTATTGCCAGGTCCTCAGCCAGAATATAAACTTAATGAGGGCAGAGATTCTGATTTCTTATTCTCTGCTCTGCCCTCAAGGCCCAGCACACTGCCTGATGCTCACTAGACGTTGATTTAGTGAATAAATGAATGACCCCGAGGTGTGCATCACCACCTAGGGAACTTCTAAAAAACATGTTTTAATTTTCTTTTTTTTTCACTTGAAAATAATTTTTTTTTATAGCAACGGAGTCTTGCTGTGTTGCCCAGGCTGGCCTCAGATGCCTGGCCTCAAGTAGTCCTCCTTGCCTTGGCCTCCCAAAGTGCAGGGATGACAAGTAGGAGCTGCTGCATCTGACCAAGATTTTCTAAGACAGTGGTTTTTGCCCTTGGCTACATACTGGATTCGCCTGGGGATGCCTGGGTTCCACCCCCAGAGGTACAGAGTTAATTGGCCTAAGGTGAGGCTTTGGCAATAGAATTTTAAAAAGCTCTCCAGGTAATTCTAACGTGCAGTCAGCGTTGAAAATTGTGCTACCTTGGCCACAGGTGATGTTTTTGTAGATGATTCTGATGTTCAACCCTGACAAAGAAGTTAACTACAGATGAAAACACTCAGCATGCCACTTATTAGTAGACATCATAGATGTTTATTGAGTGATGGAATAAATTAATATATTCATTGACCCCTAAAGAGTTCATGTGTGGATTTTTAAAACCTTGAGAAGTCATTGAAATTGTACACAAAATCTGCAATGAGCTACACGTATGCTTTCTTTCCCCTAGGCAGGGAGTCATAGCATCCATAAAATTCCCAAGGGTATCCACGATCCCCAAAAGATCAAGAAGCGTAAAGATCAGGCACAACTCCTGCCTCAGTGCAAGACGGGTGGTCCCGGTGCTTAGCCTGACCCTAAGAGGTCTGGCCTGCCCTGTTTGGGGTGCGGGGTGAGAGAAGAAGGAGGGCGTTGCTCAGAGAGAGCGCTGCTAAGTCCCTTGACAGTCATCATCACCATCATTGCTAATCATCACTGTCATCGTTGTCATGAATTCCTTTCCCACTGCCCAGGGCAGCGCGGCATCCCTTTGCTGCACGCAGCAGCATCCCTTTTGCTCTGAAAATTGTGATCCTTTAGGGGTGAGTGGGGCATCTCCTTGCTGTCTAACTTCTATCCCCAGCCCTATGCTCCCCATGAGGACCGGCAAGGAAGAGACAGGCACAGTGGCTTAGTGGCGATGTTCAGAGTGAAGGGTGTGGTGGGAGCCAACTATTATGGGAAGCAGGAACAAGGTCTGGCCCTTTAGGGGACTGGCTGGTGAGAGGCAGGAGGTTGGGCCCCAGGCAGGTAGGCTGGGACTCAGGACTGGCTCTGTCCCTGCACAAAACCAAAAGAGGGCAGATACCCCAGTGCTGGGATTAATGATGAGCCTGTTGGAACACATCTTTCCTCCTCTTGTCTTCCGCCTCACCTGCTCTGGGCACATTACATTACAGGCCTGAGGACTGCAGTGAACACTCGGGCTTGTTCAGGATAAATGGCAGAGGCCATGCAGTAATCAGAGTTCCCTTCCCATCGAGTGCATTGAACACCAAGACTGTAGCCTGCGGATACAGTGACGCCTTGTAAACAGCCATGGCTCAGCTTAGCGTTTACCTTTTTTTTTTTGGAGATGGAGTTTTGCTCTTGTTGCCCAGACTGGAGTGCAGTGGCACGATCTCAGCTCACTGCAACCTCTGCCTCCTGGTTTCGAGCGATTCTCCTGCCTCACCCTCCGGAGTAGATGGGATTACAGGCATGCACCATCATGCTCGGCTAATTTTGTATTTTTAGTAGAGATGGGGTTTCTCCATGTTGGTCAGGCTGATCTCAAACTCCCGACCTCAGGTGATCCACCTACCTTGGCCTCCCAAAGTGCTGGGATTACAGGCGTGAGCCACCATGCCTGGCCCAGCGTTTACCTTTTAAGTCTCTGTGGGTTACTCTGGTAGTCTTGGGGAAGGCATTTCATGGAGCTTCTGTGGTTTCATTCCAGGCTTCTCATTTCTGCCTCACCTGTGCAGCCACCTGAGGGCAGTGCTCTTACTTGGTCCCCGCCCTAGCTGCCCTTGTGCATAAGACCAGAGCTGTCCTGCCCAGGCATTGCTTCCAGCGACCTCCAGAGACGCAGGTCCTCAAGGCTCACATGGAGCAGCATCCTTCTGAGCTCAGAGTACCAAACCCCCGAAAGATCCAGGGAGAAGTGGGTAGAAGACATTTTCTACAGTGGGACCTGGCGTCTCATTCTGGAACTATGCTGTGGGCTGCCTTTCCTGTCCCCAGTCCCTTGTTGTTTGCCCCCAAGAAACCCTCCTCTCAGCCAAACACACATTTCAGCCTCTGTCTCCAGGTTCCCTTTCTCTCATGCATGTCAATTTCTTCACCCAGGAGACTGGCACCCACCGGACCAGCAGCTTAGCCGATAGAGCCGGACTCAGAGTTCCAGGCAAGGCTCTCACAGGAAACCTGGTTATAATCATATCGTCTGTGGCTCCTGGAGACCAAGTGTCCCATCCTTCCTTGGTGTGGCACAGACAATGCTATATGCTCATGAGACCATCTCATTTCTCTTCTGGGCTTGTAGGAAAAGTACATTTCCAACTCCATGTAGGTAGGGCTAATAGAATGTGGGCAGAAGGGATGTTTACTACCTAGGCTTGGGCCATTAAATATCTCCCATGCATGGTCCTTCTCTTTCTTCCCTTTCCATAGGGACCTTGAAAGCTGTTCTTTGGACCCAGCAAAGCCCCACCGTGGTTGGAACGTGGGTCTCTGAGTGACTGCGTGGAGAAGAACCACTACCCTCTGCCCAATGTATTGGTGACATCAGTGAGCTGTAAACTGTTATTGGACTAAGCCATCAAGATTTGGGCGTTTGTTTGTTACCACAGCAACACCTGCTTTGCACGGACTAATACATCATGTTCACAGACACTGCTGATGTGTTTCACCAGATTTAGTTTTCTCCTGATGGTTTCTGCAGCGGGTTCTGGAGCTGTGTTCCTACCTCAATACCTACCCTAGCATCAAAGTCCCTGGTGGGAAAGCAATGCTTTCTCACATTATGAAGATGGAAAAGAATATCGTCAGGGAGAACATCACCAGCCCAGAAAATTGGCTGTCAGCTCCAGGCCTCCAACCCTTATATTTATTCCTGGGAAACCCTTGCTAAGTTAGGCATTGATTCTCTGCATGTGACACGCCATAATAACTTCTAACTTGGAGAGTTGGCTTGTTTTCACTCATTCATTCAACAAATGTTTCCTGAACTCATATTCTGTCTGGGCTTCCACCAATATTGATTGGGATCCTGCTCTGTGTTAGGCAGTGTTCAGCCCTGCCCTCAGAGAGCTTCCATGCATGGAGGGAGACAGACAGAAGGAAGTAGGACGTGTTGTGTGATAATCAATGTTAGGGGCAAATAAAGCAGAGCCGGGGAGTAGAGAATGATGGCGAGTGTGTGCATGTGTGTGTGTGTGTGTGTGTGTGTACCCACAGGGACACCGTCCCTCAATCAAAACCAGCAAATGCCAGGGGAGGAGGTCACTGAGGGAGCCCTGGGGAGGGTGGGCCCTGTGGGCCGTGGAAAGGGCTCTGCATTTTACTCTGAGTGCATTAGGAGCCACGGGAGAGTTTTCAGCAGGGAGTGAGATGAGTGGATTGGAGTTTGAACAGACTGCTGTGTAAAGAACAGGAGGCTCCTGTAATCCCAGCACTTCGGGAGGCTGAGGTGGGTGGATCACTTGAGGCCAGGAATTTGAGACCAGCCTGGCCAACATGGTGAAACCTTGTCTTTACTAAAAATACAAAAAAATTAGCCAGTCGTGGTGGTGCGTGCCTGTAGTCCCAGTTACTCGGGAGGCTGAGGCACGAGAATCGCTTGAACCTGGGAGAAGGTTGCAGTCAGCCGAGATCGCGCCACTGCACTGCACTCTAGTCTGGGCAACAGAGTGGGACTCTGTCAAAAAACAAAAACAAAAAACAAACAAACAAACAAAAAACAGGAAGGCAGGGAGGTGCGGGGCTTGAGTCTGCCTGGCACCATAGCCTAGGGGTGCGATGGGGATGGCTTGGGCCAGGGCAGAGCAGTAGAGATGGAGAAGCTAGTTGGATTCTGGAAATATTTTGAAGGGAGAGTGTCAGGATTTGCTGAGGGATTGCATGGGGAATGAGAGGAAGCAAGGGCTCAAGGCCAGCTGTGGGGTCCACGAGGCCCAGAGTCAGAGGCTGCATGGGCTTCCGGAAATGGCTCAGCCTCCTCTTGGTCTGGAGCACGTGGGGGAGTGCGTGGGTGGGAGGAGGCGCAGAGAAGTCAGACCCACTCAGGCTCCAGTCTCAGCCTTTGGAACTGTGCTTAACACCACCGCAAATAGGTGGGAGGATTGAATGCTCCACAAACATGAATTGAGAATAAATAAATGGGAGGTGGCCTTTTGGACTCTGGAGAACAGCCACGGAGAAGACAGACAAGCCCTTCCTTCTTGGGCCTTAGTTTAGATTGGGGACAAACAGACTGGGGACAGATTTCAGAGAGTGAGAAGTGCTGCAGATAAAATAAAATGAGGGAGGGGAGGAAGAGGGAGGGTAGACAGAGCAGGCACAGTGCTCCGGAGTTAGGATAACTGCCCCTTGCCATCTTAGAGTATAGCCAGAGAAAGGACTCTGGCCTGCCGTGGTTCAAATCCTGTGACCACCACCGAGGTGACATTGCGTGATCCACTTAACCTCTCTGAACCATAGCTATTCCTCCTTGGAAATGGAGGAATGATCGTGATAATGTCACTCTGCAAGGGGATGCTCTGAGCACCAACGGGACGCACCCAAGACAGGGCCTGCCCCGAAGCGGGCCTGCAGGGTGCTGCCCGACCCTAATGGAACCTTCTGCTTTAAAAGAGACTATACATGTATGTATGTGTGTATACGAATACATATATTAGTACATGTGACTGTATACACAAGTATATATGTATATATGTGAGTGCATACAGAAGTATATGCATGAATACGTGTATAAGCATATATACATGAATATACACACAAATACACATATGTGTACTTTTTTTTTGAGACAGGGTCTAGCTGTGTCACCCAGGCTAGAGTGCAGTGGCGGGACCTTGGCTTACTGCAACCTCCCTCTTCTGGACTCAGGCAATCCTCCCACTCAGCCTCCCAAGTAGCTGGGACTATAGCAGTGTGCCAGCAGGCCTGGCTATTTTTTTTTTTATTCTTTGTAGAGATGAGATATTGCTATGTTGCCCAGGCTGGTCTTGAACTCTTGAGCTCAAGCAATCTGTCTGCCTTGGCCTCGCAAAGTGCTGGGATTACAGGTGTGAGCCAGTGTGCTCTGCCTCACATATATGTACTTTATTATTATTTTTTTTGAGACGGGGTCTCATCTCTGTCACCCAGGCTGAAGTGCAGTGGCTCAATCTCATCTCACTGCAACCTCCATCTCGCGGGTTCAAGCGATTCTCCTGCCTCAGCCTCCTGAGTAGCTGGGATTACAGGCATGCGCCATCATGCCTGGCTAATTTTTGTATATTTAGTAGAGACAGGCTTCACCATATTGGCCAGGCTGGTCTTGAATTCCTGACCTCAGGTGATCCACCCGCCTCAGCCTTCCAAAGTGCTGGGATTACAGGCATGAGCCATCGTGCCCGGCCACATATATGTACTTTTAAATCACAAAACCCTCTTGCCCTCAGCATCCCCCACTGGGGCCCTACTCTTCCCCAAGGGTCTCCCCACAGAGTGCTCTTATCTGAGCCTCCCCTGCCATCCTTTGATGGATACCTCTATCTTTTCCCAGGATTCCTCGTTGTCAAGCTCCTATCTGGATAAGGACTCTCACTTGTTCACTTTAGAGAGTCCCTGAGCACCTACTAGGTCCTCACTTGCAGGGTGGTCAGTGCTCTGCTAAGAAGAGTCTTGACCGGGCGCGGTGGCTCACGCCTGTAATCCCAGCACTTTGGGAGGCCGAGGTGGGTGGATCACGAGTTCAAGAGATTGAGACCATCCTGGCCAACATGGTGAAAACCCATCTCTACTAAAAATACAAAAATTACCTGGGGATGGTGGCACACGCCTGTAGTCCCAGTTACTTGGGACGCTGAGGCAGGAGAATCGCTAGAACCTGGGAGGCAGTGGTTGCAATGAGCTGAGATTGTGCCTCTGCACTCCACCCTGGCGACAGACAGAGATTTCACCTCAACATAAAAAAATAAAAATAAAAAAGAAGAGTCTCATGCACAATGGGTTGGCACCTGACTGGTGCTAGAACGCAGGCCCCTGACTACCAGCCTGGGGGTTCCTCCCTGCATGGGAGCTGGAGCAGTAGAGTAGAGTGACTGTTTCTGCAGGGCTGGCTGTGAGTCAGGCACTGTGCCAAATGCCTGCATGCGTGGTCTCATCCTCACAATCGCTTTATGAAGCAGCTTCTCTGGGCATCTCCATGTCTGCCAGCTGTCTGCCCTAAGCCCATGCTCCTAATGAGTTGACTGGGCTGCAAGACAGGGCTGGTCATGGGGGCAGTGAGAGTCATTCCTGGGGGGCCCAGAGTTGTGGGTACCTCCCTACTCAGGCCCATTTAGCATGCAATCAAGAACAGGAGGACTCTTGGGTGGACCTGGCACTCCCTGAAGTCAGAACCTGGGACTGTATGCCTTCTCTAGAGAGAAACAGCTCAGCCATGGCTTGGAAGAGTGATCTGTCCAGGAAGAAAGGTCATTCCTCCTCTGGGTGGCCATGTGATTGATTTTTTGCTCCAATTTTTGATTACTTAGGAAATACCAAAAAAGAAAAAAGGGAACGATAAAACTCATCTCTCACCATTCACTGGAAGAGATAGGATACTACTGGTCTGCCCAAGATCCATTTACCCCTTCATATCACCTCTCCTTATGGCAACCCTGAATGTAATGTTCACCATTGCCATGAACATCTTTATACTTGAAATATAAAAGGATATAACCCAGCCAGGCACGGTGGCTCACGCCTGTAATCCCAGCACTTTGAAGGCCGAGGTGGGTGGATCAACTGAGGTCAGGAGTTCGAGACCAGCCTGGCCAACATGGTGAAACACCATCTCTACTAAAAATACAAAAATCAGCAAGGCGTGGTGACACATGCCTGTTGTCCCAGCTACTTGGGAGGTTGAGGCACAAGAATTGCTTGAACCTGGGAGGCAGAGGTTGCAGTGAGCTGAGATTGCACCACTGCACTCTAGCCTGGGCCACAGAGCCACTGCACTCTAGCCTGGGCCACAGAGCAAGACTCTGTCTCAAAACAAACAAACAAACAAACAAACAAACAAACAAAAATAAAACACAAAGACCAATGTAACCCTAAGCCTACACATAGTTGTTCTGTGTGCTGTTAATCTTGACATAGGCCAGGTGCGGTGGCTCATGCCTGTAATCCCAACACTTTGGGAGGCTGAGGCGGGTGGATCACTGGAGGTCAGGAGTTCGAGACCAGCCTGGCCAACATGGTGAAATCCCATTTCTACTAAAAATACAAAAATTAGCTGGGTGTGGTGATGGGCACCTGTAGTCCTAGCTACTGGGGAGGCTGAGGCAGGAGAATCGCTTGAACCCGGGAGGTGGAGGTTGCAGTGAGCCCAGATAGCACCACTGCACTCCAACCTGAGTGATAGAGCTAGACTCTGTCTCAAAAAAATAAAACCATCTTGACATAAATGGCGTCCTTTATCTATCCTCCTATAATTTATGTTCTATGTTATATTTGTGATACACACTTGTGCTTATATGTGTAGTTCAAGTTCATTTTCACTACTGTAGCATATTCTATGGATGGATGTCATAATTTACCCATTCTATTAATGGCTATCTTCCTTGAAATGAACATTCCTTTAAGTGTCTCCTTCATATGACATTTCTCCTGAGGATTTCTCAGAAAATTCCCCCAAACAGACTATGAAAGCTTCAACTTTTTATTTATTTATTATCGCAGTGGAGGCTCTTAGGATTTAACTTGTTTTAGTTGCACATAACATATATAAAAGACACTTCTCTGCATCCCTTGGGACCTGTTCTCTGAGTGTGTGTATGAGGTTCAATTTAGGGATGGGGTAAATCAGAGGCATATCTGTCGTCTATGTTATTTGGTCATAAAACACGGCCATTCCAGAATGTCATGGACAGGTTCTTCATCTTTAACTTTAAACTTCAGCTGAAGATGAAGTCACAGAGTTAACCCACTTGAGTAGGGTAAGGAGTCAGGGGAGCAGGATCTTGGAGGAGGCTGGGGTGGCTGAATGGTGGTGAGTCTTTCCGAGGGCTGAGTGCCACCAGGAATGCACCCCTCCTTCTGTTCAGGCCTCCTCATGCAGCTTTGTGTGGCCTGCAAAACAATTGTCTGGTATTCTTAGTTGTGGACTCCTTGTGTGATGGATGGGGATGGGAAGTGTATTAGTCTGTGTCCACACTACTGATAAAGACATACCTGAGACTGTGAAGAAAAAGAGGTTTAATTGGACTTACAGTTCCACATGGCTGGAGAGGCCTCAGAATCATGGCAGGAGGAGAAAGTCACTTCTTACATGGTGGTGGCAAGAGAAAAATGAGAAAGAAGCAAAAGTGGGAACCCCTGATAAACCCATCAGATCTCGTGAGATTTATTCACTATCATGAGAATAGCATGGGAAAGGCCAGCCCCCATGATTCAATTACCTCCCCCTGGGTTCCTCCCACTCCACGTGAGAATTCTGGGAGCTACAATTCAAGTTGAGATTTGGGTGGGGACACAGCCAAACCCTATCAGGAATGGAGGATGCAGGAGAAAGCTGCCTGAGCAGTGAGGAGGCCGTGAGTTTTCTCTAGGTCAAGGTGAGAACTGCAGAGCAAAGTGATTAAGCACTTGGTATATGAAGTCAGATGTCTGAGTTCAAATCCAGGATCTGCCATGTATTCGCCATGTGATCTTGGGCAAGTGACCTAACCTTTCTCAGTCTGGGTTTCCTCAAAAGCAGACCATAAAACATGGACTTGGGTACCAGTCATTTATTTGGGAGGTGACCTCAAGATGCCCAGGTGAGTATATAGGCAGCAAGACCAGAAAAAAAGGACAGCTGGTGAGGGGGCCTTAAGGAGGAAGTGGGGTCTCTGCGAAGTGGTGTGGCTGCACCCCAGAAGCTTGGACATTTAGCCATTGCTGCCATCCCCACTGGGGCATCTATTGCACCTCTGGCTTCTCTCTGAGCTGGGCTGGGAAAACTTCCGTGTGGCCAGAGAAAGCCCTGGGGTGAAGGAGAGACAGTCCAGAGGCAGACACAGTGCTGAGTGAGAAGCCATCTGCCAGCACACCAGGTCCCGTCTGTACCTGAGGCCAACTCCGGAGTGTGGAGAGGACATGGGTGGGGGCATCAGTGGAGGCTGCTGGTGCCTCGTCTGTAAAAGCGACAGCAGCTGCTCCATAGGTTGTAGCAAGGGTAACATGAGGTCAGTCCTGGCATACAGTAAGCACTCAGTGAATGCTAAATGTGCCCCCAAGGCTGTGGTAGGACCTGTTT
This sequence comes from Homo sapiens, assembly GCF_000001405.40. Classification (NCBI taxonomy): domain Eukaryota; kingdom Metazoa; phylum Chordata; class Mammalia; order Primates; family Hominidae; genus Homo; species Homo sapiens. The sequence continues at coordinate 27,055,388 of NC_000016.10, read as the reverse complement.
GAAGAAATGGAAGCTTGGAGAGATAATGTAACATAGACCTGGTCACAGAACTATGAGATGACAAGGCTACGATTTAGACCCAAAGTTTGTGGGACCCCAAGGACACCAGGCCTTCTCAGAGAATATCGTGGGTCACACTCCAGGGGGCTTCAAGCTGCAGGGCCCAGAGATGTTAACACTCCTGGAGCTGGATGCAGCGTGGCTGTTTGCCTCGTTGGCCTCAGGCAGGGCACAACTACTGACCTGGAGTCTCAGGAGAGAACCAGAAGTAGACCAGTGCCCCGGCCAGGCCAGGAATCTCCTCTTGCCAGCAGAGGGCACGAAGCACAGAACAGGCAGGGCAGGGCAGTAACCACTTAGGAGCAAGTGAATTTCTCAGAGATCCTGGGCGCGTTTAGGGTGGTAGAGAAAAGAGAATGCTCATACACTGCTGGTGGGAATGTAAATCAGTTCGACCACTGTGGAAAGCAGTCTGGCAATTTCTCAAATAACTTAAAAAGTACTACCATTCGATCCAGCAATCCCATTACTGGGTATACACCCAAAGCAATATAAATCGTTCTATTATAAAGACACATCCATGCATATATTCATTGCAGCACTATTCACAATAGCAAAGACATGGAATCAACCTAAATGCCCATCAATGGTGGATTGGATAATGAAAATGTGGTACATATATACCATGGAATACTATACAGCCATAAAAAAGAATGAGATCATGTCCTTTGTAGCAACATGGATGGAGCTGGAGACCATTATCCTAAGCAAACTAACACAGGAACATAAAATTAAATACCACATATTCTCACTTATAAGTGGGAGCTAAGCATTGAGAATACATGGACACAAAGAGGGGAACAACAGACCCCCGGCCTACTTGAGGGTGGAGAGTGGGAGGAGGAAGAGGATTGACAAACCATCTATAGGGTCCTATGCTCATTACCCAGGTGATGAAATAATCTGTACAACAAACCTGCACATGTATCCTCTGAACCTAAAATTAAAGTTAGAAAATAAAATAAAATGTGATTATGACTAAAACAAAAAAATTTCTCAATTCAGCACATGACCAAGGAGGCTTCTGGAATGTGGAATTTTCAGTTTTAAAATCAGACACTTCTGAGCAAACCAAAATGAGTTGGTTACCCTCATGTGAGTATGTAGTCAAAGGATGAAAAAAATGTCCTTTTTCAGATGCCCTAGAATACCAACATTTGTTTTTTGTTTTTTTTTTTTTTGAGACAGGGTCTTGCTCTGTGGCTTAAGCTGGAGTGCAGTGGTGTGATCACAGCTCACTGCAGCCTCAAATTCCTGGGCCCAGGCAAGCGATCCTCCTGCCTCAGCCTCCGGAGTAGTTAAGACTACAGGCTTGCGCCACTGTGCCTGGCCCTGCCTTGGGCTTAAGTCCTTGGTGGTGGAACCTGGGAGGGGGTGGGGGGCTCACAGGCTTTTGTCCCTGGCAGGTGTTGCCATAGGCTTCTTCTTTTTTTCTTTTTCTTTTCTTTTTTTTTTTTTTTTGAGACGGAGTCTCGCTCTGTCGCCCAGGCTGGAGTGCAGTGGCACAATCTCGGCTCACTGCAAGCTCTGCCTCCCGGGTTCACACCATTCTCCCGCCTCAGCCTCCAGAGTAGCTGGAACTACAGGCACCCGCCAGCACACCCAGCTAATTTTTTGTATTTTTATTAGAGACGGGTTTCACCATGTCAGCCAGGATGGTATCGATCTGCTGACCTTGTGATCCGCCCACCTCGGCCTCCCAAAGTGCTGGGATTACAGGCGTGAGCCACCGTGCCGGGCCGCCATAGGCTCCTTCTTACAGACTCTGGGGTCAGATGTAGGCTCTGCCTCCTGAGTGAGTTATCCAAGCCCTCTCAGCCTCGGTTTCCTCCTCTGTAAAATGGGGCTAGTAGATGTGAGCTGTTGATATCCTTGAGATGAGACAGTGTGTGTTTTGTTGCAGCTGTGTCCCCAGTGCCTAGACGTCCCCAGTGCTACGGTGTTCCAGGCAGTTTTGCTGAATAAGTACATGTGAAACACTTGCAGCGATGTGCTTTATTTACTGGAAAGTTACACATGCAAAGTTCGGTAGCCTTACGTAATATTATCATTTTGTGTTGATATTAAGCCTTATAATCATCAATATAAGGCAAACCAAATGTGCTCATTTTGCGGGTGGATTTAATAAGAGTTGTATCTTACCCTGCTGCTGAGTTCTAAAGTTGGAAAGATGTTAAGTGCACGTTGGAAAGGATTTTGGTGGCAGGTGGGTGCTAGAGGCAGAGGGGCCTTCGAGGAACACTCTGACTTTTTAAGTCCTGAATTACAGTTGAGGAAACTGAGGCTCAGTGAGGGGAACAGATTTCTAAAATCTGCATGGACTGTAAGCAGCAGAGTTGGGATTCAAGCCGGGTCTGCTGACTCCCAGTCCAGCCTAACTCTTAAAGTGCACCCCTGAACTACAGGTTTGCAGATGGAGAGAGGCTCTCAGAGAGGGGGAGCAACTGGCTGGGCCAGGAATCAAGGAGGTGGCAGAGCCCGAAGGACAGGCTGCTTGAGTCACGGAAGGGTGGGGTGAAGGTGTGTAGGAACTGTATGCTCAGAGAGACGTAAAGAGTGGGACAGAAGCAGGATTTGGAGGGTCCCACGTCCTTTTGCACCCGGGTACGCTGGACCCATTGGTATGACCCCCCCCATGCACCCTGGACTCTGGAGCCTCAGTTTCCTCATTTGTAAAGGAAGGTAACAGTCAACTGTGCCCCTCCTCTGAGGGTTTTGGGGTGCCGATACGGAGCTCTCTTGAACTCCTGGAGGAGGAAATATTGCCAGGGGGCAGTTAATGGGCCCCCAGACCCACTTGGCTGCCAGCTCTGTCCCGTACCCACCCCCCCGCACTCCAAGCTTCTAAATTAGCGCAACCCCCTAAGCCAGGGCAGGGCTGGGCCCAAGTCGTGGAATGTGAGCAGTCTTTTCATCAAATTATTCCTCCACATTCGCAGAGAGGAGGACTTATTGGCAGAAAATGAGGACATAAAACTCCGCTGGAGCCTAGCACCTTTTTGGGGCGCTCAGCGCGGAGCACTTGGAAGCCGTCCAGCAGATTGGTTCATTTGTAATGGTCTAGGACTATAGTTCATCTGTTTAATTCAAACGCGGTGACATAATATCTTTCATTTGGACTTATTACCAGCACGGCAGTGATTCGGCTCCCGGCATTCTCCGGGCAGGACATTCTGTCATTACTGCACATTTTCTCTCTCTCTGGCCAAATTGAAAGTCCGCGGGAAGGGCAGCAGCCTCTGAAGGGAGAGATCAACAGAGAGTAGGTCACATCGGGTGTTAAGGAATGAAAATGAATTCATTCTTTTCTCCGTTGAATAAGCAGCTGTACTTGGGTCTCTGTGATCCATGAAATAGGCTGTCAAGAAAATAGGAAACGGTCTGCATTTGAACTTCTCCGTTGATTCTGCCTCTGTCGCCCTGAAGACTGGTACTGACCCCCGGGGCAGAGCAGAGGGAGGAGAGGGACGACGTAAGGGGTAGGACGGAAGCAGGACTTGGAGGGTCCCGCATCCTTTTGCACCCAGGTACACTGGACCCATTGGTGTGACCCCCGTGCACCCTGGACTCTGGAGCCTCAGTTTCCTCGATTGTAAAGGAAGGCAACGGTCAACTGTGCCCCTCCTCTAGGGCTTTTGGGGGTGCAGGTGGGGAGCTCCCTTGAATTCCTGGAGGAGGAAACATTGCCAGGGGGCAGTTAATGGCCACCCAGACCCCCAGACCAACTTAGCTGCCAGCTCTGTCCCCCCACCTCCCCACACTTCTAAATTAGCACACACAACCCCCTGAGCTGGGGCTGGGCTGGCCCCAAGTCATGGAATGTGAGGGGTACACACTCATGGGCACCTATCCCATGCCAGACCCCTGGCATTCAGCATGGTCGTTGGGGGGTGAGGCTGGAGCCCCACGTTGCAGATGATGATGACAGGCTCAGAAAGATGCAGAGACTTTCTCTCAAGGTCACTTACGGGCAGAACCTGGCTTCAGTTTGCCATGTAGAGCAGTGCAGCTGGGAAGTTGGGCTGAAGCAGCTCAAAGCCTCATTCTCCATATTTACTGGCGTGAGAGGGTGGGCAAGCTGTTTGATCTCAAGTCTTAAGCTTCCCATGAGGGAGGGGTTTGCCCAGTTCACTGCTGCATCCCTAGTGGCTAGGGCCACAGCTGGGACTGGAGTGAGGTGGGTGAGACATCTTGCAAGTGCAAGCTTGGATCCAGCCTTCAGTGAAAATTTTGATGTTTTGTTCATTGTGGATACTTCTGCATTAATTTTTCATTTTTTTTGAGATGGAGTCTAGCTCTGTCGCCTCGGTTGGAGTGCAGTGGTGCGGTCTTGGCTCACTGCAACCTCTGCCTCCTGGGTTCAAGTGATTCTCATGCCTCCCAAGTAGCTGGAATTACAGATGTGCGCCACCATGCCCAGCTAATTTTTGTATTTTTAGTAGAGATGGGGTTTCACCATTTCGGGTAGGCTGGTCTCGAACTCCTGACCTCTGGTGATCCGCCAGCCTCGGCCTCCCAAAGTGCTGGGATTACAGGCATGAGCCACTGTGTCCGGCCTCCGCATTAATTTTTATTTTAATATTACTGTATTAAAATATTGATTACCGTAATTACAGTAGTTTGGTACCCTCTGAAATTTTGCTCTCCCCAGGCAAATGCCTAACCTGTCTCATCCTAGTCCCAGCCCTGCCTAGATCACATAGTATCAAGTGACATTCAATAAGGATTTGTAGAATGCCTGCTGTCCTGTTATGTCAATTTCTGGGCCCCCAAAGTAGAGACTATTCCCCAATGGATGATCAATTCCCCTTGTATCTGAAGGAAGCTGAAACCCCAGACTGAGCTTTTATTTGGCTCCATAATTTGGGGGCAGCTGAGTATTTCTGACAGTGGTGAGCTAAAGATTGTGGAAAGATTCCAGGACCTGATTATGGAACCAATTAGAATTTGAATTTCTATAACGGCCTAATGGGAGAATGGAATGCAAGATATCCATGTGGCTCTGAAAACCTATGCAGAATTTCACTTCGTCATTAGAGACTGCAGCACCTTTCCCTCTCCTGGATGTTTCTTGCAATTAAAAGGCACACTGGGTTGTACTGACAATCATTAGTGTAATGAGACCTGGCTGTGCAATGCTACTAAGCCCCTTCCCTGTGGGGGGCACACCTGGGCTGAGACAGCTGGGTTTCTGCTGTGATGCCTCTGTTGTTCCATTTCAATGAAATGTCAGATCCTGCCTCCACCTTCAGCTTCATTTCCCTCCAAAGCTGAGGTTTCATTGAGAAGCATTCTTATAATTAGGGTGGGAGTGACAAATAGCCTCCTATATGATTTAAAATGGTCAAATTATCGATACCTTTTCTAGCCTCAGCTTTAAATCTTAGCCACCAACGACTCCCCTATTAACGGGCCTAATTAAATCCATTTTTCAGGATGTCTTTGGCAAATTCCATTTTAGCAAAACTGGAGGAAGTTCAGTTTGATTTGTCTCTGCTCCCCAATGCTTTTCTGTAAAAATGAGGACAAGGTGAATGCTCGTTTCTTGTGTCTAACATTTATTCATTCAGCCAACAAATATTTGTTGAGCACCTACTATGTGTACTAGCATGAAACTAGGGGAGGGAGATAGAGAAACAAAAAGACACCAAAGTTCCAACCTTCGTGGCTAGAGGAGAGTGACGATCATTCATTCATTCATTCATTCATTCAGCAAACGGGAATTGAGTCATCTAATGGGTGACCCACTGTGCTAGACCCTGGTGTTGTAATGATGAAATACCACCCCCACAATGTCACCTTCACAAGATTGCCACTTTTTTGAGGTGGTATAGATAGTTAATATTCAATGTGATAAATGTTCTGATAGGGTTAAGTGCAGGAGACTGTGTGATTTTGGAAGAAAGCTCCTAGCTCAGGCTGAGAAGCTGGAGTCAGGGAAGATTCCCTGGAGTTGAGTTTTAAAGAATAAGTAGGTGTTTTCCATGTGAAGCGAGTCGAAGGGGAGGCGTTGCCAGAGCCAGGATGGGTGAGCACAGGGATGTGGGAGAACGTGGGAACTGGGCAGAACTCTAACCCGTTCAGTTGGGTTAGGGCAGTGCTCACAGCTGTGGCTGCAAATTAGAATCACTTGGGGGATTTGAAAAAATACAAATGCCCACACCTAATCCCTGATTATGTACATCATAATTTTGGGGAGCAGGGTCAATTTATTGGTATGTTTTTAAAGCTCTCCAAGTAATGCTAATGTTCAGCCAGGGTTGAGAGCCACTGGGCTAAGGCATGCAAGGTGGTGAGAGGTGAGGCTGGAGAGGTAGGAGGGGACTATATTGGGAAGGGTCCTGGAAGGCTGTTAAGGGGTTTGAACCTTACCTGAGGGTAGTGAGAGCATTGAAGGGTTGTAAGCAGCGGGGAAGGAGGGGCTGATATTTGTGTTTCAGAAGGAATTGATTGGATTGTGGTTATTGGAGGCAGAGAAACTGGTAAAGAGGCTATGGCAGCAATCTGGACAAGAGATGACAGTGACCTGGGCCTGGGTCACGATGGAGAGGAGAGATGTTTGCAAGGACGAATCAACAAGATTGGGTGGTGAATTGGGTATCCGGGATAAAGCAGGGAAAGGAGTTTAAGATGACACCAAGTGGCTTGGACGACTGTGTGGATGATTGTGACATAAACCAGAGAGGGGCAAGGAAAGATAGATAGTGGTTTGGGTTTAGGACATGCGGGAGGGATTCGATTGGCAGTTGGAGTCAAGGTCTGACATTTGGGATTGTACTCTGCATGGATTAAACAATTGGAAAGTCAACTATGACTCATAATTGGATGATGTCATCCAAGGAGGGTGTATAACCTCAGAGTAAGAGGAGAAAAAGGCCAAGGGTGGTGGAGCGTTTAGGAGTCTCAACATGTAAAGGGTGGTTGGAGTTTCAAAGAGCTGAGAAAGAACTTGACGAGGGATGGCAGAGAGGTACGAAGTTCAGGAAAGTGATGTCGTGAAGCCAAGGGAGAGAGATGTGAGAAGAGAATGGCAACATGTTGAAAGTTGCACGGAGGTCAAATAAAAGGGAAGACACCTCCATACATTTAGGAAAAAGCTGGAGGCAGAAACGAGACTGTAGTGCGTTGGAGAGTGAATGGGAGAGAGATGAACATAGTGTATATGCTGGCCTAAGAAAGGCAAGCAAGAGATTGGGCAGGACCCAGAGGAGATGTTGGATTGTGGGAGGTGTCTGCATTCCTTCAAAAGCAGACCTTGAAACAGAATTGAGTGCAAGTGGTTTATTTTGGAGATGATCCCAGGAAACACCAATATGGGTGGCGGGTGAAGAAAGGAGACATCAGTAAAGAATATTTCAGCAAGCAAGATGAATGTGGGAATATGGAGCTTAACTTTATTGGGTAACCCTGGAAGACAGTATGGACTGTGTATTCAAAGTTAATTCCCCATTAACTTTGGGGAGCTGGGATATATTTATCCACCAATTTTAGTCATTGGTTGAGCTTCCGTTCCTTGGGGATTGGGGAAGCATTAATTTCCCAGGCACCTTTAGCAGGCCATGTGCATGGGGAAAGGAGGCTCTGGCAGCCAGATAAAGTCCTCACGTAAAAAGACAGGAGATGGCAGTTGGAAGTTGGATGAAAGTGATGAAAATGGTAAGAACTGAGGGGCTACAGATGGGGACACTGAAAGCATCTGTTGCAGGAGGGATTTAGTGTTTTTCTAGCCTGAAAAGAATGTATCATGAATTGAATGGTGAGGATGCATGAGAGGGATGGGTTGAAGGTATAAGTGAGAGGGGGGATAAATGATGCAGAGTGGTTCAAGAGGAGGGGGAAGGGAGTGTGAGTAAGAATGCAATTGAAGGGCTTTGTTGAAATGATATGAGGTTGTGGTTGGTAAGTAGGAGGCTGGGATTTATATTCTAGCAGAAATTCAGCATATCATGATCCTGGGTGTGGGTGGCTGAAATGGTAGGAAAGTGAATTCCATTGGAGCTGGCAAGTCAAGCACCAGGGAGGTGAAGATGTGGACATGGGTTCATTAACATTGGAAATCAAAGTCCCTAAGGACTTGAGGGTGGAGAGAAAGACTAAATCAGCTGCCAAAGTTATTAGTGTTATTAAAAGTCACAAGGTACCCCAGTGAGCCAAGAGTGTGTATCAACCATTGGGTGCTAGACCAGGAAGGAGTCAGAAGAACAAATCAGTCTGAAGAGTCTGATTATTATTTAATGGGTGAGTCTAGCTGGAAGTTTTGAAAGGAGGTTAGAGAACAGAGCTGAAAAGTGGCAGCAAGAGTCAAATTCAAGGAGCAGGCAGGAGGCCAGGGACAAAAAATAGGATCAGGAACCAGAGAAATCAAATACAGTTTAGGAAGCCGAGTTCAAGATTGGTTCAAGTTTATGGTGTAGGTTGAAGGCTGTGGATAAGGAGAGAAAATAAGGACGCATGTTTTTTAGGGGGATCCATGTGGGCAAAGAGATGGACAGCAAGCCCAAAGCCCTGTCCCTACTTGGTTTTCCCTTATTCCCTGAGCCTCACTCCTGCTGAAATCCAGGAGTCCATGGGATCCAGTTTGAAGGTCACTGAGGAATTGGAGTGAGTTCAGACTCTGGAGTCAGACTGACCTGGGTTCAGATCTCTGCTCAATCTCTTCTAGCTGTGAATCTTGAGGAAGTTTTTCACCTGCAAGTGTAATTGAACCTATATTGAAGGATTGTTCTCTGTTCTTGCTCAAAGAATGGTTTGCATTACTTTAAGATGACAATGATACACATTCATGAAGCAACGTTACGTAGGGCTCTAAGAGTGTGTAATAGGGGCATTTTACCCAGTCAGGAGACCAAGGGAGGCTGCCCTGAGGAGGTGACATTTGAGCTAAGATGGGCGGAATGAAAAGGAGGTAGGTAAAAGTGGAAGTGGGAGCATTCTAGGAAGTGGAGACAGTACGTATAAAGACCGTGTGGTGGGAGGAAGCATGGCCCACTTTAGTAATCGAGTCAAGGGCAGTGTAGCTGCAATGGAGAAAGTGAGAAAGGGCATAGAGGGGCTTCTGTCAGCAGCCAGTCCATGCAGGACCTTGATCTGCATCATAAAAGCAATGAGAAGTCAGAATTTTAGCAGGAAGGTAACTTGGTCAGTTGGTGGTTTTGGCTGCTGGATGAAGGAGAGACAATGGGAGGGAGCACAGGTTAAGGAAGGGGCCAGTGAGTGGTCATCGCCTTCATCCAGGGAAAGGATAAAATGGGCTTGGAATAGGTGCTAGAGGTGGAGCAAAAGACGAGAATAATTTGAGAGATGTTAGGGAAGCAGCATACACAGGATTTGGTGAGGGATTAGGTTATAGGGAGTTGGAGAGTTTGAGGATGAGAGCCTCATTTCCAGTGTGGCAGTCAGGCATACCTAGTTGCCCACCTCAGAGTCATTCCTCCTTTTTTCTTCAATGTCATATTCCATTTTTGGAGGATCACTGTGCTCAGGCTGGGTTTCCCGAGCACATTGATCCCCAGGAATCATGGACCATGATTAGTTTAAGCCAAACATCATAATCCTGCTTCTGCTTAGTGACTGATTTAGAGGGAAGCCTGCAACCTAGGTTTAGCCAATGAATCCAAGGGTATGAATGAGCTTACATTGGGAGATTTACAATGAGGAGAGATAAGGGCTGAGATCCAAATCTTGAGTAATTTCAATATTTCATGGCCAGACACTGAAGAATGAGCTGTAGAAGGAACAGAGAGTTAGAAGCTAGAAAAGTACATGGAGAACCATACAACTGTGGTGTCATAAAAGGTAAGGGAAGAAAGAGTTCCTGAAAAAGGAAGTGTGTGTGGAGGTAGTGAATAGAATGATAGGTATGAGAGGCTGGGAAGAGTGTGCAGGTGGGAGGTGGGCATGAAGACAGGTTGGTAAACTGGACATACATACAGTTAGATAGAAGATATAAATTCTAATGTTGAATAGCAGAGTAGGGTGACTATAGTTGGCAGCAATGTAGTGTATATTTCAAAGCCACTAGAAGAGGAAACTTAAGTTGTTTCCAACACATAGAAATGATAAATACTCAAAGTGACAGATATCCCAAATACTCCGACTTGTTCATTATACATTCTACATATGCCACAAATACTCACATGTACACCATAAATATGTAAAGGATTATGTATCAATAAAAAAAGAAAAATGTGAGTGCATACCCATGCAGAATATTGTTGAAACATCAAAGCAAGTGAAAGACTAAAACTTTTCTGACTCTCTTGCTTTCCTGATAAGGAATTTGCAGACAGAATAAATGTTTGTATTAGTTACACAGCAAGTTGGTAGCACAACCTTTGTATCAGTTAGCTATTGCCGTGTAAGAAAGAACTCCAAAATGAAGTGATATTTATTCTAAACCACTAATATTTATTCTAACAGTTTTGTTGGGTTGTTCTGCTGATCTGAGCCAGGTTTGTCCAATCTTTACTGGACTCATTCGTGGTCAGCTGGTAGATTGGCCAGAGCCTTGCTGGTATAGGATGGCTTTAGCCAGGACGGATTGTTAGTTTGTCTCTGCTCCATGTGGTATCTCATTCTCCAGTAGGCTGGCCCAGGGGTATGGGCTCCAGGTAGATGGAACAGGAGGTACAAAGATTCTGAGGTGAGAACAAGCTTGAATGCTTGAGGAAGAGGAGGAGGAAGGCCTGTGTGGCTGAGACCAGTGTGCATGGGGAAGAGCAGGAGCAGCTCAGAGTGGGATTGGGTTGGGAAGAATATAATGAGTGCCTCAAAGACCTCTGCAAGGATTTTTGCTTTTATTTTATTACTATTAGACTTATCTTCTGCTGTGTTACCCTGGTTGACTCCAGTTTGGCTTCTACTCCATGGAAGAGGTTTTACATTTCATCTGGCCCTGTGAATGTGGACTCCGTTTCTCCCCTCCCTGTGCTGACATTTCTTCCATTTTGTCCCCCTGAGTGGTGCAAGACAGGTCAGCATACCCAGCTCAGAAATCACTCAAATTTAGGAAAAAATACTTGCAAAATACCCATGTGACAAGGGATTCATAACCAGAATATATGAAGAGCTCAAACAACTCTATAGGAAAAAAATCTAATAGTCTGTTAAAAAATGGGCAAAAGCATCAGTGACAGATTGGATAAAGAAAATGGGGGGTAATTATACATCATGGAATACTATGCAGCCATAACAAAAGAATGAAATCATGTCTTTGCAGGAACTTGGATGGAGCCAGAGGCCATTATCCTTAGCAAACTAACACAGGAACAGAAAACCAAATGCCACATGTTCTCACTTGTAAGTGGAAGCTCAATGATGAGAACACATGGACGCAAAGAAGAGAACAACAGACACCGGGGCCTACTTAAGGGTGGGGGGTGGGAGGAGGGAGAGGATCAGAAAAAATAACTACTCGGTACTGGGCTTTAGTCCCTGGGTAATGAAATAATCTGTGCAACAAACCCTTGTGACATAAGTTTACCTATATAGCAGACTTGCACATGCACCCCTGAACCTAAAATAAAAGTTTTGAAAAATGGGCAAATGATTTGAATAGATGTTTCTCAAAAGAAGACCTACAATGGCAAAAAGGCATATGAAAAGATGCTTAACATCATTGATCATCAGAGAAATGCAAATCAAAACTATGATGAGCAAATCCTGGCAAGGATGTGGAGAAAAGGGAACCCTCGTACCCTGTTGGTGGGAATGTAAATTAGGACAAACACTATGGAGAACAGTGGTTCTCAAAAAACTAAAAACGGAGCTACCATATGATCCAGCAATTCCACTGCTGGGTGTATACTGAAAAGAAAGGAAATCCATATATCAAACAGATATCTGCACTCCTATGTTTGTTGCAGCACTGTTCACAATAGCTAAGGTTTGGAAGCAACCTAAGTGTCCATCAACAGATGAATGGATAAAGAAAATGTGGTACATGTACACAAGGGAGTACTATTCAGCCATAAAAAAGAATGAGATCCAGTTATTTGCAGCAACATGGATAAAACTGGAGATCATTATATGAAGTGAAATAAACCAGGCACAGAAAGAAAAACATTGTATGTTCTCACTTATTTGTGGTATCTAAAAATCAAAACAATTGACTCATGGAAATAGAGAATAGAAGGATAATTACCAAAGGCTGGGAAAGGTAGTGGGGGCCTGGGGACAAGGTGGGGATGGTTAATGGGTACAAAAAATAGAAACAATGACTAAGACCCACTATTTGGTCACACAACAGGGTGACTATAGCCAATAATAACTTGATTGTACATTTTAGAATGACTGAAACAGTGTGATTGGATTGTTTGTAACACAAAGCCTACATGCTTGAGGGGATGGATACCCCTTTCCCCATGATGTGTTTATGTCATATCGTATGCCTGTATCAAAAAATCTCATGTACCACACAAATATAAACATTGCTATGTACACATAAAAATTAAAAATTAAAAAAATTTTTAAAAAGGAAATCACTAAAACGTAAAGTCTCATCCTAAAGTCCCATCCTCCAGGTTAACAGGATATGACCCACAGACCAAATCCAGCCCACTGCCTGTTTTTGTAACCAAAATTTGTTCCAATTTTATTGGAACACAGCCGTGCCCAATTGTCTACCTATTGTCTGTGGTCACTTTTGTGCTACAAAGGCAGAGATGAGTAGTTTTGACGGAGACTGTACGGCCCACAAAGCCTTAAATATTTATTATCTGCTGCTTTAGAGATAAAGTTAAACCTTCCGGAACTTTAGAAGAAATACACTGAATTCTTTCCTGCCTGGAAGGGTGGGGAAGTTCGGGTCTGTGGCATTGTCTATGGGCAAAGGAGATTCAAGTGTGCACAAGTACACACTCTGCTTGGTTTCTAGTATCTTGCCCCACTCATCTCTGCTTCTTTGGGTTGACTTCCAACCCTGCTCCAGGCAATAGGGACACTCCTGATGTCTTAATCTGCTCTTGCTGCTATAACAAAATGCCATAGAGCAAGTGGCTTAAATAAAGCACATTTGTCTCTCAGTTTTGGAGGACAGGAAGTCCAATATCAGGGTGTCAGCATAATTCCATAATGGGGCCCCACCCTCATGACCTCATATAAACCTAATTACCTATCAAAGCTCCACAAATTATTTTGACCTCAGTAATTTCTGCAACTCTGGCCAATATACCTAGTTTTAGAAAAGCAGGAAAAAAAATCTTGGAAGCCTGCAACCAATAAAATATTGGTACATGGGGTTGGAGGGTGGTAGGTAGGAGTTAGGGCATCAGAATATGAATTCTGGGGGACACAAACATTCAATCCCTAACACCTGACATCTCTTATATTTTTGCCTGCTCCCTCAATCAGAATGAATGGTGGGTAGCAGGGCAGTATAGTTAGTGGCTGAAGAACAGTCTCTGGAGTTAGGCACACCTGAGTTCAAGTTACCTGTTATCTTGGGGAAATCTTAGAACATTTCGTCATTGAAAGAGTGAATGATGGCTGGACGCAGTGGCTTACGCCTGTAATCCCCAAATTTTGGGAAGCTGAGGCGGGAGGATCATTTGAACCCAGGAGTTCAAGACCAGCCTGGCCAACATGGTGAAACTCTGCCTATACAAAAAATACTAAAAAGTAGCCGGACATGGTGGTGTGGGCCTGTAGTCCCAGCTAACTCTGGAGGCTGAGGTGGGAGGATTGCTTGGGCCTGGGAGGTCGAGGCTGCAGTGAGCTGAGATAGTGCCACTGCACTCCAGCCTGGACAACAGTGAGACCCTGTCTAAAAGAAAAGAAAAAGAAAGAAAGAAAGAAAGAAAAGAAAAAGAGTAAATGATAGGCTGAGGCTGGAGGATTGCTTGAGGCCAGGAGTTGGAGATCAGCCTGAGCAACACAACCAGACCCCACCCCCACAAAATAAAAATAAATAAAAAGAGACAGCCAATGATAGTTTGCAGCTCTTTGGGTTAGTGTAAGGACTGAGGATAGCTTGTATGATGCTTAGTTGACAAATAGTAAGTGCCCAATTTTAAATTGTAACTATAACATAAATTTCAGGAAACCACCTTTCTCCCCTTTGGAGGAAAACAAGAAGAGCCTCTGGCAAGTGGTGTGGATAGAATCAGTAAGTCCGTATTCAGCCTTCATCTCAATAATTTCTGCAACTCTGGACAATATACCTGATTTTAGGAAAGCAGTGGGAAAATCAGTATCTTGAAGCTTGCAACCAATAAAATATCAGAAGTGGCAATTTCATCCTCTCCGTGTCTGCCTGCATCACTAACAGTGTACTCAACACCGGGGTGGTGAGGAGTTCGGGGTAAGGCAGGCTCGTAAAAATGACCGATGCGGGTATTAATGATTTAATCTGCTAACGTGGCGTGGCTGCCTCCGAGAATCCTATTTGTCAGCGTCCGGGAACCCATTACCAGGAGCCTGGGCGAGAAGCGCCGGGGATAGCGCGCGGATGTGGCGCGAATGAAGATGAATGGCGGAGCACAATATTGATTTGCTTTGCCTGGAACCGTCGCATTCTGTTTGGAAATATGGAAAACAAATTAATGAATAAATGAGCTGGCTTGGTGAACTGCGCCCCTCTGGGATCCCTGGTATTAAAGCCACATATGCCAAGCAGACTCTTAGCTAAATAAGGGGGAGAAGAGGGTTTGCTAAGAGGGGAGTGTGGCTGTGAGCCTTAGCCTGAGGACCGCGCCCCAGGGCTTCAGAAAGCAGTAGCAGGTGTCCTGGGGTCAGACAGGTTTTTCTTTCTTTCTCTTTTTTTTTTCTTAAGAGACAGAGTCTGGCTTTGTTGCCCAGGCTGGAGTGCAGTGGTAAGATCATAGCTGACTGCAGCCTTGAACCCCTGGGCTCAAACGATCCTTCCACCTCAGCCGCAGGTTTAGCTGGTGCATGCCACCATGCCTGGCTAATTTTATTTTTATTTTTTCATTTTGTATTTTTTTGAGACAGTCTTGCTTTGTCGCCCAGGCTGGAGTACAGTGGCGCCATCTTGGCTCACTGCAACTTCCGCCTCCTGGGTTCAAGCAATTCTTGTGCCTCAACCTCCCGAGTAGCTGGGACTACAGTCATGTACCACGACGCCAGGCTAATTTTTGTATTTTTGGTAGAGATGGGGTTCTGCCATGTTGGCCAGGCTGGTCTCCAACTCCTGGTCTGAAGGGATCCACCTGCCTCGGACTCCCAAAGTGCTGGGATGACAGGCATGAGCCACTGCGCCTGGCCTAATTTTAATTTTTTTGTTGTTGTTGTTGAGATGGGGTCTTGCTCTATTGCCCAGGCTGGTCTCCAACTCCTGGCCTCAGGTGATCCTCCCACCTTGGCCTCCTAAAGTGCTGGGATTTACAGGCATGAGTCACTGGGCAGGCTGCAGAGAGATTCTTTTTTTGAGACAGGTTCTTGTTCTGTTGCCTGGGCTGAATATAGTGAAGGATCGTAGGTCACTGTAGCCTCGAGCAGCCTCGAACTCCTGGGCTCAAGTGATCCTCCTGCCTCAGCCTCCCAAGTAGCTGGAACTACAGGTGTGTACCACTATGCCTGGCTAATTTCTAAATTTTTTTAAAAGATGGGGACTGGCTGCATTGCCCAGGCTGGTCTCAAACTCATGGCCTCAAGTGATCTCACTTCAGCTTCCCAAAGTACTGGGATTAGAGGCATGAGCCACCACACCCAGCTGCAGACAGGTGCTTGATGGAACTTTGGTTCTGTCTCTGTTAGCTGTGGGCCTCCAAAATTCATGCAATCTCTCTGAACTTGATTTTCTTTATCAGAAGAAAGGGGGTCATGTACCCACCCAAAGGAGGATTCAGTCTTATCAGGCATTTAGGGTGGTGTAAAAGTAATTGCGGTTTTGGCCATTAAAAGTAATGATCTCTATTGGCTCTACCTCTTATATGCTGATATATTGGACAAATTATTTGACCTCTCTGTGCTTCAAAATCCCCTTGATATGGTTTGGCTGTGTCCCCACCCAAATCTCATGTTGAATTGTAGCTCCCACAATTCCCACCTATCATGGGAGGGACCCAGTGGAAGGTAATTGAATCATGGGGGTGGGTCTTTCCTGTGCTGTTCTCGTGATAGTAAATAAGTCTCATGAGATCTGATGGTTTTATAAAGAGGAGTTCTCCTGCACAAGCTCTTTCTTCCTTGCTACCATGTAAAATGTGACTTGCTCCTCCTTGCCTTCCACCATGATTGTGAGGCCTCCCCAGCCACGTGGAACTGTGAGCCAATTAAATCTCTTGTCTTTATAAATTATCCAGTCTTGGGTACGTCTTTATCAGCAGTGTGAAAACAAACTAATGCACCCCTTCTATCTCATGGGGAAAATAATAAGACCCATCCCATTGGGTTGTTAAAATTAACTGAATCAAGCATTTAGAATAGTGCCTGAGACACAGACAGTGGCACATGTATACATATGTAACTAACCTGCACAATGTGCACATGTACCCTAAAACTTAGAGTATAATAAAAAAAAAAAAAGAAAGGAAAAAAAATAAATAAAAAAAAAAAAAAAAAAAAAAAAAAAAAAGTGGTAGTTTTAAAAACTGTTCAACATTCAAGAATTATTTATCAAGCACTTATTAAGTGCCAATTACTCTTCTAGGTGCCCAGAGTAGAGTTGTGAACAGAGTAAAATCCCTTCTTTCATAGAATTTTATTGCTATTTTTTCTCTATGGATGTCCAAATGTTTCGGCATTGTTTGTTGAAAAGACTATCCTTCCTCCATTGAATTACATTTACACCTTCATCAAAAATTAGCTGCCCATACTTGCAGGGGGATATTTCTGGGTTTTCTGTGCTATTCCATTGATCTGTGTGTCTGTCCTTCTGCCTATATCACACTATCTTGAATACTGTAGCTCCAGAATAAATCTTAGAAGTGAGTAGTATGATTTTCTCACTTTAGTCTTTTTTTCAAAATTATTTTAAGTTTTCTAGTTTGCTTCCATTTTCATATAAATTTTACAGTAGTTTGTCCATATCTACAAATGTCTTTCAGAAATTTTGATAGGGACTGTATTAAACCTGTATATCCATTTGAGGAGAACTGACATCTTTACTACGTTGAATCGTCCAATCTATGAACATGGTATGTCTCTCCATTTATTTAGATCTTCTTTGATTTCTTTCATCCACACTTTGTAGTTTTTGCCACACAAGCCCTGTAATATTTTGCTAGATTTATTCCTAAGCATTTCATTTTTATGAACAATTGTAAATGGTATTATGCTTTAAATTTTAGTTTATACTTGTTCATTGTTAGTATACAGAAATAAGATTGATCTGTATGTGTTAATCTTGTATCCTACAACCTTGCTGAACTCACATATTAGTTCTAGGGGTTTTATTTGTATGTGTTTAGGTTCCTTGGAATGGTCTACCTATATACTCGTGCCATATGCAAATAGGAACAATTTTATTTCTCCCTTTCTAATATGTACAGATAATATAGATATTTGGAATTGGTTATTATTACATCAAGAAACACTAATGCCCAAAGAGGCCAGTCTGGTGGAAACTGTGACAAATGGCAGCCCAGGCTGGCCAAAGGGGGCTGCAGCTACCTAGCTATGAGGGAGTTTAAATCCAATCTTTAGATTGTTAAAACAGATCTCATTGTGAGATTTTCTGATATGTAAATGTTGGTGAGTTACTCAAATATTTAAACACCTCTTAGGCCAAGCAAAACACACCTGTAAGCAGGACTGAGCTTGCACCAGTTTGCAACCTGGCACAAAATGGGCATTCTGTAGACAGAAGCAGCGGCTCCTCCTGCCAGATGTCACAGGTGGGCACTGCTTAAGGGATGTGTTGGGGAGCACTTGCTGCTGATTTTCCCCGGGGTTCCCAGGGTGGACAAGAAGACCTATGGAGATGAAGGTTTAACTGCATCTGTAAGGCTGTCTCTGGAATTCTCATGGCTCAGAACTAGCTGGCTGGGTGCTTCACTTTCTCCTCAGCAGCAAAGCAGCTGTGTCTCAGGTGGCTGGGCCAGGGTGTGTAACTCCAGGGTAATCCATGACAGGGGCTGATAAGGAGGGGTAGAGTCAGGATTGGACAGTGGAAAAAACTTGGGAAAATTACAGAAAGTGGCTGAGTTGTCTATGTGCAAAATGGGAGATGCAGGGGGAAGGAGGGAGTAAATGAATATTGAGTAAATATGCTGATCACCATGCTAGTTTTCTCCCACCCTCCCTTCCTTTTTTTCTTCCTTCCTTTCATGCAACATGTATTTATTCAGGGCCTTCTCTGTGCCAGGCACCGTGCTGGGCTCCGTGCCAGACACTGTGCTAGGCACTCGCCTCTCATTCTTTACATTTTCCTATAACGTAGGCATCATTCCCTCCATTTCACAAATGGGGAAACTAAATGACCACACCTGTGGTCCCAGATCTGTCTGACTTCAGTGACGGTGCTCTTTGTACCACGTGCACTTTGATATCTCACAAAGGGTGCAACAAACACCTCTGTCATCTCCTGGCAATCTTTGGTTCCAGGAGCTCTAATCTGGTAGGAGGAATGTAGCAGAAGCAGAATCCAGGTGACTGCTGAATCCATAAATCAGGCAGACCATGACCTGCATTGTCCATACAGTGGCATGAGGCATCAGCAGGAGGATGACCTGGGACCAATAGTCTTCTGTAAATCCATCTATGAAGGGGCAAGGAGGAATCCAGCAGTGCCCTCGGGTCTTAACTGCAGTTTCATTCACTGTAAAATATTTAAAGAGGCTTATTCTGAATCTGTGTGAGTGACCATGGCTCTGGGAACAGTCTCGAAAGGTCCTGAAAAAGTGTACCTAGGTGGTTGGGTTACAGTTTGGTTTTATACATATCAGGGAGACAGGAATTGTAGGTAAAAGCATAAGTCAATACATGAAAGGTGTACATTGGTTCAGCCTAAAGAGTTGGGATATTTTGAGGTGGAGGCTTACAGATCATAAGTGGCTTCAAAGATTTTCTCCCTGGCAATTGGTTGAAAGAGTTAAATTGTGTCTAAAGACTTGAAGTCAGTAGAAAGAAATGCCTGAGTTAAGATAAGGGGAGTTGTGGAGACTGAGGTTCTTGCTATGTAGATGGAGCCTCCAGGTAATGGTTTCAGACTTTAAAAGCTGTGAGACTCTTAGTTAATCTCTCCTAGATCCGGGAAAGTCCTGCAGTTATCTCTCCTAGATCCGGGAAAGTCCTGCTGTATTAAGGGAGATTCTCTACAGATGTAAATTTTCTCCACAAAATAGTTTTGCAGGGCCATTTCAAAATATGTCAGACAAATAGATTTTGGGGCAAAATATTTTGATTTCCTTCAGGATCTGCTATCTATTATGTGATGCTATACTAGAGTCAGTTTGGAATTTGCTATCTTATTGCCGAAGAGTCTGTTTTGTCAAGTCCTATAATCTCTACTTTAATGTTAATGTTGGGCCGGCTGCGATGGCTCACACCTGTAATCCCAGCACTTCAGGAGGCTGAGGCAGGTGGATCACCTGAGGTCAGGAGTTTGAGACCAGCTGGGCCAACATGACAAAACCCCATCTCTACTAAAAATACAAAAATTACCCGGGCGTGGTGGCATGTGCCTGTAATCCCAGCTACTCAGGAGGCTGAGGCAGGAGAATCACTTGAACCTGGGAGTTGGAGGTTGCAGTGAGCCAAGATCGCACACTACCCTCCAGCCTGGGTGACAAAGTGAGACTTCATCTCAAAAAAATATATATGTATATGTAAAATATGAAAATATATATACATTTGTATTTTATATATATAAACAATATAAATATATATATTTTTAAAAATATATATTTTATATATATATATATGTTAATGTTGATCCATTGTGCCTAAATTCCAAAAGGGAGGGGGTATAATGAAGCATGTCCAACCTCCTCTATTAGTCCTTTCTTTCATAGCTATAAAGAAATATCTGAGACTGTGTAATTTATTTAAAAAAGAGGTTTAATTGGCTGGTTCTGCAGGCTGTACAGGAAGCATGATGCTGGCATCTGCTCAGCTTCTGGGGAGGCCTCAGGAAACTCACAATTATGGCATTAGGCAAATGGGGAGCAGCCTTTCACATGGCTAGAGAAGAAGAAAGAGAGAGTGAGGGGAGGCGCCATACACTTAAACAACCAGATCTTGTGAGAACTCTATCAGAAGAACAACATTAAAGGGATGGTACTAAATCATTCATGAAGGACCACCCCCATGATCCAGTCACCTCCCACCAGGCCCCAACTCTGACATTGGGGATTGCAACTGAACATGAGATTTAGGTGGGGACACACATCCAAACCATAGCACCTCCTTTCCTGTCATGGCTGAGAATTCAAATTTTCAGGTTTCTCTGGGGTCCCTTTGGCCCAAAGAGGGCTGTTCAGTAGGTTGGGTGGCTTAGGAATTCTATGTTTGGTTTATAAAAGTCAGAACAGGGTCTCAATAACATTTTTTTCTGAGCATCTGGATCCAGCTATGCCTGAAGCTCTTTCCTTCTAGAGTTCATTCACATTAGCAATTACCTTCTCATTTAGCTTAAGCAGTTTGAGTTGCAAGTAGGAGTCCACATGAAAACAGAAAGAGGGTTGGATTGACCTACTTTCATTGGCTTATGTGCCTGTGTGTCAGAGTCATGTGGTATAATATGGTGATGGATAGAAGGACAGTTTTCAGGGAGTGGTCCTGTGGGCTGAGCCAGGCTTGCTGGTTTTGGCAATCATGAGTGGCTCAGGGTGTCACTATGTTGAGAAGGTCAGGGAATGGCTAGGGAGGTGGCAGTAGGGAAGCTGAGGGGGGAACTTAGAGAAGCACAGCTGGGTACACCAGTCTGGGGTTTAGAGAGGCTGGGGTCCTCTGGGTGTCAGCTGTCATGGTCTCCTAGAGGCACATATGATGCTCAATGAGGGACAGCCAGACTCCTTCCACTGGAGAAATGTCAGGCCTGGAAATGTGCCTGCACTGTGAAAACACGAGGCTTGTAGGAGCATGACACAGCCCTAGAATCCAACATCTCCCTGCAAATGCAGCACCAAGCTCAGAGAACACTTGGCAGGTAAGGTCGCTGCATCCCAGTGTCACCTCAGACACACCCATGCATGGGAGGGTCCCTGGGACATTTCCTCAGCCTGAGGGGCTCCATAGTGGACATAAATCTGGTTTTCATTGCAGTGACTAGACAGCTTCGTGTGTCACCCCAAAACAGCTCACCACTGGCAATGTGACGTTAATAGTCTTGTCATTCTGTCCCTTTCTCCTTCTGCCTGTGCATCTGTATGGACAATTAGGAAAAGACAATTTAATGCTGAAGAAATTAATTGCATTTGCCAAATGGGCTTGAAACCCTCTACAGGCTGTTTCTCTGTCAACACAACAGATTATGGTGCTCAGAAAGTGAGCACTGTTGACTGTTGACACAATCATGTCTGGCTGTGGATCAGCTGTGATTTTTTTTTTGGAGAGGTGGTGCGGTGGAGAGGGTGAAGTGCAGTGGACACACGTGGTGATCCTGGAAAGAAGCTTTGCCTCATTCTTGCATACTCACTGTGGGCCACTATTTTTAGGAACACAAGTTACTCACTGTTGAGCGCTTGCCCTGTGTCAGCTGTGTAGTAGGATACATTACCTTGAATCTTCATAACATTTGTATAAGGAATAGCATTCGTATATTCATATATTCATATCCCCATTTCGCAGATGAGGAAACCCAGGAGCAGAGATGGGAAGTAATTTTGTCTCCCTGAGCATTCGGGGAGCAGAGTTTTTAAGGACAACTTGGTGGGTGGGAGAAAGCCGGTGAGCCGGGAGTGCTGATTGGTCAGCGATGAAATCACTGGGAGTCAGAGCTGTCTTCTTGCGCTGAGTCAGTTCCTGGGTGGGGGCCACAAGATCAGATGAACCAGTTTATCTATCTGGGTGGTGCCGGCTGATCCATCAAGTGCAGGGCCTGCAAAATACCTCAAGCACTGGTCTTAGGGGCAGCTTAGGGAGGGTCAGAATCTTATAGCCTCCAGCTGCATGACTCCGAAACCATAATTTCTAATCTTGTGGCTAATGTTAGTCCTACAGAGGCAGTGTAGCCCCCAGGCAAGAAAGAGATCTGCTTTGGGAAAGGACTATTATCATCTTTGTTTTAAACTATGAACTATAAGCTAAGTTTCTCCCAAAGTTAGTTCGGCCTACGCCCAGGAGTGAACAAGGACAGCTTGGAGGTTAGAAGCAAGTTGGAGTCGATTAAGTTAAATCTCTTTCACTGTCTCAGTCTTAATTTTGCAAAGGCAGTTTCAATTTGCCTGTGCTTACCCAGCAAAATAAAACCCATGCGTCTTCCCAAATGCCCACTGTAGAATGTTGTGGACCCTGGATCCTTGGAGGTAGTGAGGCAGGAGGAAACACCAAGGTCTTCTGGTGTGGCGAATCTGAGGCCAATGCATGCTGACTTCCCAAAGCTGGATCCAAAGGAAAACACCTGGGTCCGGGGGCCGGGAACCTGAGGTCAATTAATGCCAACTTTCTAAAGCTAAACCAAAAGGGAAAACTCCATCCATCTCCCTTTGCCAAGTAACAAAGGACGAAAGGCTATGCTCTCTACAGCCCTCCGCCTTCCGCCATGTCTCAGATGGAAAGGGAGAGTGACTTGGTTGGGCCACAGGCCATGCAAGGACCATCCTTTCATCTGCTTAGGACGTCAGTTCACTTCAGCCTTTAATTAGCCACAGACTAAATCCTTCATCCAGATAAGGGGTAGCTGATAAGAACCTCACACCGAGTACTTAAAACCCAGAAAACGGCCTGGCGCGGTGGCTCACACCTGTAATCCCAGCACTTTGGGAGGCTGAGGCGGGTGGATCATCAGGTCAGGAGATTGAGACCAGCCTGGCCAACATGGTAAAACCATGTCTCTACTAAAAATACAAAAAAAAAAAAAAAAAAAAAAAAAAGAAGCTGAGCATGGTGGCACATGCCTGTAGTCCCATCTGCTCGGGAGGCTGAGGCAGGAGAATCACTTGAACCCTGGAGGTGGAGGTTGCAGTGAGCCGAGATCTTGCCACTGCACTCTAGCCTGGGTGACAGAGCGAGACTCCTTCTCAAAAAAAAAAAAAAAAAATCCAGAAAACTTTGTAACTGGACCCTTGAGCCGCTCGCTGGGGCCCACTCCCACCCTGCGGAGTGCTTTCTCGCTTTAGTATATCCCTGCTTTCACTGCTTTTCATTCCTGCACTTCATTCCTCTGCTACTTTGTGCGTTTTGTACAATTCTTTGTTCAGAACGCCAAGGACCTGGACCACTCGCAGTCAAGGCCCTCCACTGGTAACAGCCAATCCTGTGTCCTAAAATTGTGCATCAGATCAGGGGAAGCAGAAGAGTGTGACTGGTTAATATCCCAGACCCTAGAGTCCGCGTTTCTGGGTTCCAATCCTGGCTCTGATACTACCTGTGTGTTATCTTGGGTAAATCATGTCGCCTCTCTGAATTTCAGTTTCCTCATCTGTAATATGGAGAAAAGCTATTGTCCTAGAATTGTTATGAGGATTAAAGGAAGTAATTTATTTAAATCACTTAACAACTGGTAAATGCTTAACAAGTGTTAACTTTTATTACCATTGAGCAGGAGGTGAATGGCTGCTTCAGGAAGGGACTTCCTGGGGTAGGGGCCTAGCCTGAGGAGTGGGAGAGAGTAGCTAAGGATTGAGGAGCACTCGGGGGACTGGGGTGCATTAGAGTTGTTAAGAAAATATTCAGGCCGGGTGCGGTAGCTCACGCCTGTAATCCCAGCACTTTAAGAGGCCGAGGTGGATGGATTAGCTGAGGTCAGGAGTTCTAGACCAGCCTGGCCAACATGGTGAAACCCTGTCTCTACTAAAAATACAAAATTAGTTGGATGTGGTGATGCACGCCTGTAATCCCAGAGGCAGGAGAATTGCTTGAACCTGGGAGGTGGAGGTTGCGGTCAGCTGAGATGGCGGCATTGCACTCCAGTCTGGGCGACAAGAGCAAAACTCCACTCAAAAAAAAAAAAAAAAAAAAGAAAAGAAAATATTCCCTTGATGTCAGGCTGGGTATGGGTGTGTTTTGGCCAGTGAAATACAGGCAATGCAATGGAAGGGGCAGGTGCTCCCTTCAGAGCCTCCAGAAGGAACACAGTCCTGTGGATACTTTGATGTTAGCTTAGTGAGACCCACATTAGACTTCCGGGCTCCAGAACTGACAGATAATATATTTGCATTGTTTTAAGCTACTAAGTTTGTGGTGATTCGTTACAAGGGCAATAGGAAATGAATACAGATTGTAGGTGCATCATGCAAAAGAAGACCACTCAGGCCCTCTTGTATTTTATTTTAAAAAATTATTTTTATTTTTATTTTTTTAAGGGACAGTCCCATGCTGTCACCCAGGCTGGAATGCAGTGGCGTGATCATAGCTTACTGCAGCCTTGACCTCCTGGGCTTAAGCAATCCTCCTGCCTCAGCTTCCCGAGTAGCTGAGACTACAGGTGTTTGCCATCACATCTGGCTAAGTTTTTATTTTTTTGTAGAGGAAAGGTCTTGCTTGTTACCCAGGTTGGTCTTAACTCCTGGCCTCAAGTGATCCTCCCTCCTTGGTCTCCCAAAGTGCTAGGATTATAGGTGTGAGCCACCAAGCCCAGTCTCCTTTTGCATTTTCCTATGAGCAGCAATGGGAAGCCGGGGTCACCTTCCAACAGTTTATTTATGGCCCAGTTCCTTGGGTGCATTTCCTGCTTTCCAAGTTCCTGAAGACAGGAGGGTTGCAGAACTTTTTGTCACTGACGAGAGACCCCCTTTCTCAATAACATGTTCCTTGTTTCCTCTTGAACCCTCACCTTCAGTGTCCTCACAGTCCAGATTGTAATAACAGCCTGTCCAAGGCAGGTTAGTGTTTCTGCAATACACTCCCTCGTGTCCTTCCAGCCCCTGCTTCTGCCTCCTTCCAAGGGCACACTAGCATTTTTACATTTTTGTTATGGCCATACCTCTCTTCTGGGCACCACAATCTGTATCAGGTATTAATTGCTGTATAATGAATTATCCTGAAACAGAGGCTTAAATCAACAAATACTAACTTAGTCTGGGTCAGGAATTGGGGGTCCTCTGGCTGAGGGTCTCTCCTGAAGCTGCAATCAAGGTGTCATCCTGGGCTGCTGTCACCACGAGGTTGCTCACATGGCTGTTGGTTGGCAGGACCCAGGTCCTCAATGGCAGTTGGCTGGGGACAGCTTTTCTTTTCCCCCAGTCTCTCCATGGGATATCCCACAGCACAGCAACTTCCTCTTCCCAAGAGCTCCGGAGACAGAAACTGCTAGAAAGATGGAACTCACAGGCACTTGTAATGGAATCTCAGAAGTGGCATCCCATCACTCTTGCCACATTCGACATTGGTTAGAAGCCAGTCACTGCCTCTGGCCCCAACTTAGGATGCTGCATGAGGGCATGAACCCCAGGTACTGGGGGTCACTGGGGGCCACCTCGGGGGCTTCCTATCACAAGAGGCATGCCAAGATGCTAGGGACCACCATCCAGGGGCCAGAGTTGGTGCTGTGTCTGTGTGTTGTCCCATTTTACAGATGAGAAAACTGAGGCTCAAAAAGGCTAAGGAAGAACATACCTGACGTCACTCAGAGGCAAAACCATGATGGTACCAGGTCGTCTAGTTCCTGAGCTCCGACTCTTCCACCGAACTCTTCGGGGTTGGTCATTACCCACTGCCTGCCAGCCTGATTCAGTTTCCATTCTGTTTTCTCTCTTCCTCCTCCTTTTCCACATCTGCCCATATCTGCCTTTTGGTTGGCCTTTCTCACTGTGTCCTCTCTGTTCCTGTGTTTGCCTGCCTCCGGTCAGTCTGTCCTTCTGTCCGTCTGTATATCTGCCAAGTCTAGTCACTCTTTTGTGCTTCTCTCATTATTTCCTCCTGTGTCTCTGTCTCAGTCTCATCTGTGACATCTCATCTGTTCCTCCTCTCCACATCTGCCTGGGTCTCCAGCTCTGCGTGTTTGTGGGCCTCTGTCTCTGTGTGTGTCTGTCTTGGGCTTTGCCGGCGTGCCTGTCTCTGCCTCTCTCTCATTTCCCCTGCACCTGTCTGCCTGGCACATGTCCCTGTCTCCCTGTCTCTTTTATACCTATTGATCCCCACACCCATGCATCCCTCTCTGCCTCTCCCTCTCTTTGTCTCCATGTTTTTCTATCTGCATTCCTCTGGGCTCTGTCAACTCCCTTCATCTCAGGCCACAGTGAGCTGCCTTTGGTTTTATCTAGCCTAGGAAGCAGTTTTGATTATTTATGATGCTATCACTTATTAATTTTTATCTTTATAATAACATAAAAACAACGGGCGTTAAGCCCCTACCTGCTGGCGGGTGGCAGCCCACCAGCCTGGTCCTCCTGCCTCACGGACCGATGGAACTGCCCTGCTCCTATTTATCAGACTTCGATATCCATCTCCTTTGGAGACTGTCGGCTCCAATGTTACAATCACAGCAATATTAGAATAACAACTTAAAACCAATCATTTTTATGGGGACACACACAGTATAAAAAGACCTGCCTATCTGAGGACACATATAACATCAGCAGCTATTGCTCCATAAACCTGTCAGTTAGAGAAACATCCCAGGGAGTCCTTGAACACCATTATCCAAGTTTAACCAGGGAGAGAGGGAGAGAGAGGGAAAGAAGGAGTGAGAGAGGGAGAGAGAGGGAAAGAAGGAGTGAGAGAGGGAGAGAGAGGGAAAGAAGGAGTGAGAGAGGGAGAGAGGACTTTGCAAATAATTGCTCATGGAGGTCTGGAAAAAAAAATGTGAGCAATTGATTCCAGAGGGAGCCAATGGATTGAGTTCAATGGCCCAAGCCCAGCCCCAAGTCGTGCTTGGCATATGTCTCCTGAAATTATGGAGGAGGCTTAGAAAGGAGCTGGGGAGAGGGACACTCAGTATGCATGACCAGGCCAACTCCCTTTGGTTCCCATTCTAGATTTGATTCCCCTGAATCAGACCCTTAGAGGAAATTTCATGTGTCAGATTTTTATTAGGAAGCGTTTCCAGGGAAAATCAAAAGAGGAGTGAGGAACTGAGAAAGAGAAGGGAAACAGGAGGCTCTGCCAGGGTATGGTATCAAGTGAGGCTCCACGGAGCCAAGCTTGGGCTCAGTCCCAAGGGAAGCCCCAGCGACAGTGCACGTGACACCTCCTCATTGTCCCAGCCCCGGGGAAAGGCAGCCAGTCTATTGATTCCCCTGCACCCATTGGTTAAGGGATTTCGCGTGGCTTCCTGGCCACTTCTGGCTCTTTGTGTGCACAGGCAAATGGGGTTCCAGCAGCCTGAAGGCAGGCCCCCACCAGCAAAGAGGTGCAGGTGCTGGCTGTTGGGTTGAGAGCACATTGGGAGCCAGTGTGCATAGCAATGGCAAAGAGGGCAGAGGAGATACAAATGGCAGGTTGACAGCATTTGCCACACATCCCCGGGCAGGGTTTGCATCCAGCTTCTATTCTGGGTCTCTGCTGCAATAACTCTACTTGAGATTGGGATGGATATAGCCAGAACTTGGATTTAGTTGGTTGGCCCTTGACTCTATTAACTGGGAAGTTTCTTCCCTCTGAGGACTCCAGTGCTTCTGGTTCTTCCTGAGGTTCCTGGGGGAGTGGTGAACATCTTCAGATGCAAACTATATTAGTCCTTTTTCACGCTGCTGATAAAGACACACCGGAGACTGGGTAATTTATAAAGAAAAAGAGGTTTAATGGACTCACAGTTCCACGTGGCTGGGGAGGCCTCACAATCATGGTGGAAGGCAAAAGGCACATCTTACATGGCAGCAGACAAGAGAGAAAAAGGGAACGAAGGGAAAGGGGTGTCCCCTTATAAAACCATCAGATCTCGTGAGACTTATTCACTACTGGGAGAACGGTATGGAGAAAACCGCCCCCATGATTCAATTATCTCCTATCCCACCGGGTTCCTGCCACATCACATGGGCATTATGGGAGCTACAATCAAGATGAGATTTGAGTGGGGACACAGCCAAACCATATCACAAACCCTCATGAAGAAGCGTTCACCATCCAGCAGTCTGCAAGAGCACCTGCTCATTGGAGCTAAGACGCAGCAGGTGTAATTCTTGGGCTCAAATAAAAAATTCTCCAATGACCTGACAATGGAATCAAGAGGCATTGTTTAGCAGCAGATCTTCCAAAGACTAACCAACCAACCAAACCAGAACCTTGACTTGTAAGTTGGAGGTGGGAGTGGAAGCAGCTTTCACAGGGTCATAGATTTTCCAGTATGGTGGCTTTGCGTAAATTAGAGAAAGCACCCTTTGCTGGTTGGATGGACACTGCTTGCACTGACACAACTTTGCCATAGAAGAAGACATCTTTTTGGACAGATTCAGCTCAGCGTCAGAGCATAGGATTTGATAAGGAGACTGAGGTGGTGGATTTCAGCCTTCCCTCACACCATCTGTTGGGTGCATTGTGCAGTGTGCACACTGTACAAAGTGCATGACAGCCCGGAGTTTTTCACAGATATGTCTTAATACAATTCACCAGGGATCAAAGGCTGCACCCTTCATGAAGTTGGGAGCTGTGTCAGGATTGCCCACCACTCTGTCCCCTGGCACGAAGTACAGTGCTTGATACAAAGTAGGCATTCGAAAAACACTTGTTGAAGAAACGAATGAATGAATACATTTTAAATGGCTTAGGGATTGCTTGGCATATCATAGTCAATAAATGTTTGCCAAGTGAATGAGTGAATATCCCCGTCAAAAGTCTCATGTGAATTGCCATGGTACCATAGAAGGAGAGACCATATAGTATGCAAACTTGAGCTAGCTTTCCTGGATTCAAATCCTCATCTGCTGTTAAATAGTTGTGTGATCTTGGGCAAGTTACTTCTACTCTCTTTTCCTCTGTTTCATCATCTGTAAAATGGGGTTAATAATAGAACTTACTTTCATAGGGCTATTATGAGGTTAAAAGAGTTAAATGCTTAACACAGTACCTGGCAGATAGTAACTTCTTCATAAATGTTAGCTCTTATCATTACTGGAGGTGACAGCCCTCTCATACTCTGTGTTGCCCGGACCTTTTTAGAGAGCGATGCCACTTTCTGGATGTCATATTCTAAAAGAGACGATGACATATTTCGTAGCTGCTTTGATTGTGAGATCCTCCCAGCGGCTGCTCAAAAAATAATTATTGAATGAATGAAGTGTGTCCCATAAAAATTGTTTAGAAAGGAGTAATTCAGTATGGGGCAAGACAACTTTTAGGAAGCCTTTTGCTTATTCTTTTTCCAGTCTATTCATTGTGGCATAAACTTCGTACTTTGAATACATCAGTTAAGAAGCCCTCTCTACCCACGGCAACCCTCAGCAATTGGTGGGGAGCGACCCACATCCCCAGGAATGAGACCTTATTGGATTTACCCAATTAGTCCAACTCATTCCTCCACTGATTGGTTCAGTGATGGGCATGTGACCCATGATTGGTTCAGAGATGGGCATGTGACCCAGTTTGAGCCGATGAGACGAGAGATGATGCTGGCTGCAGTTTTTGGGAGGAGCTATCTCCAGACTCCACCTCCTATTTGAGGACAACCCTGGAAACCTCTGGCAGCCATCTTGTCTCCATAAGGGGATCCAGTCTTGGTTTGGAGCAGCCTCTGTTGAAAGCTGGGAGGAGACTGGGTGACATTGTTGAGCTCCCGAGTCAACACCTCTAAAGCTGCTCTCCCACGGCCCTGTCAGTCATGGGAACCAATTAATTTCTTTTATTGTCTTAGCTAAAGTTGGGTTTTCTCCTCCCTGCAGGAGGATGGTTTCTAGCTGAGGCATTGGATCTTCATCTATTCTTTTTTCAATCTATTCCTTATGGCATAAACATTGTACATGGAGTTCAGCAGGGCTCAGTGTTTTGAGGCTTTAAAGCCTTGTTTCTTTTCTTTCTTTCTGTTTTTTTTTTGTTTGTTTTGTTTTTTCTTTTTTGAGATGGAGTCTCACTCTGTCATCCAGGCTGGAGTGCAGTGGCGGCGGGATCTCGGCTCACTGCAGCCTTCGCCTCCCAGGTTCAAGCTTTTCTCCTCTCTCAGCCTCACAAGTAGCTGGGATTACAGGCGCCCACCACCACACCTGGCTAATTTTTGTATTTTTAGTAGAGATGAGGTTCTGGCCATGTTGGCCAGGCTGGTCTGGAACTCCTGACCTCAGATGATCCACCCCACTCGGCCTCCCAAAGTGCTGGGAGTACAGGTGTGAGCCACCGTGTCCAGCCAAAAGCCTTGTTTCTTGAATGACATTTCTTCTTCTCAGTCACCTGTCCTGAATCCATAGGTGCATGACTGCATGGCAGGGCTGGAGGGATAGCGGGGAGACTAAGCGTTCCAGAAAATGGAGGGGGAAGAATATGGGTTAAGATCTCAAAAGTTAGCTACCACACTGTGTGTGTGGGGGGGGGGGGGGGCACAGCACTGAGCACTTTATCTGCATTATTTCATTGAATTTTCCCAGCCTCCTGACAAGTTACTGTGATTATGCCCCTTTACAGATGAGGAAACTGAGGCCTAGGATGATTTGTCTGCTACTGAAACCACACATATGGCAGGTAGCCCAGCTTTGTATTGAACCCGGCTGGCTCCAGAGTGTGTGACACCCATTCAGGAGCTGTACTGCAGCCTGGGAGTGGGAACCAGCTAAGAAGCCTGCAGGGTGCAAGGCGCTGAAGATCCATATGGGAATTGCATACAGAGTAATTTTATAGACAATGAAATCTGCAAAGATTGTCCAATATGTGCACTTAAAGCTGTGTGCAGAGGTAATTGCCAAGTTTCCTTTCATTCAAGCGTTTTTAAACAAAGAAGGATGGTCTAACAGGCTGAATGCTCAGCAGGCCAGTTAGAGCATGGAAGGATGGAGCTGAGTCCCGGGAGGTGGCATGGTGAGGGGGACAGGGCTGGGGGTCACCTTCCCCATGGACACCCTCTCTCAGGAGGCTGTGTGCTATGGTGCAAGCAGCATAGGCTTTGCAATCAGACTGACCTAGACTGACTAACCCCTGCCTCCCTCTCACCAACTGTGTGACTCCAGGAAGTACCACTCTCTCTTGAGCCTCAGTTTTCCCACCTGTAAAATGGGGACATCTACTTCCTGGGGCTGCTGTCAGGATTAGGCGGTGTATTAGTCAGGGTTCTCTAGAGGGGCAGAACCAATAGGATATATACATACACACATATATATAGGAGTTTATTACATAGTATTAACTCACATGATCATAAGGTCCTACAGTAGGCTGTCTGTGAGCTGAGGAGCAAGGAAGCCAGTCCGAGTTCCAAAGCTGAAGAACTTGGAGTCCCATGTTCGAGAGCAGGAAGCATCCAGCACAGGAGAAAGATGTAGGCTGGGAGGCTAAGCCAGTCCAGTCTTTTCATGTTTTTCTGCCTGTTTTATATTCTAGCTGCACTGGCAGCTGATTAGATGGTGCCCATCCAGATTAAGGGTGGGTCTGCCTTTCCCAGCCCACTGACTCAAATGTTAGTCTCCTTTGGCAACATCCTCACAGACACACCCAGGATCAGTACTTGCATCCTTCAATCCACTCAGGTTGACACTCATTATTAACCATCACAGGTGGGATAGTGTCCAAAATCTCCTCATGTGTCACATTCTCCAGAGACGTTAGGAACTGTTCTCCCAGCCAGCCTCACACCTGGGGATTTGGGGAAAGCTGCCAGAGCCAAGCCCAATATTCTTCATTTTCCACCAGCCTAGGACATCTGGGGTGAATCTTTTCTCATGCTTTGGGTGACCTTTTTTGTGTAATGTGGTAGAAAGAGAATTGCTTAGTGTTGCCTACTCACTCATCAATGCTCTCTCTTTACCTCCTTGTTTTTATCTTGTCCCCTGTATCAGTCATCTATTGTCCTATTAATGCTGTGTGACAAATTACCCCAAAGTTAGTGACTTAAAATAACCACTTAGGCTTGTGTATGAATCTGAGGGTCAGTTGTAGTTCTGGCTGGGCTAGGCTGGCTGGGCTTATCTCTCCTGGATTTGATCATGCTTCTGCCACCAGCTGGTGGCCTTAGCTTGCCTGAACATGTTCTTGTGGCAGAATCAATGCAGTGAGAGAGGAAGGAGAAGTGCACAAGCACGTTTTAAAGCCTCAGCCTGTGTCAAGTTTTCTTTAGTCCCATTGGTCAAACAAAGTCCAATGGTTAATCCTCAATTCGGGTTGGGGGACATTGCCGAAGGGCATGGATAAAGAGAGGCAGGAATAAGTGGGGCCATTACAGCAACCAGTCTACCACATACCCTCCTGGAAAACCCTAACCACGACCTCCAACTTGCCCTGTTATTTGCCACTGTACAGGCAGCCAGGGAAAAATCCCACCAAAGCTCTTAGATGGGCACCTGCTACCGTTTCACAGTCTCCAACCTCTGTTGTACCTCAGTGTTTTCTAGAAACCCCTAACCTTTACATTGCTATTGCCTATAGCAGATGTCACTTCCTTCCTCAACTCCTACCCATCGTCTCCTCCTTCCCTCTTTTTTTTTTTTTGAGACAGAGTCTTGCTCTGTTGCCCAGGCTGGAGTGCAGTGGTGTAGTCTAGGCTCACTGCAACCTTCATCTCCCATGTTCAAGTGATTCCCATGCCTCAGCCTCCTAGGTAGCTGGGATCACAGGCACGCACCACCACCCTAGGCTAATTTTTGTATTTTTGGTAGAGATGGGGTTTCACCATGCTGGCCATGCTGGTCTTGAACTCCTGAACTCAAATGACCTGCCTGCCTCAGCCTCCCAAAGTGCTGGGATTACAGGCATGAGCCAGCACACTGGACTCCTCCTTCCCTCTTAGCAAATGATCTTATCTCCTAGTTTGCAGAGATAATATAAATGACTAGAAGAAAAGTCAATTGCCTGTCCCTTTTCATTCATTTATATATACATATACATACATACACACATATGTATTTTAATTGAGCTTGTACTATGAGCCAGGCACTGCGTTAGATGCCAATGTTCAGTGGTAAACGGGAAATACAAGGTCCTTGTCCCCATGGACCTTGCATTTGAATGGGGAAGACGTAATAAACAGGTGAACTACTCATGAGTGTAATCCCAATGCTTTGGGAGGCTGAAGCAGGAGGATTGTTTGAGGCCAGGAGTTTGAGACCCTCCTGGGCAAGATAGTGAGATCTCATCTCTCCAAAAAAAAAAAAAAAAATTAGCTGGGTGTGGTGGTATGTGCCTGTAGTCCCAGCTACTCAGGAGGCTGAGGCAGGAGGATCTCTTGAGGCCAGGAGTTTGAGATCAGCCTGGGCAATGCAGTGAGACCCGTCCATCTCAACAACAACAACAGCAACAACAAGTGAACTAATTAACATGGTGGTTCAGGCAGGGATAAGTGCTGGAAAGATAGCAGGACAGAAACATAGGATACAGAGTGCCTGGGGCAGGGGTGATGGAGGCCATGCTTGGGCAGGTTAGTTAGCAGGATATACTATTCAGGTGGGACCTGAACAGCACACAAAGGCCAGTCCTGTGAAGCACCAGGAGAAGCATATTCTAAGTGACAAAGCAGCAAGGGTGTATTCGTCCATTTTCAAACTGCTGTGAAGAAATACTCGAGACTGGGTAATTTATAAAGGAAAGAGGTTTAATGGACTCACAGTTCCACATGGCTGGGAAGGCCTCACAATCATGGTGGAAGACAAAGGAGGAGCAAAGCCATGTCTTACATGGCGGCAGGCAAGAGAGCGTGTGCAGGGCATCTTCCCTTAATAAAACCATCAGATTTCATGAGACTTATTCACTATCAGGAGAACAGCATGGGAAAGCCAGCCCCCCATGATTCAATTACCTCCCACCGGGTCCCTCCCACAACATGGGGGATTGTGGGAGCTACAATTCAAGATGATATTTGAGTGGGGATACAGCCAAACCATATCAGCGGGTGAAGACTCTGAGGCTGGAACCAAGGAGGCCAGTGTGCCTGGAGCACAGCAGTGAGAGGAAGGATGGGGGAGGAAGCACTGGAGAAGGTGGGGAGACCACGTTGGGCCTTGAAAGCCGTGATAAGGACTTTAGGTTTTCTCTAAGTGCAGTGGGAAGCCACTGGAGCATTTTGAACAGGAAAGCCACATGATCTATTTCATACTTTTAAGAGGCCACTCTGGCTGCTGCATGGAGGATGTGTTGCATGAGCCTGTACCCGTACTTTCATCCTTTCTTCCTCTCATGGTAGAAGAAGTGTCTTTCGACCTGTTCCAAACCTACCTGGCTATAGCTCCAACCCCTTCTGCAGCCCCCACCCAAGGGCTCTGCTCCTGATGATCTCTCTTTTCTTTTTTTTTGACGGAGTCTTGCTCTGTCACCCAGGCTGGAGTGCAGTGGTGCGATCTCGGCTCACTGCAACCTCTGCCTCCTGGGTTCAAGCAGTTCTCCTGCCTCAGTCTCCTGAGTAGCTGGGATTACAGGCATGCGCCACTACGCCCAGCTAATTTTTTTTGTATTTTTAGTAGTAGAGACAGGGCTTCACCATGTTGGTGAGGCTGGTCTCTAGACCTCAAATGATTCGCCTGCCTCGGCCTCCTAAAGTGCTGGGATTACAGACGTGAGCCATCACACCCAGCCCTGATGATCTCTTCCTGGGCATGTTCAGTCTCTCCCCACTCCCACCCCATTGGTTCCTTCTCATTAGGTATTAATGTGAGCATGTGTATATGCGTTTGTCTATGTATTCTCTTTTTACATCTGAATAATATCTATCTCCAGACAGATAATATATGTATGGAGTACCTTTGGTGTATTTAATTAGTGGCCCCAATTCTTCTTCCCTTCTTATATACCTACCCTTTGCCATGTACCTTTGAGGTTCCTCCCACTAGGGATAAAACATGCTTCTCAGTCCTAACTTTGGAACTTGTTTTGGCCATTGGTGGAAGTGACAGCATGCCAGATCTGAGTGTAGGTCTCAAGAGAAATTGCTTGTTCTGCATGTGCCTTTTGCTCTTAGGCCCTCGCCATGCCCCAGGGAGCAAGAAGACAGAGACACATGAACCTACCCAGCAGACCAGCCGGCTCTGACTGTGCCTTACACTCAAGCCCCACTGAGCCCAGCCTGAGGTGCTATGGTCTTTGATTTCACAGCAGTAGTTGATTGATACAGTGATATGATCAAATGGTTGCAAAGTGTGAGTCTCTCTCTCTTACCCCTGTCCTTCTAACCCAACTCCTTTCTCCAGAGGCTACCAGAATGGTCAGTTCCTGTGTATCATTTCAGAGATATTGAGGCACACCAGCAATCCCTTGTGTATCTGGACGCATTACACCCTGCTCAATACCCTGTTTTTCTCCACCTTATATATCTCGGAGATCCTTTCATATCAATACATAAAGATTTCCCTCGGCTCTTTTATGGCTCCATGGCCCCCTGTTGGGTGGATTTACTACAGTTTATTTAACCAGGCCCCTACTGATGGACCTTTAGATTGTCCAATGGGTTCATCTTGCTGCTGTCCCGAAAAGACAATGCAATGAACACAGCAGGTTTCTGCAATAGAAAGAGTTTAATAAACACAGAGCTGGTTAAGTGGAAAGACAGGGGTTTATTATTATTCAAATCAGCCACCCCAGAATTTAGAGGCTAGGATTTTTTTTAATTTTTTATTTTATTATTATTATACTTTAAGTTTTAGGGTACATGTGCACAACGTGCAGGTTTGTTACATATGTATACATGTGCCATGCTGGTGTGCATAGCATTAGGAGATATACCTAATGCTAAATGATGAGTTAATGGGAGACTAGGATTTTTAAGGGTAGTTTGGCAGGCAGGGGACAAGGGAATGTGGAATGCTGATTGGTTGGGTCACAGATGAAATGAGGGAGTCAGAGCTTATCTTGCAGTAAATTCCTTGGTGGGGGCCACAAGGCCGGTGGAACCAGTTTCTCGGTGTGGGTTATGGGTTTGGGTGATACCAGCTGGCTTATCAGAATGCAGGGTCTGAAAAATACCTCAAACACCAATGTTAGGTTTTACATTTGTGATGTTATTGATAGGAGCAATTGGGGGCGTTAGGAATCTTATGGCTTCTGGCTGTGTGAATCTTGAGCCACAGTTTCTAGCCTTGTGGCTGTTTGTTTTACAGAGGTGGTCTGATCCCCACACAAGGAGAGGGTCTGTTTCAGGAAGGAGCTGTTATCATCTTGGTTTCAAAGTTAAACTATAAACTAAGTTCCTCCTAGAGTTAGCTTGACCTCCACCCAGGAGTGATCAAGGGTGGCTTGGAAGTTAGAAGCAAGATGGAGTCAGTTAGGTCAGATTTCTTTCACTGCTGTAATTTTTGCAGTAGGGTTTCATAATCTATTGCAATTTCTTTTTTTTCTTTTTTTTTTTTTTTGAGATGGCGTATCGCGCTGTCAGCCAGCTGGAGTGCAGTGGTGTGATCTCGGCTCACTGCAACATCTGCCCACCAGGTTCAAGCAATTCTGCTGCCTCAGCCTCCTGAGTAGCTGGGATTACAGGGACCCACCATCACGCCCCGGTAATTTTTGTATTTTTAGTAGAGACGTAGTTTCGTCGTGTTGGCCGGGCTGGTCTCGAACTCCTGACCTAAAGTGATCAGCCCGCCTTGGCCTCCCAAAGTGCTGGGATTACAGGCGTGGGCCACCGCACCCAGCCCTTTTGCAATTTTGAAGGAGGTGGCTGTGCATATCCCGATGCATGCACATCACTTTTCCTGTGTGCCATTGTGTTTGTAGCTAAAGCCTCAGAAGTCAAATTTCCTGGTCACAAGGCACCTGCACTAGTAACGTTGCTGAGTGGAACCATGTTGTTCCTCATAGGGATTGTCCAGTCAACACATATGCACGCTCAAGCCCCTTCCATCTCACAAAGCCCACCAAAAATGAAGCAACAATAACAACAGCCCTCAAACTGCCCATCATCCCTTCTTCCTTTAGCTTTGCCTGGTCACTTATACTTCTTGAAAAAGGTGTTTACATCCTCTCCCTTTTGTTCCTACTCCATCTGTCTCTTGCCTGCTCTTACCAGTGACTCTCTGCTCAAAAGTCCAGTGGACAGCAGGTCACGGTGGTGTGTGCCTGTAGTTCCAGCTATTTGGGAGACTGACGTGGGAGAATCACATGAGGCCAGGAGTCCAAGACCAGCAAGAGCAATATACTGAGACCCCATCTCATAAAAATAAATAAATATTCAAATGGACATGGTTCAGCAGCTACTGGACATTTGTTCATGTCACTAAAAGCCACGCCCTCCTTCTTGAATGCTCTGTCTGGCTTACCCTGGAAAATTCTGGGAATTCCTTTAGCATGCCCCACAGGAAGAAATAAAAAACACTGAAATACTCCATGGAGGATTTAGGAAGACCATGAGCATTCTTGATTTTGTCAGTACTTTATTCACAGTTCAATCAAGTTGTTTGGTATATTGGAAATAGTTCGAATATTCAGGTGTAATTGGGTTAATGAATAACAAGATGGGGCTCCAGTTTCAATGGTGTCAGAACCCCTGCGTTGAACCAGAGCTTCTCAAACTTTGATGTGCAGACAATCACATGAGGAACTCGCTTAGAATGCAGTTTGCTTCCATGGGTTATGGATGAGGCTTGAGATTCCTCATGTTTCCTTTCTTTCTTTCTTTTCTCTCTCTTCATTCTCACTGCCTACATGCTCCCCTACATGTGTACCCAATCCCTAATCTCATCACATGTACGTGTCCAATTTTCTTTCAGTCATTTTGCATACATTTGACCCTGTGTATCCATGGTGCCACATCTGTGGATCCAATGAAGTGTGGATCAGAAATATCCAGAAAAAGGCCAGGCACGGTGTCTCATACCTGTAATCCCAGCACTTAGGAAGGATGGGGCAGGAGGATCACTTGAGTCCGGGAGTTTGAGACCAGCCTGGTCCAACATGGTGAAACCCTGTCTCTACTAAAAATGCAAAAATTAGCTGGGCTTGGTGGTAGGCGCCTGTAATCCCAGCTACTTGGGAGGCTGAGGCAGAAGAATCGCTTGAACCTGGGAGGCAGAGGTTGCAGTGAGCCGAGATCGCGTCACTGCACTCGAGCCTGGATGACAGAGCAAGACTCCATCTCAAAACAACAACACAACAACAACAACAGCAACACAGCAACAAGAACAACAAAATATTCAGAAAAAAATACAAAATAACAGTACAGCAATAGCAAATAATATAAACGAAAAGGAGTACAGTATAATAACTACTTAAGCAGCATTTACATTGTTAGGTATTATAAGGAATCTAGAGAGGATTTAAAGTATACGGTAAGATGTGCAAGGGTTACATGCAAATACTACCACATTTTATATAAGGAACTTGAGCATCCATGGCTTTTGGTATCCTGCCGATACCAAGGGATGACTGGATTTCCAATTCTTCAAACACCACCTCATTCAGATCACAGGGGAATGCTCTTTGTGTGCAATTGTTTTTTTTTTTTTCTTTCTTTTCTGAGATGGAGTCTCACTTCGTCGCCCAGGCTGGAGTGCAGTGGTGCGATTTTAGCTCACTGAAGCATCTGCCTCCCAGGTACAAGTGATTCTCCTGCCCCAGCCTCCTGAGTAGCTGGGATTACAGGGGCCAGCCACCACGACTGGCTAATTTTTGTATTTTTAGTAGAGACGGAGTTTCAACATGTTTGCTGGGCTGGTCTCGAACTGCCGACCTCAGGTGATCCACCCACCTTGGCCTCCCAAAGTACTGGGATTACAGACGTGAACCACCACACCCAGCCTCAACATTTTTTCTCTAACACGGAGCCTGGCACCTAGTAGATGCCCAGTGAATGCTAGAAGAAGAAGGGGAAGGGGAAGGGGAAGAAGAAAGAAGAAGAAGACGAAGAAGAAGGAGAAGAAGAAGAAGGAGGAAGTGGGGGGAGGAGGAGAAGCAGGAGGAGGAGGAGAAGGAGGAGGAGGAAGAAAATATTTGCTTTCCAATTCCGCACCTGCCTCCTGAGAGCTGTGTAACCTCTGGCAAATGAACAAACCTCTCTGATCCTTCACGACAGAGTTGTGAAGATTAGATAAGATAAAAACATTAATGCCCTTGCCTTGTCATGTTGGGTATTTACTTAACGCTGATGACAAAGTACATATATCCACAGGCTTCTGTCCTGGTGGAGTCCTTGAGCACTCTTTGTGTTTCTAGATACTACAAAGTATTGGGGACACAGCAAATAAGATTCTGACTGCTTAGTCCTTACTGTTTAGGGTGTGGGCTCTAATTAAATGCATAGTTACAACCCTCTAACATATATACAACAATTGCATGTGAGCTCTTTTTCCAAGGTGGGAGAGGGAGGCTTCCAGCTCTCTGGACCATGGCTTTCCTGAGAGCCTCTCTCTAATGCCTCCAGCTTTATCCACTTTCCCTTCCTTACCAGCTACCTTCGTTTTCATTTTCTGAAATGACAAAGC
Source organism: Homo sapiens (assembly GCF_000001405.40). Taxonomy (NCBI): domain Eukaryota; kingdom Metazoa; phylum Chordata; class Mammalia; order Primates; family Hominidae; genus Homo; species Homo sapiens. Next base: position 27,015,861 of record NC_000016.10, on the reverse strand, counting down.
AGTCTGCCTTTTATCTGTTTATCCTGCCAAAGCTCCATAGGTACTAGCAGGCTGGCCTTTGAAGCGGGGGTGGGTGGGCTGGAGGCAGCTCCATTCATTTTCCAGTTAAGCTGGAAGCTTTGTGGGCACATTCTCAGGAGGGAAGGACGGGTTCCCAGAGGAAACCTGCAGAATGGGCCTGAGTTGGAAAGGGATTTTCATAAAGGGAAAGACCAGTCAGGATGCAAAGTGAAATTGGTCTTTAGAAGTTGGGAGGGAGCTTGTTGCCCAGGGAGCGGTTGCTGGGTGGGACCCCTGGGGAAGGTCCAGAAATTTGGAGGAGGTGGGCAGGACCGGAGTTAGTTGACAAGGGGTGGAAACTGTGTCTGGGCATCTGCGTGGTACAGATCCCCAAGCACACGACCACCTGGGCATATTTCCTGCGTATTTTTATGCCTTAAGTGTGTGTTGCGGATGTGGCTCCCACACGTTTTTTAAAAAAATTATTATTTTTTTTTGAGACAGGGTTTTGCTCTGTCACACAGGCTGGAGTGCAGTGGTGTGATCTCAGCTCAATGCAACCTCCACCTCCTGGGTTCAAGTGATTCTCCTGGCTCAGCCTCCCAAGTAGCTGGGAATTACAGGTGCACATCACCACACATGGCTAATTTTTTGTATTTTTAGTGGAGATGGGATTTCACCATGTTGGCCAGGCTGGTCTCGAACTTCTGACCTCAAGTGATCCGCCCACCTCGGCCTCCCAAAGTGTTGGGATTACAGATGTGAGCCACCGTGCCTGGCCCGTCACATGTGTTCTGACTGTACATGTGGTTTGATTTGTGTGACTCTCTTGTGTGCACAGCATGTATATGGCCACGATGATTGGATTTCTCATGACGGTCTTCATGCATGCACTTATGCTCTCTACAATCTTCAGGTGTCCAATGTTACTGCAGGTGCTGGGAGATTGGAGGATAGGAAAAGAGAAGGGAGAGAGAGGGAGAGAAAATGTGTTTGCTGCCCTCCTGGAGCTAGAGTTGAGGAGACAGACACAGACCAAGAAGTGACAGGAGCAAATATGAAATTGCAGTCGTGATGGTTGCTCTGAAGCAGAGATGCATGGCATGGGAGGGATACACAGCAGGGCTGTGCCTGAGTCAGGGAGGCCAGAGACAATTTCCACCAGGATGTGGTCCGTGTGTTGAGATACCAAAGGTGAGTGGGTGAGTGGGAGTTATTTATCTGAAGAGAGGATGGGTTTGAGTTATCAATTTTTTTTTTTTTGAGATGGAGTCTCACACTGTCTCCCAGGCTGGAATGCAGTGGTGCAATCTCAGCTCACTGCAAACTCTGCCTCCCGGGTTCACGCCATTCTCCTGCCTCAGCCTCCCTAGCAGCTGGGACTACAGGCACCTGCCACCACGCCGGCTAATTTTTTGTATTTTTAGTAGAGACGGGGTTTCACCGTGTTAGCCAGGATGGTCTCTATCTCCTGACCTCGTGATCCGCCCGCCTCGGCCTCCCAAAGTGCTGGGATTACAGGCATGAGCCACTGCACCCAGCTGAGTTATCAATAGTTTTTAATTTTTATATTTGGACATCAGTTACACAGAGGCCACTTAGCCACACTCCTTCACTTGTGGCACACTGACAGCAATAGTCCAGGCAACGATTAATTATATATACTTTTTATCTCCCATCTCTCTTCCCATTTCATTGCTCCCCTAGAGGCAGCTGCTCTAATAGATTTTAAATGTGTTTTGAAATAAGTGTGTACTTTGGAGAAATACAGAATGTTGATTTTTAGGCGCGCGCTTGTGTGTTTAATTACAAAAATGGTGTCATGCTGTAGCTCTCAACCTGCTTTTACTCTTTCCCCTGCTATGCATTAGGAATTTCTTCTATGCTGCTTTTTGCCCCTTTATTTGACTCCATCTGACTCCTTCTTAGCACGTGTTCCCCTTGTTTAGGGCACCTCGGTTAGCTCGCACCTCATGCTACCAATTGGAAGGCTGCCATGAGCGTTCTCACTCGTGTCCTTGTTATTGCTCTGCCTAAGTGTGTCTTCCTTTAGGTTGTCTGGAAAGCGACACCTGAGACAAAGACTTGGGAACAGTCAATTCATTTAGGAGGTGATTCCAGAAGCATAGTGAAGGAACAGGGAAAATGAGAGAAGGAATACAGACGTCAACGAAACGTGCTTTAATGAGCTGCTTACCTATGTGGCCTACTGAGGCTTAGCACCACCCGGGAACCTCTAACCACTGCAGGTTGCTTTAGTGGGTCCCCAGGGGAAAGAGAGGCATTGCTGGGCAGAGGTCCCAATCCCAGCACCTTTCCCTTGCTTCTGTTCTCCCTCCTTTCTTTCTTTCTTTTTCTTCTTTTTTTGAGACAGGGTCTCGCTCTGTCCCCCAGGCTGGAGTGCAGTGGTGTGATCTCAGCTCACTGCAACCTCCGCCTCCTGGGTTCAAGTGACTCTCCTGCCTCAGCCTCCCGAGTAGCTGAAACTACTACTGATGGCTGATTCCCTGCTGAAACTCACTGGAGGAATTGCAGTGCTTCACCTGATGAGATGAGGTGAGACTCAGTTTTCCTGGGGGCCTGCCACCACGCCCGGCTAATTTTTTTATTTTTAGTAGAGACGGGGTTTTACGATGTTGGCCAGGCTGGTCTCAAACTCCAGACCTCAAGTGATCCGCCCGCCTCGGCCTCCCAAAGTGCTGGGATTACACGTGTGAGCCACTGCACGCAGCCTGTTCTCCCTCCCTCTTTTCTTTCTTCCACTATGCTCTGAGGACATGGCAGTGAACACAACAGGTGCCTCCTGCTCTCATGGAGATTATATTCTTCTGGGGGAGTGGGGAGATACTGATAATCAACAAGTGAAATTTAAGGTAATTTCAGACTGTTATGTGCTGTGAAGAAAATAAGATGCCAGCACTTTGGGAGGCCAAAGCAAGAGGATCAGTTGAGCCCAGGAGTTAGAGACTAGCCTGGGCAACATAGCAAGACCCTGTCTCTACAAAAACATTAAAAAAAAATTAGCTGGGCATGCATCTGTGGTCCCAGCTACTTGGGAAGCTGAGATTGGAGGACCACTTGAGCCTGCGGGCAGGAGGAGGTTGCAGTGAGTCATGCCGCACCACTGCACTCCAGCCTGGGCAACAGAACAAGACCTTGTCTCAAAAAAAAAAAGAGAAAAAAGAGAACAAGAAAAGACATGGTAATGGACTAGAAAGTGTCTGGCATGAGAGTATCCAGGCGGGTAATTCAGATTTTGCAATCAGGGACAGCCTCTTTGAGGAGGTAAACTTCAGGCTTATGTGAGAGGGAACCAGCCATGGGAAGGTCTCTGAAAAAAGCATTTCAGGCAGAAGGAACAGTGACTGCAAAGGCCCTGAGGTGGGAACACACTTGTTCTATTCAAGGACTAGCAGAAGAAAGATGACTGTGGGCAACAGGGGGAGGAGGTGAGGTCAGAAAGGTGAGCAGTGGCTGGGTCACGCAGGATGCCACAGGCCACGATCAGCTGTCAGGCAGGATCTTACTCGGCCTGGAAAAGCAAATGCTCCTTGGGGTGATTTATCCTTCTGGGCGATGGCGGCACTCTCCTTAGCTATGTAATAAATAGTTCTAAAGCCACACCAAGAAGGTGGTGGAAGGTTATCTCTAACAATAAGAAAATACCCTACAGGAAGTCTGCTCTCCCACCTCCTATTACAGTCAGAACTTTGCTACTGCATCCCTCATAGATGGTCATTCCACCTGGGCTTGCACACCTACGGCAACCGGAGACCATGCGACAGCCCATTTCTGTCATTTAGGACTGTTTTGGTTGCAAGTGACAGGAAAGAAATCAAAGCAGCTTAGATAGAAAGGGAGTTTGTTGGCTGATGTAACAGAAAAGTCAAGGGATAGCTTCGGGCACGTCTTGATCCAGATCCCAGATGATGTTTAGATTCAGGGTCTGTCTCTGTCACTGAGCTCTGCTTTCTCTGTTTTGGTTTTGTCCTCAGACAAACTCTCTTGGAGCAGAATGAAAAAGCTCTTAGGCAACATTTTATTATTTTTATTTTTTTCCAAGATAGAGTCTTGCTCTGTCTCCCAGACTGGAGTGCAGTCATGCAATCTTGGCTCACTGCAACTTCTGCCTCCTGGGTTCAAGCAATCCTCTTGCCTCAGCCTCTCAAGTATCTGGGATTGCAGGCTGGCTAATTTTTGTATTTTTAGTAGAGATGGGGTTTCATGTTGGCCAGGCTGGTCTCGAACTCCTGACCTCAAGTGATCCATCCGCCTCGGCCTCCCAAAATGCTGAGATTACAGGTGTGAGCCACCGTGCCTGGCTTAACATTTGAATGAAAGCCTGTTTCTGAACAATTTGGGCCATATGCACATCCCTGAACCAATTGCAGTGGTCACAAAATTAGTTGAGAGTCCTGGGCCCTTTCACTGTCTTACAGTGTAACAGGGATTTCTTTTTTCAGTTACCAGGTGGATATAACTTGCTTGTATGATTGCTATTTTGATTTAAGTACAAATGCTAGGTTTGAAAAAGAAGAGTGTGATTGACTTACAGCAATAATATTTTAGAGAGTCCGTAGGTTACTGAGGCTAGAGTTACACTTTAGGTGTTTTGTTTTTTAAATTTAAATTTTTTTTTTTTTTGAGATGGAGTTTCACTCTTGTTGTCCAGGCTGGAGTGCAGTGGTGCCATCTTGGCTCACTGCAACCTCCGCCTCCCGGGTTCAAGTGATTCCCCTGCCTCAGCCTCCCAAGTAGCTGGGACTACAGGCACTCCCACCACACCTGGCTAATTTTGTATTTTTAGTAGAGATGGGGTTTCACGATGTTGCCCAGGCTGGTCTCAAACTCCTGACCTCAGGTGACCCACCTGCCTCGGCCTCCCAAAGTGCTGGGTTTACAGGTGTGAGCCACCGCACCCTGCCAGCGTAGGTGTTTTGATAAGAGCCAGAACTACATCCAGCTGGCTCCTGAAGGTGTAGGCCAATATTGTTTATCTCTGGGGGGATGCTGAAGACCTGGACATCACAAGGCATTGCTGTGGCTGATGCCCCTTGCTGAAACTCACTGGAGGAATTGCAGTGCCCCACCTGATGAGATGAGGCGAGACTCAGTTTCCCTGGGGGCCAGTGCATTCTAAATGCTGTCCACTCTTCTTCACTGCCATTGTCATTTATTTCATTTTGCCTGGACAAGTGAGATTATAACAACTGTTTATGGCCCTTGGGGCTAGAACACCTCTTCTTTGCACTCCACTTTTCTTTTCTTTTCTACTGGATGGAGGGAGCATCTGGGGAACGTTCAAGTTTATTTTGGTTTTATCCATAGCTTGGGTGTTTGTGTTCTGATGTTCTCTTACACCAGTTCAAGGTTTGGCTACTGTCAGTTTTTATAAATTTTTAATTTCATTTCTTTTTTTTTTTTTTAGATGGAGTCTTCGTCTGTCACCCAGGCTGGAGTGCAGTGGCATGATCTCAGCTTACTGCAGCCTCCGCCTCCTGGGTTCAAGCGATTCTCCTGCCTCAGCCTCCTGAGTAGCTGGGATTATAGGTACCTGCCACCATGCCCGGATAATTTTTGTATTTTTGTATTTTTTTTTTTTTTTTTTAGTAGAGATGGGGTTTTACCATGTTGGCCAGGCTGGGCTTGAACTCTTGACCTCAAGTGATCCGCTTGCCTTGGCCTCCCAAAGTGCTGGGATTACAGGCATGAGCCACTGTGCCTGGCCAGTTTTTCTATTTTTTTAAAGAGACAGGGTCTCACTCTGTCACCCAGGATGGAGTGCAGTGGTGTGATCATAGCTCACTGCAGCCTTAAACTCCTGGGCTCAAGTGAACCTCTCATCTCAGCCTCCCAAGTTGCTGGGATACAGGCACAAAGCACCACAGCTGGCCCATCTGTTTTTTAAATTAAATGTTTAAATTTTGAGATAACTGTAGATTCACACACAGTTGTAAGAAATAATACAAAGATGCTATGTCCCCTTTACCCCACTTTCCCAGTGGCAAAACCGTAGTACAGTATCACAACTAGGATATTGACGTTGATACAGTCAAGACACAGAATATTATTATCACCACAAGGATGCCTCATGCTGCCCTTTTATGGCCACATCCACTTCCCTCTCACCTCCACTCCCTCCTTACCTCCTGGAAGTCACTAATGTGTTCTCTATTTCTATAATTTTGTCATTTCAAGGACGTTATGTATATGTATAATCATTCAGTATGTAACTTTTGGGTTGGCTTTTTTTCACTCAGCATAGTTCTCTGGCGATTCATCTGGGAGATTCAACAGAGTGGATCAATAGTTCATTTATGGCTGGGCGTTGTGGCTCATACCTGTAACCCCAGCACTTTGAGAGGCTGAGGCAGGCTGATCACTTGAGGTGAGGAGTTCGAGACCAGCCTGATCAACATGGTGAAACCCCGTCCCTACTAAAAATACAAAAATTAGCTGGGTGTGGTGGTGGGCGCCTGTAATCCCAGCTACTCAGGAGGCTGAAGCAGGAGAATTGGTGGAACCTGGAAGGCAAAGTTTGCAGTGAGCCGAGATTGAGCCACTGCACTCCAGCCTGGGTGGGAGTGAGATTGCGTCTCAAAAAAAAAAAAAGTTTATTTGTTTATATATTCATTTATTTATTTATTTTTGTTAAGTAGTTTTGCAAGTTATGGATGTACCACAGTTTGTTTAACCATTCATCAGTTGAAGGACATCTGGGTTATTTCCGGTTTTGGGTTATCACAAATAAAGCTGTTACAAACATTCATGTGCAGGTTTTTGTGTGAACATATGTCTTCATTTCTCTGAGATGAATGCCTAGAGAAGTTCCAGGTCATCTGGTAGTTACACGTTTAATTTTGTAAGAAAATTTCAGACTGTTTTCCACAGTGGTTGTACCATTTTACAGTCCTACCAACTATATAGGCATAGTTGAAGTTTCTGCATTCTTGCCAACATTTTGTGTTGTCATCGTATTTTTTTCAGTCATTCATGCAGATGTGTCATAATATCTCATTGTGGGTTTAATTCTCATTTCTCTAGTAGTTGACTATATTGACCATCTTTCCAGTGCTTGTTGCCATTTCCATATCCTCTTTGATGAAATGGTTCATGCCTTTTGCCCATATTGTAATTGGATGCATACTTTTTTATTCTTGAATGTTGAGAGCTCTTTATACATTCTAGATGCTGGTTCTTTGTCAGATATGTGGTTTGCAAATATTTTCTTCCAGTCTGTAGCTTGTCATTTCATCTTCTTAACAGGACCTTTTGCAGAGAAAAAGTTTTTAATTTTATTAAGACCAATTTATCAATTTTCCTTTTATGGACTGTGCTTTTGGACCTCTTTGCATAGCTGTAGATCCTGAAGATTTTCTCCTGTTTTATGTATTTAATAGCTTTACATTTTACCTTGAAGTCTATGATCCATTCTGAATTCATTTTTGTATAAATTGTGACTTAGGTCAAGATTCTTTTTTTTTTTTTAACCTATGAATGTTCAATTGCTCTAGCACTATTTGTTGAAAAAGCTATCTTTCTTTGTCTTGCTTTTGTACCTTTGTTGAAACAAGTTGGGCAAATTCGTAAGGGTCTATTTCTGAGTTCTCTCTTCTGTTTTATTGATCCCTGTTTGTAGTCCTCCACCAGTAATGCACAGTCTTGATTACTGGAACTACAGAATAAGTCTTGAAATCATGTAGACTGACTGGTCTCACTTTCTTCTTCTTTCAAAATTGTTTTAGCTATTCTAATTCCTTATGTTTTTCCATGAGACTTTTAAAATAGTCTTGTATATACCATGTTTGCAAAAACATACTTCTGCGATTTTGATAGGAATTACAAAATCTATGTATCAATTTGGGCAGAATAGGCATCTTTATACACTGAATCTTCCAATCCATGAATAAGATATGGTGTATCTCTTCATTTATTTAGATCTTCTTTGACTCTTTTCATCTGTGTTTTGCAATTTTCAGCATACAAATCCTATACATGTTTTGTTAGACGTATACCCAAGTATAGTTTTGTTGTTGTTGAGTGATTGCAAATGGTATTGTATTTTTGACTGTGGTGTCCACATATTTATATAGACATATAGTTGACTTTGGAAAATTTTCTTGTATCTTATGAACTTGCCGAATCCACTTATTAGTTCTGGAAGTTTTTTTTGGTAGATTTCTTGATATTTTTGATGTAAACAAGTCATGTTATATGCCAATAGGGACTGTTTTACCTCTTTCTTTTTGATCTTTCTGCCATTTTTTTATTTATTTTTATTTTTTTTAATTTTTTTTGCCTTATTGGGCTGGCTAGAACTTCCAGCACTATGTTGAGTAATATCTTAAGAGAAAACTATTTGGTATTTTGCCATTACAATTTTAGTTCTAGATTTTTTTGAAGAAACTCTATCTTGGAGGAAATTTCCTTCTATTCTTATGTTTCTGAGAGGTTTTAGGAATGGTTGTTGAATTTTGTCTAATACTTATTATTTGATGTTTAACAAATTACTAAGTATTTGTCAAACACTGTATCATTTGAAATGACCATGCAATTTTTCTTTAGTCTGTTAATATGGTGGATTATGCTCATTGATTTCTGAATATTGAGTCAACTTTGCATCCTTGGAATAAACCCCACTTGGTGATGGTGTATAATTTTGTTTTATACATCGTTCATCTTTACCTGCTGATATTTTGTTGAAGATTTCAGTTTCTATATTCATGGGAAATATTGATTTGAAGTTTTCTGGTTTTTTTGGTGTGGTCTTTGTCCAGTTTTGGTTCCAAGCTAATATTAACTTCTTTAAATGAATTGGGAAGTGTTCTCTTCTCTTCTGTGTTCTTGAAGATATTGTGTAGAATTGGTGTTAGTTTCCTTTAAGCATTTGATAGAATTCTCCATTGAAACAATTGGTGCCTGGAGACTCTTTCTTTGGTGTTTTAAAATTGCAGATTTAATATTCTTGATCGTTATAGGGCTATTCAGATTATCTATTTAATATTGGGTGAGTTGTGCTAGTTTTACTTTTTGAGGAATTGGTCCATTTCATCTAAGTTTCCAAACTTGTGTATGTATAGTTGTTTGTAGTATTACCTTATTATCTTTTTGATGTTTGCAGGATCTGTAATGATATCTCCTCTTTCTTTCCTGATCTTTGTAGCTTGTGTCTTCTCTCTCATGTTACTTTATCAGTCTTGTTAGAGGTTTGTCCAAATTACTGATCTTTGTTCAAAGAACCAGCTTTTTGGTTCATTGATTTTATCTATTGTGTTTCTGCTTTCAATTTTTAAAATTTCTGCTCATCATTATTGCCTTAGTCTGTTTGGGCTGTTGTAACAAAATACCTGAGACTGAGTAATTTATAGAAAACAGAAATTTATCCCTCACAGTTCTGGAGGCTAGAAATCCAATATCAATTTAAGTGCCAGCAGATTGGTGTCTGGCGAGCTGGTGAGGGCCCTATCTCCACTTCCCAATTGGCTTTTTTGCTGTGTCTTCCGGAGGGGATGAATGCTGTGTTCACACATGGTGGAATGGTGGAAGGTCCAAAAAGGGCTTAATAGCTAGCTTCCTCCAGCCCTTTTATAAGGTCACTAATTTTATTCATGAGGGCTCTGCCTCATGGCCCCGTCACCTCCTAATGGCCCCACCTGATAATGCTGGTGCATTGGGGATTAAGTTTCAACATGAGATTTGGAGGGGACACAAGCATTCAAACCACAGCAATTATTTCTCTACTTCTGCTTTCTCTCAATTTATTTTGCTCTTCTTTTTTTTTTTTTTAAGTTTATTGGTGTAGAAAATTGGATTGATGATTTGATACCTTTCTTCTTTTCTAATGTAGGCACTGCTGTAACTGTGTTCCACAAATTTTTAGATGGTGTGTTTTCATTTTCTTTTAGTTCACTGTACTATTTGATTTCCTTTGAGACTTTCTCTTTGATTCATGGGTTATTTAGAAGTGTGTTGTTTAGTTTCCAAGTGTTTGGAGATTTTCTTGTTTTCTTTTTGTTACTGATTTCTAGTTTGATTTTATAGAACTCTTTGAACATATTCTGTATTGAGAATGTTGTCTATTTGGGTGTGTTTTTTTAATGGGCATTTGAAAAGAACATGTACTCTTATATTTACATGGAATGTTCCATAACTGTCAATTAAATCACATTGGTTGATTGTATTTTTGAGTTTTATTACAGGCTTGCTGATTTTCTGTCTAGTTGTTTCTTATCAGTTCTTGAGAGAGGGGTGTTGAAGTCTCCAACTATGATTGTGCATTTTTCTATTTTTCCTTTCAGTTCTATTAGGTTTTATTGCATATATTTTGTAACTCTTGTTTGGTACATACACATTTAGGATTGCTATGTCTTCTTGGTGGATTCCCCTTTTGTCATTATATGATGCCTCTTTCTGTCTCTGATAATTTTTTTTTGTTCTGAGGTCTTACTTTATATGACTGAAATTAATGTAGCCACTGCTATTTTCTTTTGGTTAAAGATTGCATGATATATCTTTTTCTAACCTTTTACTTTCAACCTACCTATATCATTATGTTCAAAGCAAGTTTCTTGTAGGCAGCATATAGCTGGGTTATATTTTTCAATCCACCCTTCCAATCTCTGTATTGTAACTGGTATATTTATTCCATTTACATTAATTTAATTGTTGATATGTTAGGGCTCACGTCTGCCATTTTAGGTTTTGCTTTATATTTTTCATTCTATCTTATATTTTTTCCTGCCTTTCTGTAGGTTAATAATATTCAGAATTCCATTTTGATTGAAGTACAGTCTTTTTGAGAGTATCTTTGTGTAGCATTTTTAGTTGTTGCTCTTGGTATTACTTTATATACACATAATTTATCAGAATCTACCAGTGGAATAATAATTTTACCAGTCTGAGTAAAGTATAGAAACCCGTCCTTTTTTTTTTGGTTTGTTTTGTTTTTTTGTTTGTTTGGTTTTTTTTTTGAGACAGAGTCTTGCTCTGTCACCCAGGCTGGAGTGCAATGGTGCCATCTTGGCTCACTGCAACCTCCGCATCCTGGGTTCAATCAATTTCCCTGCCTTGGCCTCCTGAGTAGCTGGGATTACAGGTGCCCAGCATCATGCCCATCTAATTTTTGTATTTTTTAGTAGAGACGGGCTTTCACCATGTTGATCAGGCTGGTCTTGAACTCTTGAGCTCAGGTGATCCACCTGCCTTGGCCTCCCAAAGTGCTGGGATTACAGGCGTAAGCCACTGTGCCCACCAAACCTGTCCTTTTTTAAACATCTTTTTGCCTTCCCTGTTTATAATACCATCTATAACATAATACAATCTTCAATATTTCCTGCACATACATTTGGATTCATGTCAGTGTTACAATATTTGCTTCTTGTGGGTTCTCTTTCTTCAGAATATTCTAAGATTCATTTATTCCATTTCTGCTTGGAGAACTTCCTTCAGTCATTCATTTAAGGCAAGTCTGCTGTTGACAAATTCCCTTAGTTTTTCTTCATTGGAGAATATCTTGATTTCTCCTTTATACCTGAAGGGCATATTCCCTGGGTTGATAAATCTTTGTTCCAGCTCTTGAAAATTATTGTGCCACTTCTTTCTGGTCTTCATAGTTTTTAATGAGAAATCTACCATCATTCAATTTGTTTTTCCTCTATATGTAAGGCATAGTTTTCCTCTTGCTGCTTTCAAGATTTTTTTTTTTGCTTTAGTTTTCAGTATTTTAATTGTGATATATCTTCACATAGATTTTTTAAGATTTATCTTCTTTGGGATTCAGTCAGCTTTTTGAATCTGTGAATTTATCTTTTTTTTTTTTCTGTGTGTCAAATTTGGGAAGTTTTCAGTCATTTTTCTTCAAATAGTTTTTTAACCCTGTTCTTTCCCCTTTGTCCTTCCAGATCGCCAAAGGCATAAATGTTAGATCTTTTGTTATGGTTCCACAAGTCCCTGAGGCTCTGTTAATCTGCTTTCAGTCTATTTTCTCTCTGTTGTCCAGATGAATACTTTCTATTTTTTTTATCTCCCAGTTACCAATTCTTTGTTCCCTTCATTCTGCAGTTGGGGATATCCACTGAGCTTTTTATTTTGGTTATTGCATTTTTTCAGTTGTAAAAATTCTGCTTGGTTCTTCTTTATATCTTCTATTCCCTTGCATAGGCTTTCTATTTTTTTCATTTGTTTCCTTTGTGCTTATAATTTCTCACTGAGGCATTTTTATCATGGCTGCTTTAAAATCTTTGTCAAATAATTCTATTATCTATGTCATCTTGGTGATGGCATCTTTTGATTGTCCTTTTTTCATTTAGTTTGAGACCTTCCTGATTCCTGGTAAGATGTATAACTTTCTTTTGAATCCTAGACAATTTTATTGTATGTAATATGAGAGGCTCTGGATCTTACGTAGGCCTTCTGTTTCCACTTGCTTTACCTGACACTTCTCCAGCAGCAGAGGTGAGGTTGCTGCCTAATTACTACCAGGTGGAAGCAGAAGTTTAGGTTTCCCAGTTGGCCTCTGTTGACACCTGGTGGGAGGGTGGGATTTCATTGTATTTGCTGGGTGGAAGTGGAATTCTGGTTCCCTATGTGGTCTCTATGGACACAGCTGTGGGAGTGTTCTTGTTCCTGATAGAAATGACTTTTCACTCGGCCTCTTGGGACAACATTCCGGTAGGTAAAGGGAGAGATGCCTGGTTACTGTGTGGTGTGAGTGGAAGTCTAGGCTCCCTCAGTGGCCTCCACTGACATCCTGGAGGGGACAGCTTCATTAAACTGGCCATCAAGAATGAAAGTCCTGGATACTTATTCAGACTTTTCTGATACCGCCCTAATGTGGGAGCTGGGTGCCTTTTTATATCTTTGCAAACATATATGTGTAGGCTCCCCACTTGGTGTTTGCTGGTATGGGTGGTAGTGGAGTCATGTTTTTTGTCTGTTTGTTTATTTTCTGTTGTGTTTGGCTGCAACAGAGTGGTTATTGTCTAAAGGTTTTCTCTCATACGAGGCTGCCCTGTTTCCGGTTCTTTTGCTGGAGAGATCAAGCTTTTGTTAGTGCTTATTCTTGTCTGTGACTGTTGGTTTTTCTGGGTTTCCATCCTTTAACTCTAAGCCTGAGATATACAAGGCAAAAACAAACAGACAGACAAACAAACAAACAAAGCAGAATGGAAACATCCAGGGAACTAACTACTGTGTTGTTCTTTGGGCCCCAAGTTTCTCAGCTGGTCTGCCTTCTTTTCCCTACCTTTTAAAGTCTACTTATATTTGTTTTATATATGATATCCAGGGTTTTTATTTGTACTTAGTGGAAAGAAAAGGGAAAAGTGTATCTACCACCTTTTTCCAGAAGCAGAAATCTGACTGCTGTGACTTTTAAATATTTGTCTCTTTCTTGAACTGAAATCTGCCTTCATGTTAGAGCCATCATTGATCCCAGCCTAGCCCTGGAATTGTCCCAAATGAAGTGAAATTATATCCTCCATGGCAGCCCTTGGAATATTGGGAGACTGTGGCCATGTCCTATCCCTCTTCAGGCCAGAGGCTGTGTTTTTGCAGTAATTGCTCAGAGCTCATCAGTGTTGCAAAGCCCACCAACCCTGCACTGTCTAGGTCTCCTGATGTTTGTGAATGTTCTTTCATACAATTATTCATTTATTGTCTGGCACTAGTTTCCCTTCTGACCTCATCTCCTCCACTCCTTAAATCAAACCTATTCTCTTCCAGCCACACTGACCTTCAACATGCCAAACACTTTTCTGCCTTAGGGTCTTTGAACTTGCTGTTTCCTCTGCCTGAAAAACTCTTTCTGCAGATATTTTCACCATCTCTCCCATCTATCTGCCTAATCAGGCCATCTTATCAACAGAACTTCTCTGCCACCTCTGTATAAAATAGTCCCCTGCTCCCGAGCATCTCTTTCCCTTCCCCTAATTTATAGTTCTTCGACAACTTATACCATTTGTTATGGACTGAATGTTTTTGTCCCCTCAAATTTAAATGTTGGGATCCTAACCCTTACTGTGATTGTATTAGGAGTTAGGAGGTAATTAAGTCATGAGGGTGAAAACCTCTTGAATGGGATTAGTGACCTTGTAAGAGGAGAAAGAAGAGAGATAATTTTTCTTTTGGTCATGTGAGAATACAAGAAGAAGATGGTCCTCTGCAAACTAGGAAGAGAGCCCTCACCAGACACTGGATCTCCTGGCACCTTGATGTTGGACTTCCCAGCCTCCAGAACCAGGAGAAATAAATGGTTGTTGCTTAAGCCAGTGAGTCTATAGTACTCTTGTTATTGCAGCCTTTGGTAAAGACACCATTTGATATACCAGGTGCTTACTAGTTTGTTCATTTACTGTCTGTTTCCCTTCACTAGAGTAGAGAGGGCAGGGACTTGGTTTCCAGTGCCTAGAATAGTAAACAGTTGTTAGTTATTGTTGAGTGAACAAATACTTCATATACCAGGCACCATGCTAGTTGCTGGAGAGGCCCGTTCTCTGCCCTCATGAAACCCACGGTACTGGAGTGGAAGTTGCATTTGAAATAGCTAATCACAAGAATAATTAATTGCCTTTAAATGCCTATGAAGAAAAAATACAGGGTGCTGTAATAGCATCACAGGGGCATCCAACCTATTTTTGGGATTTATTATAGGCTTCTTTGGAAAAATGATAAATAGGAATTAGGCTGGTTATTGGTAAAATTATTGATAAAACATATTTATAAAAATTACATCTACACCTGACTATAAATACCAATTTATACAAATTATCCATCCCGCGTGTATTGAGTACCTGCTATATGTCAGACACCATCATAAGTGCTTTCTATTTATTACTTTATTTACCGTGCACAGGTACGTTGTTTCTGCAGCTGCCTGCCTTAGGTCAGACCTCAGCTTTGCCATTTCTGACTGCTGTGGTAAGTCACTTAACTCCCCTATGCCTTGCCTTCATCATTTAAAAAATGAGAAAAGGCCAGGCACGGTGGCTCACGCCTGTAATCCCAGCACTTTGGGAGGCCGAGGCGGGTGGCTCACATGAGGTCAGGAATTCGAGACCGGCCTGGCCAACATGGTGAAACCCCGTCTTTACTAGAAATACAAAAATTAGCTGGGTGTTGTGGCACATGCTTGTAATCCCAGCTACTCAGGAGGCTGAGGTAGGAGAATCGCTTGAACCTGGGAGGCAGAGGTTGCAGTGAGCCGAGATCGTGCCATTGCACTCCAGCCTGGGCAACAAGAGTGAAACTCTGTCTCAAAAAAAAAAAAAAAAAAAAAAAAAAAAGAGAGAGAATAAACAATAGTACTTACCTCCTAATTGAATGCGTTATTTTTTTCTTCATTTTATATATGGAGAGATTTAAGCTCAAAGGGAATAAATAATTTGGTGAGATCCCAGGCACAGGGTTCCATCCCGCATCTGCCCGACTCATGAATTCTCATTTCCCAGTCAGGGCATTATTCCACAGAAACACACCTCATCCCTAATCTATTGCTCTAATATTTATAACAACGCTGCTACAACTCATTTCTTTTGCTGCTTCAATGAATCACCTCCTGATACTTTTGATTTCTAAGAGCAAAATGCCACCTCGATTTCTATTATCTGCCTGCGCCAAGGAGCAACCCCCAGGTCTATTCTTTGCCTGGCTGTTTTATTTTTTCCCCATGCCTTATGGCCCATGCTGCCTGATATACAGCAAAATGGGTTTGTGATTTAACAGCAGAAAAGGTTAACTCTAAATAATGATCAGAAAGTTAAAATATAGAGCCAGAATATTGCTTTAGTTTTTATAGGTTTTAAATAATTTTGCCTCCTTCCCTGAAGGATTTAGCCTAATTCAATAAGAAAATTGCATTCAGATCCTGTGGGCTGCTCTGACGTGACTGAATTGCAATGAGCAGAAGAGATGCAAAGTGTCTTTCTGGCAATGAACCTGACTGAGCCATGAGTTCAGAGAGGAATGATGACCCTGAGGAGTGTCCTGGCTTCCCCAAACTCCTGGGTCTAGTACGGGGGAACAGGCCAAGTAGCACAACTGGAGTGACAGAAGGCAACAACAGGGTATTTATGGCTGAGCAAGGCGGAGTGGAGACATTGCATGCTTGTGGAAGAATGCATTGGACCAACGCAGCCCAGAGAAAAGTCAGGTCTTCTCCTATCTCCTTTTGTGCTATCAGCCCCAGATTGTCACCTTTGTAGGAGTGGTTAGATCCTATCCTTGCCACTTACAAATTTTATGAATTAGGATTGTAACTGGCTGCAATGAATAGGAAAACCTAACACTGACTTAAAGAGATAGGGATTTATTTATTTCCTTTTTATTTGTAATAAAAACATATAGGCATTCTCAGGTAGGGCACGGCTCAAAGATGCCATCGAGGACCTGGTTCCACCCTCTTCCCTCATAGGCCTTATCATCACGTGGCTTCTGCATCACAGGGTTGTGAGGATTAAATTAAGGTAATATATGCAAAGACCTTGGTATAGTTCTTAGTACCTAGTAAATGCTGCATACATGCTTTTTAAACGAAGAGCCTTGTTTCAATCTGATTTCCCCCTAAATACTGAATCAGAAATGTTTTTGCATATTAATAGAGATCAGCATTATGTTTTTTTAATGTGTGCATAATACTATGGGCTTAGCATTATTGTTTAACAGATCCTCTATTGTTGGATAGCTAGATTGCTTCCAGCTTTCCATCATTGTAAATACCCTTATTCAGAAATCTTTGTGCACTAATCTAACTATTTTTCTTTTTCTTTATTTAGCCAAAGTGTGAGCCCATGATCGATTTCTTTCCCTCTCTCTCTCTTTCTTTCTTCTTTTTTTTTCAGGATCCTGCTCTGCTGCCTAGGCTGGAGTGCAATAGCACAGTCTCGGCTCACTGCAGTCTCCACGTCCCATGCTCAAGTGATTCTCCTGCCTCAGCCCCCCAAGTAGTTTGGACTACAGGCATGTGCCACCATGCCTGGCTAACTTTTGTATGTTTTGTAGAGATGGGGTATCGCCCTATTGCCCAGGCTGGTGTCGACCTCCTGAGCTCAAGTGATCTGTCCACTTCGGCCTCCCAAACTGCTAGAGTTTACAGGAGTGAGCCACTGCACCCGGTGCCAGTGATTTTTCCGTGGACAAATTCCCAGGAGTGGAATTGCTACAATAGTGCTTGCGTGTGTGTGTGTGTGTGTGCATGCATGCTTGCATGTGTGTGTGTGCATGTGAGCGTGTGCGTGTGTGTGTGAGAGAGAGAGCAAGCGAGCGAGCTCTGGGACAGATACGTAAGTTGCACATGTTTCCCGTTCCTGTTTGACTTATTGTCTCAAGATCTAGTTTGGAGGTCTAAAGGGAGTCGTCCCTGCCCTGTCCTCATACAAAGACTGGTTCTGACTTCATTGCAGTCAGGATTGGCGTATTCCATGGCTAGGTGCTTGTACTCTTTGGAATAGGGTTCAGTCAGCCCCATCAGCTCCCTGGCCTTTCTCCATTCAGGACTTCAGAAATGAGTCTTCCAGTGTCCTCCAAAACTGGATCCTTTAACGGATCCTGAACCACCACCTTGCAAAGCCAGGTGGTGTTATCAGTAGATAACACTGTTTCAGAAGGTGAACTCTTCCTGATAACTACAGCGAATGTTTACTGAACACTCTTTATGTGCCAGGCACTGTGCTAAGCACCTTGCAAGCATTGGATAATTATGACAATCTCAGGAGGTACGTGATGTTATCATTCCAACTTGTTGGTTGAGGAAACTGAAGCTTAGCATGGCTAGGTAATTTGTTCAAGGTCAAAGAAGGAACAAAAGATAGATCTGGGAACCCAGAGCTTGGCTTCCTGACCTCTGTGTACTACTGCTACTTTTTCTAGGTGACCATCTAAAGTGTGACCAGAGAAGGACCGCCATCTGCATGACCTTTCACTTTTAGGGGAAACCTGTGAGATGCTTGGCGTTGTGCAATCACTGAATGTGGGCATGCTCTTTCTGCATCCCCACAGTGTAGCCTCTATAATCCGTACACTCAGAATGACACCTTTTACCAGGGTTTGTAAATGGGAGACTGGGTTTCAGAGTTTTAATTTTCATGAGCCATTGAAAGGGATGTTCTGGACACTCACTAACGTCAAATGAAGTCTTCTGTGTGCCATGTAGAATTGAAATCTCTCTTGACCTGGCTTCATTGCAAAAACTCTTTGTCTGTGGGGATGCCTCAGGGTCCAACCACTCAAAACCCAAGGGGATTCATCCCGTTGGAGCCTGGCAATGCTCTGATTTGCTGCAGGCTACTCGTTGTTGGTTCACACCATGATCATAACTGGGAAACTGAACAGTGGGTGTTAACACACGGAGAGTCCGCACAACACAAATCAATTTAAAAAGCAATTTACCTGTGGTGAACGACTAATAATAAAATGGTGATATTACAGCAGAGATAGCCGGCTACTTTTTGAAAACATGCGCTTCTTCCGCATCATGTGGTATGATAGCAAGTGACTGTTTCATTCCGCAGGCTCCCTTGCTCCAGGTATGGTCATACAACTAGATATGAAACAAGCTCAATTTCCTCATAGAACTGAAGCCTGAAAACTTAGATTTGTTTTATCTGAGTTCCTTTCTCAGGAAAGTGACCATTAGGCCTCCTAGACAGTATCAAGGAACGGAAACTTCCCCTATCACAGCATCCAGACAAGGAGAAGCACCTGCAGCCTCTTGACCAACTCATCTTTCTTACCCCTCCCTAATTTCTGTTTTCCTACATGTGGGCACTATGATATGCCAGACCCCTCATCTGACCTGCTGCCTGCTGACCAGCTCCTATATCAATCCCTAACTTTAGTTAGTTGGAGAGGTGGATTTGAAACTGGTCTCCTATCTCCTGGCTGGTGTCACCCACATTAAAGCCTTTTTTCCCTGGCAATATTTGTTGTCTCAGTGATTGACTTTCCGTGTGGCAAACAAATAGACCTAGCCAGAACATCTGGCGTTCGGCAACAAATTCACCATTGGACCTGATACTGGTCACTTTGGGGTTAGGACCTTTAAGAGGAAGGCTGTCTGTTTCATCTTTCTGCATGTCCTATGCGATGTGGAGGAGTCTGAGGTCCCTGGGGATGGTGGAAGGAGCCTAGGTTACTGACATCTGGAATGCAGTGTCACCAATGTCCAGGGTCACTCACATCAGACTGTTACATATAGGAGGAAAAACAAAACTTCTATTATAGTAAGCCACTAAAGTTTTGGGATTTATTTGTTGCCTCACCTAGTGTTACCCTAACTAATACATCAGCTTATCAGAAATTTTTAAAATAAGTTGAGTGAAGATGTTTCCAGTGACAAATGGAAGAAGAGAAAAGCAATGACTTGGAGCAGAGCTGCTGCTCTGAGTAAGGCTGTTTCCCGGGGCCTCCAAACACCCCGAGCCAACCCTGGTCATCAGGGGCCAGTCTTCCTTGGGGGCTGGGTGAGGAGAGTGTTGTGTTTGGCAAAGGTGGCATTTCAGTGCATGTTTGGGGGAATGACCTCCTAAAGTGGTCAGTAAGTGCCAGAGGTGGAGGGAATGCTGAGGTCAAACATCATCAAGTCCAAGGAACACGGATGTGTCAGAAGTGGAGGACAAAGGCAAGAAGGGCAATCCCAGAGCTGGGCAGGGATGAAGCCAGAGCACCTGAGATCGACAGGGACAGGTGACACAATTGAATTAATTGGTGGGTGAGGGGGGGCTTGTCTCCAAGGCACAGAAAGGGAGGATGATCAGTATCTCCTCCACAGGTGGATGGGAAATAGAGGAGAGGCTGGCATGCTCCACGTCAGGACCTGGAGCTGGAGAATGAATTGAAAGCTGGTAGCAGCAAGCTGAGTCAAGGAGGCAAGGAGATCCTGTGCACTGTGGTCTGGGGCTGAGAGCTTTTTTGAGGTGCAGTCCCTCTCTGCCATCGCTGCCTGCCAGCAGCCATTTCTCCACCTTCTGAAACAGTGCCCTGATTTTCCTTTGAGAAATTTGCTTTATCACTAAATCCTCTTGGCCCAGGTGGGGCTAATCCTGCCTCCCAGTCTCAAGAGATGGGGAGTGACCTGTGCTTGACCAGTCAGCACAAAGCACCCATCTTAGCTGAAGTGATTGGTTCAGGGATGGGCATGTGACCCGAGTCAGGCCAATGAAAGCCAGTGCTGGGATTTGTATTGGACCTTTGGGAAAAGAGGTTCTCTTCCCATTGCGGTTGCTGGACAGGTAGAAAAAAAGCTTGGAGATGCTGTAGACCACGTTGAGAGAGGAGAAGTTGCCTGAGTGTGACTGCAACACAGAGATACAGGTCTTTGACGCCATCCTTTGGTATCTGGATACAGTTGTGCTTGAAGCCAGACTTGAAAGTTACACGTGCCAATCAATTACGCCTAATCTACTGAACAATTTTTAAGTTGGTTTAAGTTCAACTGAAAGAATCCAGAGTGCTGTGTTTCCTATTCTAGCTCCTGGTGTCCCTTGGGGCTTACCTTTTTTTTTTTTTCTGAAATGGAGTCTTTCTCTGTTGCCCAGGCTGGAGTGCAGTAGCGTGATCTCGGCTCACTGAAACCTTCGTCTCCCAGGTTCAAGCGATTCTCCTGCCTCAGCCTCCCCAGTAGCTGGGATTACACGCATACGCCACCACGCTTGCCTAATTTTTGTAATTTTAGTAGAGGCAAGTTTCACCATGTTAGCCAGGCTGGTCTCGAACTCCTAACCTCAAGTGATCCACCAGCCTTGCTCCCAAAGTGCTGGGATTACAGGCGTGAGCCACCGTGCTCGGCCTTACTTCTCTTTTTTTAAGAGATGGGGCCCTTGCTCTGTCACCCAGGCTGGAGTGCAGTGGCACAATCATAACTCACAGCAGCCTCAAACTCCTGAGCTCAAGCAATCCTTCCTCAGCCTCCTGAGTAGCTGGGATTACAGGCATGTGCCACTGCACCAGGCTAGTTTTCTGAATTTTTTGTAGAGATAGAATCTTGCTATGTTGTCCAGTTTGGTATTGAACTTTAGCCTCAAGTGATCCTCCCGCCCTGGCCTCCCAAAGTGCTGGGATTACAGGCATGAACCGCCACTTCTGGCCCACTTCTGGGGCTTACTTTTGACCTCCTTCCCCCAAAAAACATTATAAATGGCTCTTTATGAGAAGGATTTTCCTGAGAAGGGAATTCCATAGCTTCCATCGCTTTCAGGGTGAGCTAGTTTCCTTCAGTACTCCCGGAGTCCCCCCCGCTTTATTTATTCCTTCTTATTCTTGGTAAAGATGACTGCTTTCCCCTGAGAACCATTGAATTCGTGTTTGCTACATCATGTGTCTATGATGTTGAGCACATAGTTTGAGGCAGGCACACTTCATGCAAACATCTCATTTAATTTTCACAGCAGTCCTGGGAGGGAGGTTTTATGATACCCATTTTATAGATGAGAGGAAGCAACTGGCCCAGGATCCCAGTGGGCAGTAGGTCTCAGAAAGGATCAGACAGAGGGGATGTCAACTCAATAGGCATCCTCAGTTCAGGGCAGTTATTTGCAAAGGAGCAGCCTAGAGAGAGTAAAGAAGTTCCCCTAGCATAGCTTTCCTACCCCGGGACTCCAGGGCCAGGCCTGAAGATCTGGTATCAGGAAGTTCATCCCCTCCGCCTTCCCTGGAAATGCTCTAAGTCCTCTCTGGCTGCAAACAGAGTTCCCATTGCAGGAAGAAAGCCAAGAGCAGTCACACATGATTCACCACCGTCCTCGAAGCTTTCAGGATTGTCCTCTTTAAAAGAAGCCAATTTATTTTTTATTCAAAATCCATACGAAACAATTGAACAATAAAACTGTCAGCCTCACTGTCTCTTTCAGTGGGGAAACATGATCACATCTGAAATTAAGCCTCCTCCCTCCCTCCCTCCTTCCCTTCCTCTTACTTTTCCTTCCATAAACAGCTTTTTGAGAACTTAGCATGCTCCAGGACCCGTACTGAGTTCGTATTTTCCCTTCTCATATAATTCCCTCCTGAGATCTATTTTTAAGGCATTTTGTGATGTCCAAACTTGGCTCTCAACCACTGGAGAAGTTTCAAATCAGTCACCTTTAAAAGAAAAGATGCCCGGGCTGAGAGAGCAAGGACCTTGGTTTTGAGACGAGCTCTGTGATTCATCAACTATGTGACCTTGGTCGGGGATGCCCTGTCTCTGCTCCTAAATTTCTTCATCTGAAAATTGGCACCAAGATTCTGGTGCTGTGCATGTCATCTCTGGCCTGTTCTCTAAGGGAAGCTCCCAGTCCCGGTTACCATTCATCGTTGGTACCTAGAGCAATGTATGGCACCAGTAGGGGCTCGATGCATTTGTGGCGAATGAACGAATAAAGAAAGGTCTGGGTTAGAACCGTTGTTCTGAAAAGCAGGGGGCCCTAATCCTAGTCCTCCAGGGACCTCCAAACCAAGGGCCATGGGACTCCATCCCAGAGGCTGGAGCCTCTATTTGGAGTTTTAAATCACTAGGGGGTGTAGGGCCCAGGATGGGAAACTGACATGAGGCTGTGCTGGCTTAGCTGAGCGTGGGTAGGGAGTGCCTGTGGAGAAACTGCTTACATGCCACTGTGGCACTCCCAGGCCCATCCACTGAGGTCGGGGGAGGACCTCCCTGGAGATAAACGCAACCTTTGCAGGTCATATCTTTATGCTGGCCCGAGGCAAGGCAGGCAACTGCCTTCATCAGAGCTGGGAAACATAAAACCCCCATGCACCATTGATGAGCTCTGCCAGCAGCGTTTATGGACAGGCTTTATCTCTCCGGTGTCATACATTATTGAAGCTGCCTCCCCTGCCCCCTCGATGACTGCTGAAGGGCAAAGCAGCCTCTAGGGGTGGGGTGGGGGTCTACAGTCCTACCAGCCTGGGGCCTGTCCTGATGCTTGGCAACCCACTGCTTGTCAGGGGAGCTGTGGTGGTAACAGCCTGGGTTTTAGAGTCTGAGCCTTTATGGCTTATTTCACCCTCTTATCCTCTATTATCTCATTAGCACAAGGAGGGGTGGATCCTAGTATCCAGGATTGTAGGGGAGGATTAGGTGACACAATGCATGAAAAGAACTTAGCACAGCCCTACAGCCAGCACATGATAAGCCGTCGATAAATGCAAGCTGCAGTATCACAAAAAGTGCTTTGTGAAAATAAATACTGTCTGCAGGTGTGGGTTGATATTTGTGGGAGGTCCCAACTCCGAGGCATAGTCAGACTCTGAGCCTTGATTCAAATCCCAGCTCTACCACTCTCCAGCTGCTCCTTGGTTCTTAGGCAAGTTCCTTAGTTGCTTTGTGCCTTGGTTGGCGCATCTGTAAAATGGGATAACGATAGCACCTACCTCAAAGAGTTGTTTTCACAGTGCACTGAGCTAACAGAGAGAGCTTAGAACAGTGCCTCGTATGTTGCTCATTATGTCATTTAAGGCTCCCTCTCCAGCCCCAATGTCTGTGCCTTATCTGATCCACTCTTAGGCGTGGATCCTTTTTTTAATAGACTAGGACCAATATTTACCCCTATGTTTTACCTCCCCGTCTGTGATCGGAATTGGGATGATGGATGTGCAAAATCGTGGTAGAAAGAATAATGATCTTCCAGGGATGTGCATCTCCCAGTCCCTGGAACCTGTGAATGTGTTATCTTATGAGGCTAAAGAGACTTTGCAGGTGTGATTACATTAAGGCTCTTGAGATGAGGAGATTATCCTGGATTATTTGATGGACCTGTGTAATCACAGAGGTCTTTATAAGAGGGAGAAAGGAGAGTCAGAGTTGGAGATTTGAGGACAGAAGTGGAGGGAGAGAGGGAGAGAAAGAGACAGAGAGACAGAGAGAGAGAGAGAGAAAGAGAGGCTGAAGATGTTGCAGAGCAGCTCCTGAAGATGAAGGAAGAGGCCATGAGCTCAGGCAGGCAGCCTGTGGATGCTGGAAAGACAAGGAAACAGATTCTCTCCTAGAACCTCCTCTAGGAAAACAGGTGCTTTCAGAATTTCTTTAGAGCACAGGTGACTTTAGAATTTCTGACCCTGAGAACTATAAAATAATCCAATTGTGTTGTTTTAGGCCACCACATTTGTGGTAATTTGTGATAGCAGTGATTCAAAATGAATACGGTCATGTAACAAAAAGGGAGATCCGCCCCTTCTCCCTCGGCAGTTGCAGTGTGAGGCAGCCCTGGGCACCGGGAGGGCCAGGGTCCCCCCCGTCTCGCTGTGTGAGTTGGGTGAATTCTGAGCCTTCTCTGAGCTTGGTTTTCTCATCTGTACAGTGGAGATTACAATGGTTACGGGGACGAAAATTCAAAATGCTGAAGGCACAGACTTCTAAGCCAGAGCCTGGCATATAGTAGCCACTCAGAGGATTGGAGCTTTCCTCCCCACATCTGTCCAGCCCAGCATAAACAGAGCTCACCCTTCCCTTGGCTACTTGGTCATTTCTGACAGCCGGGCATGTGGGCAGAATCTAGCACGGGCGTGCATGAGGGGTAAGGATGTATTGAAGGCCAGGAGACCCGGGCCTGGGCTATTATTTGATGGGAAGTGAGCAAGTCAAGAAGCTTATTCTGGCCAGGTGCTGTGGCTCATGCCTACAATCCCAGCACTTTGGGAGGTCAGGGCAGGAGGATGACTTAAGGCCAGGAGTTTGAGACCAGCCTGGGCAACATAGCGAGACTCTGTCTCTACAAAAAGTTTAAAAATTAGCCGGGCATCGTGGCATGTGCCTGTAGACCTAGCCACTCAGAGGCTCAGGCAGGAGAATGGCTTAATCCCAGGAGTTTGAGGCTGCAGTGAGCTATGATCGCACCACTGCACTCCAGCCTGGGCAACAGAGTGAGACCCTGTCTCTAAAAAACAAACAAAAACCCACAGGTTGATTTTATTGGCCTCCTTTCTCATGGTCTGACCACTGAAGTTCTAATTCAGTGTTGAACAGACTCATTCTTGTTTCCATAGTGATTGCCCTAAGGTTTTTTCACCATAGTCTTAGAAACAGTTGTATTAACATAGTCACTTAAAACTTGTTGGAGAGGTGGCATTTTTGGAGAGTGTGGACCCAGAGAATGACTACCTCTTGTTTTCCCCAGAAATGTAACTGACACTGAGACCTCAGCATTCATTCATTCAACAAATATTTATTGAGTACCTACAAGAGGCTGCAGTACAGCTTTTTTTATTTTAATTTTTTTTTGAGCTTACATTCTAATGGAGAGAGACTGACAATAGATATCTAAGGAGGTAAGTAAATACACATAAACATTTTATTTATTTATTTATTTATTTATTTATTTATTTATTTATTTATTTAAACAGAGTCTCACTCTGTTGCCCAGGCTGGAGTGCAGTGGCACAATCTCGGCTCACTGCAACTTCCACCTCCCGGGTTCAAGCGATTCTCGTGCCTCAGGCTCCCAAGTAGCTGGGAATACAGGCATGTACCACCATGCCCAGCTAAGTTCTGTATTTTTAGTAGAGATGGGGTTTCACCATGTTGGCCAAGCTGGTCTCGAACTCCTGAGCTCAAGTGATCCGCCTGCCTCAGCCTCCCAAAGTGCTGGGATTATAGCCGTGAGCCACTGTACCTGGCCACATATGGACATTTTAGATTTCAGTAAGTGTTACAAAGAAAACAACAGAATGACAGAATAGGCATGACTAAGGGTGACAGAGCTTTCTGTGGAGGATGTTGACCTGGGTCCCTGAAGGAAGGCAGTGAGGTGGGTGGAGGTCCTCTTGGTGGGTCCCCAAGTTGGGGGCTGTGACAAGCCAAATTAGTTCTCATCCACAGGGCCCATCTGGTGAATGAACAGGAATTTGTAGAGTCCTAGCTCAGCCTGGCAGGTGCATTTAAAGCACAACAAACAGCCAGGAGCTGTTAAGGGATTGGGGTGATTGGAAAACTGCCTTCCCTGGGAACAGCTTGGAATATTCTCTCACCAGGGTGAGGAAAAGGAGGGCGGGATAAAGATGAATTCAGGATGTGCTGCTGATAGAGATGCCAAAATGAAGCAAGCATTTTTTGGAGGCATATTCTTCACCTGTAGGGCCTATTTCTATTTGTAATGGATATGGGAGAGCAGGAGGCCCATGTGGCTTAGACCTCACCTTCCCAAAGGACCGAAAGGTGCACTGAGCATAAGGGATAAGAACACACACCTACAGCCAGATGCCCTGCGTTCACATCCAGCTCCACCACTCAGCGGCTCCAGCAGGGTTATTCAGCCCTTTTCTGTCTTGGTTTTCTTATCTGGAAAATGGGGATGAAGACAATACCTACCCTTGAGTTGGGTATAAGATGTAAATGTGTCACTGTTTTTTTTCTCCACATGTCATCTAGTGGATTTTTAAAAAGTTTTAATTACTTATTCATTTATTTCAGAGACACGGTCTCACTCTAGTGCAGTGGTGTGATCATGGCTCACTGCAGCCTCCAACTCTGAGGCTCAAATGATCCTCCCACCTCGGCCTCCTGAGTAGCTGAGACTACAGGCACACAGCATTATACCTTACCAATTTTAATTTTTTTTTTTTTTTTGTAGAAACAGGGTCTCTCTATATTGTGCAGGCTGGTCTTGAACTCTGAGGCTCAAGTGGTCCTCCTGCCTCAGCCTCCCAAAGTGCTAAGATTACAGGCATGAGCCATTGTACCCTGCCTAACACATTACAATTTAAATACCTCTATCATGTGCCACATAGTTCTGGCACATAATAAATGCTGATGTAGATGTGTGAATAGACACACATATTATGTTAAAGAAATACAATTTAGATGTCTGACCTCATGTCCAAACAAGATTTGCACATCATTATGTTCAGAGATCCACTCACAGGTTTGAAAGAGTTATTTTTTCTAAAGCCTTAAATTTATGTCCCATCCCTGGACCTCACTGCCCATAGGGAACACACAATTGGTAATACTTTAGCACCCTCATAATTATCTTATGAAAAGTATAATTATATTGCTTTGCCTTTTTTCCCCTGAGGGGGTTACAATGTTAATATGTTCATTCGAGATGTGCCACAACTCTTGTGAAATTGTTTGGGCACCCTTTTATTTTTTAATATGTCAGGAGCCTCAAAGAATGGCAGGGGCTCAGGCCTCTTCATGGTTTTGGAGGCAATAGGGTGGATGAGGAGGCGGGGGAGGGAGGGAAGGGGCTGATGTCTTTGGTGGTCCTGGGCGCAGGACCTGGGCACAAGCTTTCTCTTTACTCCCACAATGGAGAAGTAATGATTTCAGAACACTGCCACTCCAGCCACGGTGATTTTCAATCTTTAACAATTTTCTGACTTGTCATGCCACCTGTAGCCCTGTTAGTCATGGTACAGCCTGGAACTCAGGGTGGCAGACAAAATGACTGTTGACATTGTCACACTGTCATGACGTTTGTCACCCCACCTGTCTCCAGGGGCCAGAACCCCACATGTGGCCCCCTGCCATTTCTCACCTGCCCTTCTCCTCCGCCCCCACCACCTGGTATCCAGAGTGTGGAGAAGTGGGCAGTCCACCTCCAGGTGCCAGGATAGACACCGGGGCCATCAGCCCCACCTTGCCCGGCCC
This sequence comes from Homo sapiens, assembly GCF_000001405.40. Taxonomy (NCBI): domain Eukaryota; kingdom Metazoa; phylum Chordata; class Mammalia; order Primates; family Hominidae; genus Homo; species Homo sapiens. The sequence continues at coordinate 26,988,302 of NC_000016.10, read as the reverse complement.
TTTCCAGCTGCCCAAACTGAAGATCTTCCAGCTTCCTGGCAGGCCTGCCCACACGCTGAACCAGGTTAGCCCTAGGCAGGGAAGATTTTAGGATTTTTAAGTGAGCAGCTTGGGCTTGGGAGTCAGACAGACTTGGGTTTCCATCTCGGTTCCTCTACTTGGTCTCAAAGAAGTTACTCTTTATCCCGTCTACCTAACTTTCTGCACCTGTAAAATGAGTCAAAGCTCATTTTACAGATCCAGATCTTCTGTAAGAACCGGCTGAGATGTCCATGAAGGCAGAACAGCCACATGGCACCCGGCACTTAGAACATGCTTGGTAAATGGCTAATAGCATGAGGGAGGGAGGGAGGCACACAACATGTAGCTCTGGACTTTGAATCTAGAGGGTCTGGGGAACCCTGGCCCTAAACATTCCGCTAAACATTGCTGTGTTTATATTTCCCCATCACTGGACACTGACTCAGTTTTTTTGGCCAGTGTTCCTCATTCCAGCTTTGACCTCAACCTCCCACGACCCATGTTCCTGGTGGACCACATCCTGCTCTGTGACTCAGAGCTAGTTCCCCTCTGATCACCAGACCCCAACCCCCGACGTGAAGAGCCCTGCTGGAGGCTGAGACCCCTAGACTCTATGGTGCTCTGGATGGGACGGGTCCATTCATGTTGCCATTGGGGATCCAGCTCCTCCGCCCTAGGGGCTGCTCCCTTACCCAGCTCCTCCTGGTTATACCTGGTTATAACAAATGCCAGTGTTAATCAGCACAGCAGCCAGGAGGCACAGATTAACTATTTATTCCCTGGTAGCTACAACTGCACTCAGCCACCACCAGCAGCATTAATAGCCCTCAGCCACTATATTAAGACCTTTACTTTTGTAAAATCTCTGAACACTCAGAACTCCAGGATTTTAGAGATGAGAAACCAGAGGACCAAGAAAGTCAGACAACCTAAGGTTGCAACCTAAGGAGTTCTGGGTGATGAGTCAGGCCAGGTGTAACAGTCTCAATATTTATAACTGGCACAGTATACGCCCATAACAGGAGAAAGGCAACTATGAGGTTGGGTAGGGTCTTAAACTCTCTCTCTCTTTTTTTTTTTCAGAAGGTGTTTTGCTCGTTTCCCAGGCTGGAGTGTGCAGTGGCATGATCTCAGCTCAGCGCAACCTCTGCCTCCCGGATTCAATCGATTCTCCTCCCTCAGCCTCTCGAGTTAGCTGGGATTACAGGCATGTGCCACCACGCCTGGCTAATTTTGTAGTTTTAATAGAGATGAGGTTTCTCCAAGTTGGTCAGGCTGGTCTCGAACTCCTGACCTCAGGTGATCTGCTGGCCTTGGCCTCCCAAAGTGCTGGGGTTACAGGCGTGAGCCACCGCGCCTGGCCTGGAGCTCTCTTGAGGGAAGAACTGGGGGGCCTGGAGTGAGGACAGGCTGGCCAGGGAGGTGGGGGCATTTGAGACAACTGTTTGACCAACTATTATAGGAGGTTTTCAATGTTTTAACAACTTTCGGAGCCAGTCCTGTGTGGGGCTGAAGCTCTGGTCTCCCCTCTTTCTTTTCTTCTTGTGTTTTCTCCTCCTCTTCTTTCTCTTCCGTTGCTCTCTTCTCCTTTTCCCTTGCTGCTTTTTCCCTCTTTTCCAGCTTTATCTTCCTCTTCCTCCTCCTCCAGAAGCCCCCCACCCCCCTACAGGTAGAAGCGTGTCTTAGTCAGCTCAGGCCACTAGAACAGAGTATCATAGACTGGGTGGCTTTATCAACAGAAACTTATTTTCTCACCGTTTTGGAAGGAATTCTGAGTGTTCAGAGATATTACGAAAGGAAGGTCTTAGTATAGCAGCTGAGGGCTATTAATGCAGGGTCAGCAGACTGAAATGACCCTGCAAAGCTGTCTTTTGTGGTGGAAATTTGCATCTGTACAGGGTCCCCATTCATGCAGCCAGGCCTTTCCTGGTTTGGATCTAGGAGGGAGCAACTGAATCTGACACCTTAAAGATCTGAAAGAAGCATTTGGCCGGGCACGGTGTCTCACGCCTGTAATCCCAGCACTTTGGGAGGCCAAGGTGGAGGGCAGATCACGAGGTCAGGAGATCAAGACCATCCTGGCCAACATGGTGAAACCCCGTCTCTACTAAAATTAAAAAAAAGAAAAAACCAGCCAGGAATGGTGGTGCGTGCATGTATTCCCAGCTACTCGGGAGGCTGAGGCAGGAGAATCACTTGAACCCGGGAGACAGAGGCTTCAGTGAGCCCAGATCACGCCACTGCACTCCAGCCTGGCGACACAGCGAGACTCCATCTTAAAAACAAACAAACAAAAAAAACCATTTACCATTTATTCTCTGTGGGGGCTGCTACCTGTGTGGTTTGATCTACATAACAAGGCCACCTTTGCTAGCCAAGCCTCCTCCACTTCTCCTTCCATAATCTGCCTTGCCCCTGAAACCTGATTTACCACCATAGCCTGTTTTCGGCCATGCTCTGAGCCTGTTACAGGAAAGGGATTCCGATCGGGACCCCAAGAGAGGGTTCTTGTATCTCGTGCAAGAAAGAATTCAGGGCGAGTTCGTAGAGTAAAATGAAAGCAAGTTTATTAAGAAAGTAAAGGAATAAAAGAATGGCTACTCCATAGACAGAGCAGCCCCGAAGGCTGCTGAGTGCCCATTTTTGTTGTTATTTCTTGATGATATGCTAAACAAGGGGTGGATTATTCATGCCTCCCCTGTTTAGACCATATAGGGTAACTTCCTGACACGTTGCCATGGCATTTGTAAACTGTCATGGCGCCGGTGGGAGTGCAGCAGTGAGGACGACCAGAGGTCACTCTCATCGCCATCTTGGTTTTGGTGGGTTTTGGCCAGCTTCTTTACTGCACCTGTTTTTCATCAGCAAGGTCTTCATGACCTATATTTTGTGATGTCCTCCTCTCTCATCCTATGACTTAGAATGCCTTAATCGTTTGGAAATGCAACCCAGTAGGTTTCAGCCTAATTTTACCCAGCTCCTATAGCAGATGGAGTTGCTCTGGTTCACACACTTCTGACAAGCCCACTTTCTTTCTGTAACTTTAGGATAATATAAAGCTTCTTCATCCTGTAACCAAGCCCAGATCTCATCCTGCTCACGGCATAACAGCCAGTAAGTCAAGAGACATGGCATTGTGGCAAGGAAGGGGACTTTATTTCAGAGAGCCAGCAAACCAAGAAGATGGTGGACCAGGGCCCTAAAGAACCACCTTAAGTTAATACCAATCTCAGGCTCTTTTCATGTTAGGGGAAGGGGGAAGAGGGAGGGGTTGAGGTTAAGAGGTGACCGATGATCACAGACACCAGGGTGGCAGCAAGGATCCAAGGGGTTGTGAAACTTCTTTGTCCTAGGTTAGGTCACAATGCTCCTATACATCTTTAACGTAACATTGACGCTTGTATGTACACCCTCCTTATCTCCTTGGGGGTCAGTTTTGGGAAGGGAATAGTATCATCCTTGCTTTAAAGTTGAACTATAAACTAAATTCCCCCCCATAGTTAGCTTGGCCTATGGGCAGAGATAAGCACAAGCAGTTAATCTAAAAGATATCCCTGTAGGGAAAATGGGGAGGTTATGAGTAGCATGGAGTTAGCCATGGCAGGCCTCCTTTTCACTGTTAACAATCTCACCAGGACCAGGGGTTTGGGTCTTCACTCTGAGGGCTCATGTGTATACCAAATGTGATGGTTAATATTGAGTGTCAACTTGATTGGATTGAGGGATGCAAAGTGTTGTTCCTGAGTGTATCTATGAGAGTGTTGCCAAAGGAGATTAACATTTGAGTCAGTGGGTTGGGCGAGACAGACCTACCCTCCATCTCGGTGGGCACCATCTAATCAGCTACCAGGGCAGCTAGGATAAAAGCAGGCAGAGTAACATGGAAGGACTTGACTTGCTGAGTCTTCTGGCCTCCATCTTTCTCCCGTGCTGAATGCTTCCTGCCCTTGAACATCAGACTCCAGGATCTTCAGCTTTTGGGCTCTTGGGCCTACACCAGTGGTTTGCTGGAGGCTGTTGGGCCTTTAGCCACAGACTGGAGGCTGCACTGTGGGCTTCCCTACTTTTGAGGTTTTGGGACTGGGACTGGCTTCCTTGCTCCTCAGCTTGCAGACAGCCTATTGTGGGACTTCACCTTGTGACTGTGTGAGTCAATTCTCCTAATAAACTCCCCTTTATATATTCATCTATCCTATTAGTCCTGTTTGTCTAGAGAACCCTGACTAATACAACATCAAATAAATGTGTATACCTTTTTTTCTGTTAATCAATCTGCCTCATGTCAGTGATTTTCAGTGAACCTTCAGGGGGCTAAGAGTGCTGGTCCCTACAATACAACAGTATCAACAAAACTGCAGACTTTATTTAGATTTCACCAATTTTCCCATGAATGTTCTTTTTTTCTGTTCCAAAATCCAAGCTGGAGCCACACTTTGCATTTGCCCTTTCACATGCTAGATTTCAAACCCAAAGCACAGAGGCAGGAAGGACCTGGCTGAGGTTTTCCCATGCAAAGGTGGGTCTCCAGCCCCTTTGTCTGTGTTTTCCTCCCAGGCTGTGCATCAGAATTCCCTGGAGCTTTTTGTAGTTCCTCCACTGAAGCCACTGCCATCCATGGGAAGCTCCTGGCCCCTGGAAGACAGCTACCCTGTGACTCACCCACAAATACCATGATGCAGCTCCCTCTCCATGGTGTGTGGGGACAGTTCTGGCAGGCTTTAGTTTCCTCATTATTGGAATAGGGACGACGATCATGTAATTGCCTGACAAGTTCTTCTTGCCCACTGCACAGATTAACCCAATTCACTGAGACAGCATTATTGTAGTAGAGAAAGAGTTTAATTATCACAAGGCAGCCGAACAGGAGGATGGGAGTCATTACTTAAATCTGTCTCCCCGAAAATTCAGAGACCAGGGTTTTTAAAGGATAATTTGGCAGGCAGTGGGGCTAGGGAACGGGGAATGCTGATTGGTTGGGTCAGGGATAAAATCACAAGGGGTTGAAGCTATCTTCTAGCTGTCTTTCATTCCTGGGTGGGATTGCAAAACTAGTTGAGTCAGTTTACCAGTCTAGATGGTAATGTTTAGCACCAGCTGGTCCATCAGAGTGCAGGGTCTGAAATGTACCTCAAACACCAATTTTAGGTTTTACAATAGCAATGTTATCTATAGGAGCAATTGGGGAAGTCATGAATCTTGTGACCTCTGGAGCAATGGCTGGTTATCACTTAACTATGTCTACAGTTTAGCAGAGTTCAGAACCCTCCCGTGGTCCTAACCTTGTGGCTTTTCATTAGTTTTACGAAGATGGTTTGGTCCCTGAACAAGCAGTGGTGGTTTGGGGAAGGGCTGTTTTCATCCTTGCTGTAAAGTTAAACTATAAACTAAATTATTCCTAAAGTTAGCTTGGCCTAGGCCTAGAAATAAACAAGGACAGCTTGGGTGTTAGAAGCAAAATGGAATCAGCCATGTCTTATTCCTCTTACTGTTATAACTTTGCAAAGGTGATTTTAATCACACCATTTATGTGCCTTCACCACTCCATGCCTCAGTTTCCTCCTACATTAAATGGGGGCAGAAAGGGGAAGTTCATGTCTATCTCCAACAATTGTTGGAGCAGTTGATGAGTTGTATATGCAAATTAGCATGAAATAATGCTTATTAAGCAGTTTTCCACTCTGCACACTGGGACACTTGGGGGCTTCAACACCCATGGGTTCCGCTTCTGGAGATTCTGATTTTGTTGGTCTGGGCTGCATCCTGAATACAAGGATTTTTAAAAAGCTCCCTAGGTAGGCTGGGTGTGGTGGCTTATGCCTGTAATCCCAGCACTTTGGGAGCCTGAGGCGGGCAGATCATGAGGTCAGGAGATCAAGGCCATCCTGGCTAACATGGTGAAACCCTGTCTCTACTAAAAATACAAAAAAAAAAAAAAAAAAAAAAAATTAGCTGGGCGTGGTGGCAGGCCCCTATAGTCCCAGCTACTCAGGAGGCTGAGGGAGGAGAATGGTGTGAACCCGGGAGGCAGAGCTTGCAGTGAGCCGAGATCGCACCACTGCACTCCAGCCTGGACAACAGAGTGAGACTCCATCTCAAAAAAAAAAAAAAAAAAAGCTCCCTAGGTAATTCTAAGATGCAACCTGGATGGACATCACTGGTTTAAATAAAGATTTCCTCCAAACTCCACCTCCCAAACCTGCCAATCAGCAGCTTCAGTGAAGAATCAAGAATCAGAATTACAGTTATGTGGTAGGAGGGGAGACTGTGGATGGGGGATAAAACCTCATAACTCCTTTGAAAAGCAACACCAACAACGAGGGCTGGCATTTGTTTAGAGTTTATTGGCACGGTGCTAAGTGCTCTGTATGCATTATTCTCACAATGATCGCATGACCCAGGTCCTATTATTATTTCATAACTCTGACAAGGAAACTGAGGCTCAAGGGGCTTGAGTTACTTGCTTAAGGTTGCACAGCTGTTTATTGTCAGAGCTGAGCTATAACCCAGGTCAGTCTGATGCTAGATCCGGTGTTCTTCACCACAGGGCTGTCCTACTCAGAGCAGTGAGATGGCCTCAGAATGTAAACCTATGACTCAGTGGCCCAGTGATGCCAAATAATAATAGATACTATTCACTAGCGGAAGGCACTGGGCTACATCTATCTGGTTCCTTCCAACAGTGTTGAGAAGTAGATATCCTTTCCCAGGTGAAATAGGTCTTCAAAGAGATGAAGTGACCCACCTCTGCTGCTACACAGCACAGCTGGGAATTCAGCTCTCATTGGCTTGGTTCCCAGACTCTGAAGGAGGCTGCTTACATGGGAGGGAAGATCAGCCCACCTCAGCAGGAGGCACGAGCCCCACATCAAGAAACATTAAGAGGGTTTAAATGAGTTATGAACAGATATAATCGTCTCCCCCATATTTTCCATCAGAGGAAAGTGACTGTCAAATCGACTTCATTTTTAAGCACGCTATTAACAATACCTGGGAATTGTTTAATCTAATTGTTTTACAGCTCAGGAGGAGTTGCCATGAAACTGATGGGGAAATGTAGCATCTGGTGTTTGCTTCCTGGTGGGAACGTGCTGGGCTTGTCAGTTGGGGTCTTCTCCTTTCTGTTCCTCATCAGCATGTCTCTGTGGCAGGGGAAGAGACTGTTGGGGCCAGCTGTCATCTCCTTGTCATTCCCATCTAAGGCTTTTAACTCTCCCCAGCCCTTGGCCTTAGAATACACATAAGCCCGTTTCCCAAGCTCATGCCTGATGCAGTTGCAGAACTAATATTTCTGGGGAAGGAGAGAAAGAAAGAGAAAACAATAATAATTATGACAGAGGCAGATGGCTGAGCACCCAAGGAATTATGTTCCCCTTTCTTACAGTGGAGAATTGTTGCTGAAAAGAGGCTGCCCAGACAATACCTCAATTTCCCAGCCTTCCTTGCACCAAAGGGGACCATGTGACCAGTCCTGGCCAATGGCATGTGAGAAGAAGTGGTGCGTCTCACTTCTGGATCAAGGCAGATGCCCTCTCTATCACCCATAGCATGGAAGGATTCTAGAGGAGGAGAGACCTGAAGGAGCCTCAGTCCCAGAGTGACTCCATGGAAACCTATGTGACCAGGAGTGCCACCACATTGAGTGAGAGACAAACTTTTCTTATGCTAGGCTGCTGAGATTTTGTGGTCTATCTGTTATAGCACATAGCTTTATCTTATTTTAATTTTAATTTTTTTTAAGACAGGGTCTGGCACTGTCACCCAGGCTGGAGTGCAGTGGCACAATCTTGGCTCACTGCAGCCTTTATCTCCTGGGCTCAAGTGATCCTACTACCTCAGCCTCTTGGGTAGCTGGGACTACAGGCATGTGCCACCACCCAGCTAATTTTTGTATTTTTTGTAGAGTCTGAGTTTTGCCAGTTTTCCCAAGGTGGTCTTGAACTCCTGAGCTCAAGAGATTCGCCCTCCTCAGCCTCCCAAAGTGCTTGGATTATAGGCGTGAGCCACTGCACCCTGCCGACAACTAGCTTTATCTTAACCAACACCACAACATTTGTAGAGCTCCTACTCTGAGCCAGTCATTGTCATAGGAGCTTGACATATATCATCTCATTTAATCCTCTCAACAGTCCCATGAAATTGATATTTACAGATAAGAAAGTAGGCTCAGAGAGGTTAAGTGACTTCCAAGGCCACAGAGCAAGTAAGCATTGGAAGAAGAATGTGAACCCCAGTGAAGAGACTGCCACAGAATCTAGGACCGGTCATATCCAGTCCTAGTTGTTTGAAGTTTGTCTCTTCCCTTACCTGTGTATCCCCTCTCTTGAGTTGGTCTATTCCCAAGCTTTGGGCTTCTGTTTTGGTTTCCCATGCCCAGCTTGGGGGCCCTGTCCTATCCTTGCTGTCCTTCTAAGCCTTGGTGTCTTTCTCCACACGTGGACCATGTCTGAGGCCCTGCCACCCATAGGCAGTACTTGGAAGAGTTGACCTCCTGATTCTCCTGACCCCAGATCTTGGTGACACCCTCACAGTGGAGAGGAGGCAGTGGTTTCATCCAGGTCCCAAGATCAACTCGCTGTTTCAAGCAGGTGGAGGCAAGATGGGAACACAGGCAAGGGCAGGGCAGCATGAGAAGTTGGGGACCAGCAGAGTTTGGTTCATGAAGTCAAAGCACAACTGAGATGTGGACACAGAGGAGCATGACAGCTCACACAGGAGGCCAGCTCTGAGGGGCCATGTGAGCATTGGTGGGATGCAGGAGAGCTCAGCTGGCAGTATCAGCCGGGACACAGGAGCAGGACTCCTGAGCAGTTCTGCTGATTTCTCCAGGCTCACCTCTGGCTTTAATGGGTATCTGTGGTTTTTATTGATCCAGAACGTTCCTTTGAGGGACTTCTCCCCACTCTCACATCAATTATGTGGCTCCAGTGGGCTGCCACTTAAAACATCCTGCCCCAATCACCACAGGGACACTTGTGACTCCAGCACAGCCAATTATAACCCCACTTTCTTCTGGTCATGGTGGTTGGCTCAGGAATGGGCACATGACTCAAAATGGCGGCTGTTCATTGAAATTTTTTATTTTTTGCAGGAGGAGGTGGAAGAGGAGGTGGTATGTTGCCTTTAGGGTCTTGCAATTGAGAGGATGTGGTAGCTATCTCCTCTTCCAAATGAAGACAACCTATATACAGCAGGAGATGATAGGTCCAGAATTAGTCAAAGCCAAAACATAAAGGGAGGATCAAAAAGGTGGGGGGAAGGGGGAGAGAGAGAGAGAGAGAGAGAGAACAGAGAGATGGCAGGGGGAGAGAGGAGAGGAGATAGAAAGGAGATAGAGGAAGAGTAGAGAGATAGAGGAAGAGAGAGAAAGGGGAGTGGAGGGGAGAGAGATAGAGAGAGAAGGGGAGAGAGAAAAAGACAGAGACACACAGAGAGAGCCCATTTTCACTTGAACCCTTAGATCCAGCTGTGCCTGAAGACAGTGCTATGTTGAACTTCCCACTTGCATGAACCAAAAGTTCCTCTTTCAATATAAACTAGTTCGAATACAGTTACTCTAACTTGAATCCAAGAGTCTGGAATGGCTGTTTGCCACCTCACATGCAGCTTGACTGACTTTCAAATTTTCAAACAGACCATGCTTTCACCTTCCAGCTTCACCCACAGGCAGCTTTCCACCACTGCCTGGGATATTTTTGTTTCTTTCTTTATTTCTTTTTTTTTTTTTTTTTTTTTGAGACTCTCACTGTGTCACCCAGGCTGGAGTGCAGTGTCATGATCTTGGCTCACTGCAACCTCCTCTTCCCAGATTCAAGAGATTCTCGTGCCTCAACCTCCCGTGTAGCTGGGACTACAGGTGCATGCCACCATGTCCAGATCATTTTTGTATTTTTAGTAGAGATGGGGTTTTGCCATTTTACTCAGGCTGGTCTCGAACTCCTGAGCTCAAGTGATCCACCCCCCTCAGCCTCCCAAAGTGCTGGGATTACAGGCATGAGCCACAGGCCCCGGCTTCAGTAGACATTTGTTGGAAGAGGGTCTTGTTCTGGCTGAATCATCATGCATTCTTGTGCATGGCATTCACGGGTGTTAAAGGTACAGTCCAGTATCATTGAGAATTCTGGCAGGAAACATGCAACATACCACAAGGAACGATTGAGGACAGTTTCTTGAAGGGACTATGTACAAGGGCCTGCGTGGGGTTAAGGGAGTCCCACACAAGAAGATGATGTTTTCTGGGACTAGCAACGATGGTGAGCTATTAACTACCTGTAGGCCTGAGACTGGGAGGGAAGGTTTAGCAAAACCTAAGGATGCTGCAGGCAATGGAGAGTCATCCAAGAGGACTTGTGGTTCCCTTTCCCTTTCCTTCTTTCTTTCTTTCTTTCTTTCTTTCTTTCTTTCTTTCTTTCTTTCTTTCTTTCTTTCTTTCTTTCTTTTCTTTCTTTTCTTTCTTTCTTTTTTTTTTTTTTTGACAGAGTCTTACTCTGTTGCCCAGGCTGGAGTGCAGTGGTGTGATCTCAGCTCAATGCAACCTCCACCTCCTGGGTTAAAGCAATTCTCCTGCCTCAGTCTCCTGAGTAGCTGGGAATTACAGGTGCATACCACCACACCTGGCTAATTTTTGTATTTTTAGTAGAGACAGGGTTCTGCCATGTTGGCCAGGCTGGTCTCCAACTCCTGAGCTCAAGTGATCCACCCGCCTTGACCTCCCAAAGTGCTGGGATTATAAGCGTGAGCCCCAGCACCCGATGTGGACCTGTGGTTTCCATTGAAGAAGTGCAGCCATACCAGTCTATGGCCTAACAGTGAGAATGAATACTCTGACCTCTCTTCTCCTGCCCTCTGATCTCTGGTGAGCATCTCACATCAGTTGAACCCAACCCGAAGCTAGAAGGTGAGGGAGCTCATTGACGTAAACTACAGAAGCTCTCCTCCTGGGGCATCAAGCAGGTGGGAAAGGATGGAGTGAGTCTGGAGGGACAAACAAAACTTTTGTCCCAAGACCTGTGACAGCGACCTGCTGTCCCCCAGGTGGGCTTGTGATCCAGGTGCTGACTTGAGCACAACCCTTGAAGATGTCACTTTGGGAGGTACAGACTGGGAGAGCAGTCTGCACTGCAGAGTCCAGCAGAGGGAGAAGCATCATCAGTAACACAGGCAAACAATGCCAACGATATTCACATGCCCATGTCCCCGTGGCCTGACCCCAGCTGGCCACTCCTCCCAGGGTGAGAACAATGATCAGACATACTCTGTCACTTGTCACTAGCCTAACCTCCCGACATCAACTCCCCAGGGACAAGGGAGCAGCATCTAGAACACAGTGGATAATTATTCTTCAAATGAATTGAGCTATCGGGGGCATCCTGGCTGAATCAATCAAAGCAGGTGGGGGCAGATTTCACAGAGCCAAGAGGCCATGGCAGCTCTTTGTGATAGATTCGTGTAAGAGGCCTCTTTTGCCACCACCCAACATTCATAAGCGATGCCTCCTCTCCATGTCGTTCAGCCATTTCCCATGCCAAATGAAGATAAATGTCAGAGGAGCAAATAGCCTTCAAATTGCTATTGAAAATATTTTGGAAAAGCCATGAAATGCCAAGCCTTTCTCCTTCTCATAAAGATTCTATTTATCTTCTGAGAAATGTTCCCCACCCTCCTGAGAAGCTAAATATGACTCAGTGAGGTTGGGAGTTAGTGCCTATGTGCTATTTCTTTCTTTCATTTTTTTTGAGACAGAGTCTCTCTCTGTTCCCTAGGCTGGAGTGCAGTGGCGTGATCTCGGCTCACTGCAACCTCTGCCTCCTGGGTTCAAGTGGTTCTCCTGCCTCAGCCTCCTGAGTAGCTGGGATTACAGGCACGCTCCACCATGCCCAGCTAAATTTGTATTTTTAGTGGAGACGGGGTTTCACCATGTTGGCCAGAATGGTCTGGATCTCTTGACCTTGTGATCCGTCCACCTCGGCCTCCCAAAGTGCTGGGAGCTCCACCCCGCCCAGCCCCAAGTGGTATTTCTAAGGAGGTGGCAATGCCTAAGTGGTGCTCCTTCCAACTGCGTGAATTTCCATTCCGTCAGCGTAAACTGACCAGCCAATGCCGTGCTTCCAAGGAGATTACTTCATTCAGTGTTTATTGAACACCTAGCTGGTGCCAGCCAATTACGTTCAGCACTTGGAACATGGCAGCAGACCAAATAGACAATGTTCTTATTCTCATAGAGCTTACCTTTTAGCATGTAGTGTGTGCAGAAACAGACTATAAAGAATAGATGTCAGGCCGGGCGCGGTGGCTCACGCCTGTAATCTCAGCACTTTGGGAGGCCGAGGCAGACAGATCACGAGGTCAGGAGATCGAGACCATCCTGGCCAACATGGCGAAACCCCATCTCTACTAAAAATACAAAAAAAAAAAAAAAAAAAAATTAGCCATGTATGGTGATGCGCGCACTCACCTGTAGTCCCAGCTACTCGGGAGGCTGAGGTAGGGGAATCACTTGAACCCGGGAGGCGGAGGTTGCAGTGAGCTGAGATCGCGCCACTGCACTCCAGCCTGGCAACAGAGTGAGACTCTGTCTCTAAATAAATAAATAAATACAATAAAAAATAAGAATAAATGTCAAGGCAGATGGTGATAAATGCTATGAAACCAAAGTACAGCAGAGCAGGCAGTGAGGGGTTAGAGGGCTATTTTAGATAGGGCAGTAAGAGAGGGTGTCCTTGTAACATTTAGACAGAGACAAAAGGGAAGTGAAGGAAGCAAAGCAGATATTTGAGGAATAGGGTTACAGACCGAAGGAACAGTCTGTGCAAAGGCTTCAAACATGGGTGGCCCTAGGGGGTTTGAATGGCAGCAAGAAAACCACAAGAATGGGAAAGTGATAGGAGCTAAGATCAGAGAGAGAGCTCAGAACTCATCACGGAGGAAATGTTAGGCTGTGGTTGAATTTCAAACTTTAATTTGAGTGAGACTGGGAGTTATTGGAGTGTTTTGAGCAGAGCTGTTGTGTAGTCGGATTATTCTGGCTGCTGGACTGTCATAGACTGTTGGAGGCCAAGGGTGGAAACAGTAATAGGAGTCAGGAGCTGGGGCATTCTGGGTGAGAGATGACAGTGGCTTGGTCCGCAGTGTAATGTCACAGGTAGTAATGGTAGAATCCTGGATATGTTTTGCTGATGGAGCTGATGGGATTTGCTGGTGGATTGGATGGATGGATGGATGGGCATGAGAGAAAGAGGAGTAAGAGATAACTCTAAGATTTTTGGTCTGAGAAACTGGTAAAGTGGAGGTGTTGGTTAGCGAGAATGGGAGACCTAGTTTGGAGAAGAAAATAAAGAGTTCAGCTTTGGCCAAGTTAAAGTTCGAGATGTTGGCCAGGTGTTGTGGCTCATGCCTGTGATCCCAACACTTTGGGAGGCAGAGGCGGGAGGATTGCTTGAGTCCGGAAGTTCAAGACCAGCCTGGGCAATATGGCAAAACCCTGTCTTTACAAAAAATACAAAAATTAGCCAGGCGTGGTGGCATGCACATGTAGTCCTAGCTACTCAGGAGACAGAAGTGGGAGAATCACCTGAGCCCAGGGAAATTGAGGCTGCAGTGAGCTGTGATTATACCACTGTACTCCAGCCTGGAAGACAGGGTGAGACCTTGTCTCCAAAAACAAAGTTTGAGATGTCTGCTGATGGCCAAGCAATGCTGCTGAGTAGGCAGTTGGATATTGGAGAGGTTGGGGTGTCAGGTGCACAGATAGTGTTGAGACCCACTGGGATCAACACTGTTTGGGATAAGTCAGGGAGGCAGAAAATTTGTTCAACCAATTTTCTTCAGAATTACCCTATGCACAACCTTTATGCATGCATTGGGACACAGCTCATGGCCTTGTATGTAAGACGGATGAGTAACTGGACAGTCTCAATCCAGTGTGATGAGCGTAGCTATGGAGGAACTCAGGGAGAGGCACCCGACTTGGTCTTGGGATGCAGACAAGACATCCTGGAGGAAATGAAATTTACATCAATACTTAAAAGAGACAAGGAACTAATATTTACTTAGTACAATCAGCCTTGGTATCCAGTATCCATGGGTTCCACATGCATGAATTCAACCAACTGTGGACTGAAAATATTTGAAAAAACTTGCATCTGTCTTGAACATGTACAGACTTTTTCTTTGTCCTTATTGCTAAACAATATGGTATAAAAACAACTTCCAGACCATCTACATTGTATTAGGTATTATAAGTAACCTGGAGATGACTTAACATATATGAGAGGATGAGCATAGGTTTATATGTAAATATTAATACTATGCCATTTTATATAAAGGTCTTGAACATCCGCAGATTTTGGTATCCACAGGAGGTCCTAGAACCAATTCCCCATGGATCCTGAGGAATGACCTCAGTATCCAGGTACTGTTTCAAGCACTTTGTATTAGTCATTCTTAAACTTTCCTGGATATTTATATCACTTGGGAAGAATTTAAAAATCCCAATGCCTGGGCCTAACCTCAGACCAATTAAATCAGAAACCTGGGTATGAAACTCAGGCATCAGTGTTTTCCAAAAGCTTTCCAATATTTCCAACATTCAGCCAGGTGTGAAGATCAATGCTATACTTGTGTTTGCTCATAGAATTCTCTGAACTACATCTCACGGGGAAGGTACCACTATTGCTAATATCTCCATTTTACAGAAGGGAAAACCAAGGCACAGTGGAGTCATACACTTGCTCAAGCTCATGAAACTTGTGATTGACGGAACTGGATGAGATGTCTGGATCCAGAGTCCACTTTCGTAGCCACTATTCCATCATGTGTTTCAAGAAAGGCCAGATGGGGCATTCATCAGAAGGATGTCATAGGAAAGAGTGTGTTCCAGATGGCGGGGTTAGTTGGACATTGGTAGAATATAAATAGATTAATGCAATGAGTATACAAGGAGTATAGAATATGCATATTATTTCATTCATTCATTCATCATTCATTTAACAAGTATTTGTTATGCATCTACCCTGTGCCAGGCACACAGCTAGACCCTGAGGAGGTTGCTGGGGAGCAAAGACTCATAAAATTCATAATCCAGTAGGGGAATAAGTAGAGGTTAAATAAGTAATCACAAAATGAATTGTATTTACTCCTTGTATTTGCTCATGGAATTCTCTGAACCACACCACATGGGGGAGGTACTGTGATTGGTAAATGTCATCCCCATTTTACAGATGGGGAAACTAAGGCAGTAATCCCAAATGATTGAGCAATAATCCAAAATGGATTGGATATATATGTATATGTGCAGTCTCTGTGTGTGTGTGTGTTTGTGTGTGTGTGTGTGTAAAATTGCAATCGTTTTGGGAAAGAACTACCTGGTGCTGTGAGAGACTTTGTCATAGACAAGTCAAGGAAGGATGAGTTACCAGGGTGCAGACATAATCCTCACATGCAAAAGAGGAAACTGAGGCCCAAGAGATTAAGTCATGTGCCCAAAGTCTCACATCTGATAATTAGACCAAATTGGAATTTGAACCCAGGTGAGTCAAATTCTAACATGTTTCTTCTACAGCAATGATTATCAAGCTTTAGCATGCCCAAGAATCTCCTGGAAAGCTTTGTTAAAACTCTGAGTGCTGGGGCCCCGCCTCTAGAGTCCCATGGAGGTCTCGGTGGGGCCTGATAATTTGCGTTCCTATCAAGTGCTCCAGTGCTGCTGACACTGCTGGTCTGGGGAGCATGCTTTGGAAACACTTTCTACTGCATGAAAGCATTAGTGGTAACAGTTGTGCTGGGTCATGATGGTAAAAAAAAAAAAGATACATCAGGCTGAAGGATTTGGGAAGGCTGGAGGTAGGAAAGGGCCTTCTGCCACTGCAGTATTGTGCTGTAGAGAAAGAGTGAAGTTGATGGTAGTTTCCGAGGTTGTAGCCATCTGTTCCCACCCATCCATAGCAGCTGCTGGTGAGGGCCCAATTCACTTCTTCATTCACCCTGCCAGGGAGTAGTTTACCAGCCCATTGGAGCCAGAAGTTCTCGTTGGCCCCTAAGTTCAGGTTGCTTATTAAAGCAGCCCTGGGCAACTCCTTGATTTTAGCCCAAATAAAGGGACTCTTGTACCCCCTTGAGATCAGCAAGAAAACATCTTCTGGCCTTAAATGGGTGCTTTGGGACCTGTCACATGAAATTAATTTATTCAACATCTCTCTCTCTCTCTTGCTCTGTCACCCAGGCTGGAGTGCAGTGGCATGATCTCAGCTCACTGTAACCTCCGCCTCCGCCTCCCAGGTTCAAGGGATTCTCCTGCCTCAGCCTCCCGAGTAGCTGGGATTACAGGTGAGTGCCACAACACCCAGCTAATTTTGGTATTTTTAGCACAGATGGGGTTTCACCATGTTAGTCAGGCTGGTCTTGAACTCCTGACCTCAGGTGATCCACCTGCCTCAGTCTCCCAAAGTGGTGGGATTAGAGGAGTGAGCCACCTTGCCTGGCTCAACATATGTTTTTTCAGACACTATTATGTTCCCTGGGAATATGGCAATGGACAAGACCAAAATATTCCGGCCTTCATAGAACTTCCATTTGAGGTTGGAGGCTAGGAGTCAGTCAGCAAAATAAGATAGTTTCAGATAGCAATCAGTTGTTTTGAAGACACTAACACAGAATGCTATGAGGCCTTGTGTGGAGGTCCTAATTTAGATGGTGTGATCAGGGAAGGCCTCTCTGGGGAGGTGACATTTGAACCAGTGTCACAAGGAATAAACCAGAGGAGACTTGTGGACAGAGAATTCCAGGCCAAAACAGGCTGTAAGTGCAAAGGTCTAGCTTGGCTTATGCTTTAGTTATCAACTGCTGTGTAACACAATTTAATGGCTTAAAACAATACTGATTTGTTATTTCTCATGGTTCTGTGGGTTATTAATTTGAGTGGGACTCAGCTAGGCTATTCTTTTGCCCCATGTG